>NC_000021.9:42915794-43212462 GCF_000001405.40 Homo sapiens | reverse complement strand
TTTATGGCATCACTGTCGGAGATCTCAATAGCTGAAAAGCAGAAACTAACATTTGCCAGTGCCTCTCTGCCAGCCACCCTGCTGGGCACTGTCCCTCTTATTAGTTGCTTCGATCCTCTGAACAACTCTGCAGTTTGGTCATTGCAGGTCTCATCAGAAGCTGGGGATGAGGGAATAATTTTCTGAAGGCCACACAACTAGAGGTTGGGAGGAGTCAGGATTGAAGCCCAGGTGTGGTCCCTGCACACAGCCCTTCTTACTTCCGGAAGCCTAACAGCACGGGGTGAGTGTGTCTGTGGTGAGAGGGGCTTAACTCCAGGGCCTGAAGCCTCAGGTGAGAGAGGGGCTTCCCTCAGCTCCCTGCAGTGACTGTCCCAAGCCAGATCAGGGCAAGGATGAACAGCAGAACCAAGGTGAGGAGGCTACTCTAGCCTTGGGTAACACAGGCCACGTGGCAGAGCTGTGCTGTGGACTTGGCTGCCCCCCGGGTAGACCAGCACATCCTCTCTGGACGAGGGCTCCACCAGCAGCCCAGGGTAGCACCAGCCCCTCCCCAGCTCCCCAAGGCCAGCTGACATTGGCAGGCTGCCCGTGGCACCAAGGTGGGAGGAGGGTGGCCGAGGGGAGCCCTGCCCGGGAGACCTGGCAGCCAGTCGGCTAAGGAGTGCCCCTCCCACAGCACTTAGGGGACTTGGCTTGCCTGTAGGGACTTCTCTCCCCTCTGAAATGCCTTTCTCTCCCCCGACTCCTCCCTTCTTCCCCTCCTCTCTCTCTCTTGCCTCTCTCCTTCCCTCCCTCTCTTTCTTCCTTCCTTTCTTTTTCCCTATCAAAAACAAATGAACAAAAAACGCAAAAAGCCATGCAAACTGCCTGCTGCCCAGGGCTGCTCCGCAGGCTCCAGCACCCACCGGGAACTCCTGGCAGGTGACGCACGGCCGCCACCCTGCTCACGCCACCCTGCTCACGCCCTCCTCTCGCACATCCCAGGGAAGGTCACAAGTGAGCTGGACAGAGGCCAGCGGCAGTGACCTCTGAACGCTGCACAGTGGCGGGTGAGGTTGTATGCTAAAGAGCTGGGCAGAAATGCTGTGCCGGCTCTCGGGGGCTCCGCTCCACCTGGTGGCAGGAACATCCCATTGTAAGCCCAAGGCAAGAAGGCTTGGAGGCCACTTGTGACTTATCCAAGGTCACAGGGAGCCACACCTGCCACACCTCTACTCCTCTACTCCGCCCAGCTGCCACACTCTGTGCTCCTGGAGCTGGATGAGGTGTGAGCTCTCGCTGGGTAGCGGCCGGGGGGAGACAGGCAGTCACAGGCCATGAGACTGGGCCCTGGGCACTGCAAGCAAAGCCAAACCCTGCCTCCCGGAGTGAACAGAGGAATCCCACTGGGCAGTGGGCCACAATTTCACCATTAAAAATGCATTTCTTTTTAGTTACCACGCTGTCCTATTGCACAGGTCACCAACACGTACGTTTCCTGGGAGGCCCACACCCCAAGCACAGCATCTCTGCCCACTCTCCAAGGTCAGAACAGCCTGGAGATGGGTGAATGCCTGGGCCCTCCAGTTCCATGGCCACAGAAAGCAGACTAGCCCAGGCCCACCCTCGGTGTGTGACAACCCACAGCTCTCTTGGCTCGGGGAACAGGCTGGCATGGAGCAGGCTCAGAGAGGGAAGAGTTCCCTCTCCCAGACCTGGCCAGGGGCAGGGCCAGAACTCAGAGGCCTTTGCCAAGCCTTGATTCCAAGCAATGTATATCAAAAACAGTGAACAACGAATTAGCACCAGTTGTCCACATAGTAAACAGCACCCCTCCTGTGACACCTGGGGAGGGCCCCTCCTATCCTGGGCCAGCTCTCTCCATGCCCTGACCTGGTCCAGCCTGCCTTGCTCCTGTTCCTCAGGTCACCACTGGCTTTCCATTTGTCCTGGGGCTGACACCTTGGGGACTGGGTGGGTGACTCAGATTTGCCTCGTGTGTGCCAAGATCAGGGAGCAAGGTCACTGGCTAGCCCCCCAGCACCAAGCAGCTCCGGACTCCCCGGGGGAAGAGGTTCTGACAACGTTGTTCCCTTTGGCAGCCGCACAGGACGGCACCTTAAAGTAGGAGCCCGTGACGACAGAGGCTCGTATGCAGCCAGCTTTACCCAGGCAAACTCACGGCACCGGGAGGCAGAGAGGCTGCGTGGGGCCACGGCGCAGGCTCTGGACTCAGACAGGCCACTGTGTCAACTTGGACGAGTGACTCAACCTCGTAGCGCTTCTGTCTCCTCCTCTGGAAGATGGAGCAGGACTGAGTCACTGGCCTGATAACAGGACGAAAAGCAATCCCAACGGAGAAGTTCTAAGTCAGTGCGTGCTCCACAGGAGGCGCAGACACTTCCCGGACGAGGTGCACATCCTTATCCCACTGACAGACTCAGAACCGCAGCCCAGACAGCCGGGTGCTGGCCCAGGGGCAGGAGCACGTGAGGCCAGACCTGAGCCACAGCTGGGTCCCATGCCCATTGCCCTGACACCAGCCACACTGCTGAGAGGGACGATCAGGCATTTGCCATCTTCTTACAAAGGCGTGTGTTGTGCCACTGCTCCATGGGACGCAGCAGCAGCCCAGGACAAGCAGGTGAGGACACTCCTAGACACGGGGTGTGACTCCAGGCCCCCCGGCAGGGGATTGAGAACTGAGACAGGGAAGTGGGGCCCCCAGCAGCCCTGTGTAGCCAAGCAGGCTGCCACCACAGGTACGGGGCCAATCCCTGCCAGGCAACACTGTCCCACACTGCAGCTACCCCACCGGCCGGAGGGCAGCCACAGACGCTGAGCACTTTCCAGATGCTGGGACAAAATGACCAGGAGGCTGGCCGCGGTGGCCTGGCACAGAGGGAAGGTCCAAGGGGACATGGTGGGGGATGCTAACAGATCCTGCCATTGTCCCTCTGGACAGTCTTAATGGATTTCTTCAGAAACGCTGGGGAAGCTAGGAGACAGTTAGCCCCCATCTCTGGCTATGAATCATGATCAATTTTTAAATATCAGATTCAGAGTGTTCCAGACAAAGAAAAAAATAAAATAAAATAAGCCTGTGGTCCGTGGTCCTGCCCCTCGCCAGCGTGCTGGGACGGGAAGGGCCCCGGACCGGAGTTTGGAGCCATGGGCCCTTGTCCTTGTTCTCCACCACCTGGACGCAGAGGTCTCTCCTTTCCCGTCGGTTTCACAATCCTTGAAATGGGCCCAGTAATGTTTACCCAAAGACATCACAGGATTCGACTCTAAACATGGGACAAAATGTCGTTCAGGATGCTGGCTCGGGAACCTCTTGCACCTGGTCACAAGTGGAGCTGGACAGAGGCTGGTGGAAGTGGCCTCTCAACGCTACACAGTGGGGCGCAGGGCTGCGATCAAAGAGCCACTGAGGAACGCTGTGTCCGCGCCCAAGAGCTTCGTCCCAGGTCTGGGACAGAAAACGTCAACTCTGTCTCCCATGTTAACAGCAGATCACCAACAACACAAAAAGTCATCTCAAAACACCCCAGAGATTCACACGTCCCACCCCCGCAGAGCCGGGGGCAGGTAGCTCTGCTGCTTTCCCTGCCCAGAGTCACCAGGCAGGCTGGGATGCCTGTCTCCTGGAGGGGAAATTGAGCCGTAGATGGGGAGGCCGCGTGAAGCTAAGTCCACATAGCAAACAGCAGGGCCAGGATGGCCCAGGGTCATCTGAGACCTTACCTATGGGCCTCCCACTGTCCGCACTTCCTGCCGTCGGTCCAGGTGACGCATTTACTCCTAAGTTGCAGTCACAGCAGGGCCTACCCTTACTTCTCACCGCCTATCTCTGCGTGACACTCAGGTCTGACTTCATGACACCAGACTGGTCAACATCCAAAGCCGTGGGCATGAGTGACAGTTCTCCCAGGGGTGACCCCCAGGTCCTGAAGGAGCAGCTCAGCTTCGATGGGAATCTTGCTCATCGTTGGAGGTCAAGGATAGAAGAGCAGAAAGTTTGAGACCCAGATGCTTATGGCAAGATGATAATTATTGACTCTCTGGTTGAGAAAACAAGACACCTGTTTCTCAGAAGAGGTTTTCACCCATCTGGCAGGTGAAACATTCTTGGGACAAGACTCTCAAAGATTCTTAAATGTCATGAACCAGACCTCTCCTCCCCATCTTTCCCACCCACTCTACATCCCTGATCCAGGTCACTCAATTGACCACCACCCCAGCCCCTTCTCTGACCCCAGGCAGCCCCCCACACACATCCTCCATCCGGCGGGGCCAGTTTTCCTTTCCACAGCTGAACTGGGACCCCCTGGTCCTCCCAGGCTTAGGGAACCCTGAGCTTCTTTCCACCGCTGAGCTGGGACCCCCTGGTCCTCCCAGGCAGAGGGAACCCCGAGCTTCTTTCCACTGCTGAGCTGGGACCCCCTGTTCCTCCCAGGCAGGGGGAACCCCGAGCTTCGAGCTGGGTGCACTCAGCAACAGGAGTCCTCCTGCTTTTCCCTGGACAGACACCATCAGGACAGTCTCACCAGCATCCACTCCCACTGCCCTCAAGCCACATGGACTTGTCTCATCTGAACAGATTTGCTGGTCATGTCTCCGGGAAATGAATGATGCCCAGAACAGGGCCAGTGTTTCCAGGATCTTCCAACGTCAGCCTTGAAAATAGCTTTGAAGCTTCAATCCTAGGCTCCAGAGAGGTGTCTCCCTCATCTAATTAGACCATAAAATCAGTTTTGGCAACAGGGGAAGGGGAACATTTGGCCAAAAGAGTGGAAAAGCAGCTTCTGGAAGGACCCCAAATCCCAGCCACAGACCCAGCCCTTCTTGTTCATGGATCCGCGTGGGAGCATGGGTCAGAGAGGAACCGTTTAAGAGAAGGGGGTGGCTGGGAGCAGTGGCTCACGCCTGTAATCCCAGCACTTTGGGAGGCTGAGGCAGGCGGATCACGAGGTCAGGAGATCAAGACCATCCTGGCCATCATGGTGAAACTCTGTCTCTACTAAAAATACAAAAAATTAGCTGAGTGTGGTGGTGCACACCTGTAGTCCCAGCTACTCAGGAGGCTGAGGCAGGAGAATTGCTCAAACCTGGGAGGTGGAGGTTTCAGTGAGCCGAGATTGCGCCACTGCACTCCAGCCTGGCAACAGAGCGAGACTCTGTCCCCCAGAAAAAAAAAGAGAGAGAGAGAGAGAGAGAAGGGGGTGACTGCTACTGCAGAAAAGAACAATAAACATATGATTACCAGTGCTGCCTGGGCACCTGCTTGGCCAGAGGCTGCAGTGCCTGCCCTGGGTCATCCCGACGGCTCACTGGGCAGGTGGCACCTTCCCGCTGAAAGGTGAGGGAAGAAGGGACTGGCCGTGTCCCACTAACTGGCCTAAGAGGCAGAAAAGAGAAACACAACACGCCTTTGGAACTGCTCAGCTGCTTCGCTCCCCTCTCTTCACCTCCATCAATGCTCCCAGTGGCTGCGCCCACTCGTCCCCCCATCCCCATTTCACACCACGGGGGTCTGAGTGCCGATTCAGCTGCAGACCCTCCAAAGGCTTGATTGGCTTCTCCCCCACCTACCCCCTCCCTTGGCTAATAATAAAGACTGTCCTGTGATGCAACGGGGACGAAAGACACTTGACCTCCCCCAGCGAGCTCCACTAGGTCAGCTTGTAGGAGAGGAAAAGAAAACACCTGCACCGTGACAAACCTGTTGGCGAGAGTGACGGAGGCGCTGGAGAGCTGCGCCAGTAGGACAAAGAGCTCCAGCACCTGCAAGAGCAGCCACCAGTCCAAAATGGATGTGCCATTTACTCTGGCTTCCAGGCAGGGCTCCGGTCCCAGCAGGGCACCACCCTTTGTCTGCCCCATGGAAGGTGGGCACCAAAGTCCAAGGCTCAAGAAGGAGGAGGTGTAAAGGCCCTTAGCTCGGTCGCCTAAACTGGTCACCTGAGTGTCCACCCACAATCCACTTGAGCTGACCCAGTCTGCCTTGGGGGAGTCCCCTCAAACACCACAGAGGGGCACGTGTGGTCATTGCCTCTGTTGTCCACCCAGTGGCCCTTCCTGCAGCCTGGATGATATGGTTTGGCTTTGTGTCCCCACCCAAATCTGATCTCAAGCTGTAATCCCTGTGTATCGGAGGAGGGACCTGGTGGAAGGGGATTGGATCATGGGAATGGTTTCCCCATGCTGTTCTCAGGACAGTGAGGGAGTTCTCACAAGATCTGATGGTTTAAAAGTGATTGGCAGTTCCCCCCTCGCTCTCTCTCTCTTCTGCTGCCATGTAAGACGGTACTTGCTCCCGCTTTGCCTTCCGCCATGATTGAAAGTTTCCTGAGGCCTCCCCAGCCATGTGGAACTGGGAGTCAATTAAACCTCTTCTCTTTTTACATTACCCAGCCTCGGGCAGTTCTGTTTGTTTGTTTGCTTCTTTGTTTGTTTGAGACAGAGTCTCGCTCTGTCGCCCAGGCTGGAGTGCAGTGCCAGGATCTTGGCTCACTGCAACCTCTGCCTCCCAGGTTCACGCCATTCTCCTGCCTCAGCCTCTTGAGTAGCTGGGATTACAGGCACCCGCCACCACGCCCAGCTAATGTTTATATTTTCAGTAGAGATGGGGTTTCACCATGTTGGCCAGGATGGTCTCGATCTCTTGACCTCGTGATCCGCCCTCCTTGGCCTCCCAAAGTGCTGGGATTACAGGTGTGAGCCACTGCGCCTGGCCTCAGGCAGTTCTTTATAGCAGTGTGAAAACAAGCTAACACACGGGGAGCCCACCTGGATCACGCACATGTGAAATTTACATTGCCCAGAACCGGATGGTGGATGCAGAAGCCTATGCACGGCTAGATTCCGGGGGTAGCCCAGGAGGGCACGAATGGGTTCTGTCCCCAACAACAGGGTTCCTCCCCACCAGCAGCCCAGCTGGAGCCTGGAACTCCAGCATTAGAACTTTGATTTCTTTTGACTAAGATCTGGAAAGTTCTCATAGATAGCATGTTGATGTGGCCTCTGGCATTGACCACTCAGTGGGAACAATTCTACCTGCTGTTTTCCAGAGAGTTGGTGTGTAGGGGGCAGGGGAGGGAGGTGATGGCTGTGGGTCCCTGAAGTCCTGGCCTCCTCCACCATCCCCTTCAGCCACTTCCTTTGGAGGTCAGATCAGAGGCCGACAGAAAAGTCTGCAAGTTCCAGTATAAGGGAGGCCGTCTGAGAAAAGCAAAGCAAATTTAACTAAAATTAGGGGCCACCGCCCCACACACAGAACTTGCAGGAAAATTTAGAAAACCCAAAGACAATTGGCTTTTTTTTATTTTTTACATTTTGTAAGATTGGGTTTTTATACGTGTTTTAGACAACTGGCTATTTATATATATGAACCCAAGAGAAAAGCTTTCTCTTTATCGAGACAGAAAATTCAACTCACCTCTCAAAGCCTGGGAAGGCCACTGTCATCTCCCTCTCTAAATAGAGATTCTTCTACCAAAATACATAGGTAAATTTTAAAATTGCTCTTCAATCGAATCACTCATTTATAAAAGCCACTTCAGACTCTTATAGTGCCCCCAGCCCTGGGCAGCCCTGCACTTGCTCTGTGGGGGGAGACACTGAGAAGGGGTGGGTGAGGGGGTGCCCACCACAGTCCTCCTTATGCCGCCCTCGTCACCCACTGGCAGGTCCTGATCAAACGTCTTCCACACATCACCGCTGATTCGATTTCATATAAGCAAGGAAAGATTTTCCCCACTGTAAGGTGTCTTGAGTACAACCGACATTACCCTGTAGTGTCATATAGCTATTTTGTAGTGATAATTGTTTTTCTTATGATTCAGGGATACCAGGACCATGCTGAATGAATAATGAATTTTCTTCCTTCTAATTGCACATGGATCTTATGAACAAAGGGGCAGGCACTGTGCCCAAATAGATCCATGAATCAGGGTCCCAAGAAGTGAGTGCCCTTTACTGAAATATGAACAGCAAAGGGGTTTGCATTGACGGGGAAGTCGCTGGAGGTTGTGTGGCGTTTGATTTTCTCTGGGTGGATATTGACTTTCATTTTCGGCCTCTGCTTCTCACTGAGATGGCTCTTCTGTCAATACGTTAGCTCTTCAGATCTTTTCCCCCTTTCAGACAGAAGCTGTTTCCCTGCTTGGTTGAGTCACAGGTGCAGAGGGTCCCTCATTCATGACCATTCCCGTCCCACCCCTGCCTAAGGGTGATTCACTTTGTGGTGGGACTGAGGAGCTAGAACCGTGAAGGTGGGGCTGTCTGAGAGACCAAGCCTTCTAACGCTAATGATATAAACACGTGCCAAGCCCCAGAGACCCTAGAACCCTGGAGCCCTGGAGAACCCTGGGTCTCCTTCCTGGCCACATTTACAGGAGCATGAGATGCAACCCCAGGGCATTTCCAGCGGAGGACAGGAGATCCTACAGTGTGGCTCAGCGTGGGAAACCTGCAGTAGAAATACCCAGGCCACCTAATCCCAGACACGGAGTTGGGAAGCCACAGAAGGAAAAGCCCAGGACTGGGAAAGCCCTGGAGCTGGAGGGGCCTGAACAAGGAGAAACTGAGCCTCGCGGAGGAGTCAGGGTTTTATCCTGAGGTCCACTGAGAGCCTTCACATGCTCTTTAACAAGGGCTTGACCTCCTCACAATGCAAAGCATAGGCTGGCCAGGCACCCAGCTGCAGGCAGGCAGAAGAGGGTGATGCTCATTTAGACAAGAGGCGGTGGGGCCCTATGTGAAAGCTGCACTGTTAGGGGTTGAGGGGAGAGGCCTGCTGTGAGAATATGAGCCAGGAGCCCCACTCAGAGGCGTGAGGGACAACACGGCAGAACTGCTGGCCAAGTTCATGCTGGAGCCACCCCACGCGAACTCCTATCGATGGTGAATCTTTTTATGTTTAACAAGGCAGAGCTGAGCTCAAAAGCAAGTTAATGGAGCCTGAAAAAGAACAGAAACTCTCAACAGGAATCTGAAGTTGAAGCCATAGACTCAGGACTTCAGAAGGCAGAAGTAGCAGGAGATACTCTCTCCGCTGGCCTGGTCAATGGGCACTGATGGCTCTGCCTCTAGATTCAGGCTGAGGCCAGCTTGCTGCATGGGCCAGGGAGCTGGCAGTGGCTAGGACTGGGCTGTGTTAGCCTTCTCTGCCTGTAACTGGGGGTCTAAAAGAAGCTGTTACCTTCAGGGGACAGAGATAGCCATGTAACCAGCACCTGATCAGGTCAGCCACAGAGCTTCAGGTCCCCCGGGGAGGAAACCCCAGTCTGCTGAGGTAGGACTTGGCTCTAAGTTGTGAACCCATTGGTGGTTGCTAAAACTCACACACAGAGGGGCAAGCAGTGGGGAAGAGGCAAAAGCAAAATAAAAAAGGAAACACCTAATTAAGGTGAATTTACAAACTAAACTTTCAGAACACATGAGAAAAACCAACATCAGGAAACCCAGCCGATAAACACAACAAATGGGAGAAATTAAAACAATAAACCAACCAAAAGAGTCACAACCTTATATATGTTTAAAATCCTCAGAGAGTTGCAAACAAGCCAAAAAGGATATCAGTAAAGAATAGAAGAATAGAGGCCAGGTGCAGTGGCTCACACCTGTAATCCCAGCACTTTGGGAGGCCAAGGCAGGAGGATCACTTCAGCCCAGGAGTTCAAGATCAGTCTGGGAAACATAGCAAGATCCTGTCTCTATTAAAAAATTTGAAAATTGGCCAGGTGCGGTGGCTCATGCCTGTAATCCCAGCACTTTGGGAGGCCAAGGTGGGCGGATCACGAGGTCAGGAGATCGAGACCATCCTGGCTAACATGGTGAAACCCTGTCTCTACTTAAAATACAAAAAATTAGCCAGGCGCGGTGGTTGGCGCCTGTAGTCCCAGCTACTCGGCAGTCTGAGGCAGGAGAATGGTGTGAACCCAGGAGGCAGAGCTTGCAGTGAGCCGAGATAGCGCCACTGAAGTCCAGCCTGGGTGAAAGAGCGAGACTCCGTCTCAAAAAAAAAAAAAAAAAAAAAAAAATTTGAAAATTAGCTGGACATGGTGGCATGTGCCTGCAGTCCCAGCTAATTAGGAGACTGAAGCAGCAGGAATGTTTGAGCACGAGAGTTCAAAGCTGCAGTGAGCTATGATTGCACCACTGTACTCCAACTTCCAACCTAAGCAACAGAGTGAGGCTGTGTCTCAAAAAAAATTAAAATAATAAAAAAAAATCTTGAAGGACAGAAGAATATAGGAAAGAACCAATTTTAAAATGTTAGAAATGAAAAATATGGTCATGAAATTATTTTTAAATCTCAATGGGTGGGATAAATACTACATAAAGAAGAGGGAACTGGTAAATTGGGAGTTTTTAGCAAGAAACTGATGGAGACAATAATATACAGATGTCAACAGAAGGAAAATATGAAAGAAAAGTTAAAAGATGAAGCCAGATAGAGAAGATTTAACATTAGCTTATTAGGAATTTCAATTTTAGAAAATACAGGAAATATCAGTGTGGCACTGTAAGAAGAGGTTATGGCTAAGAATTTTTCAGAATTGAAGACATGAGTACTCAGGGCACATCAAATGCCAAACAGAATAAATAAAAACAAACATCCATGATAATAAAAAAACAAAATTATTAAAAGCTACTAGGAGAAAGACAGATTTCCTAAAAAGGAGAAAAAACCTGCCAATGGACTCATTAAGAACAATATTCCAAGTCTTTCCAAAAGACTTGAAAGTGATGTAACAACATGCTGAAGAAAAATTACTACCAACCTGGAATTTTTATACCCAGCTAAACTGTTCTTCAGCAAGGAGGAACAAAAGTCATTTCAAAAAAACAAAGACAAGATGTGTTTGCCTTTCACAGACACTCAGTTTCTACTTCGGGATATACTTCAGAATCCCAGAATGGCTCAGGATTGGATATATCAGGTATTATGGAAGGTGGGGTGAAGGAGAGAGTTGAAAGTTGAAACAGGGGATTTGGTTGAAAATGGGGAGGTCTCCTTTGACAAAGACACCCTCCTTGACCAAACTTTAGTCTTCTTTGAGCCCCCTTCTCAACTAGGCCTCAACCTTAGCCCTCCACACCCTTGGGCTGATGAGCCCAGTTTTAGCAAGAAACGAGTTAGGTCAGCTTAGTGAGAATCCCTCCATCTCTGGTATCTGGTCAAATCCCTCATCCCCAACCTTTGATATCTAGGTCATTGCCCTGCCTTTAGCAAGAACCTTCCTACCCTTGATGTCTGTTATGGCTGAATTGTGTCTCCCCAAAATTTACATGTTAAATTCCTAACCTGTAGTACCTCAGAATGTGACTATATCTAAAGATACATTCTTTAAATTATTTATTAAGGGCTGGGCATAGTGGCTCACAACTGTAACCTCAGCACATTGGGAGGCTGAGGTCGGTGGATTGCTTGAGCCCAGAAGACAGAGACCAGTCTGGGTAACATGGCAAAACCCCATCTCTACAAAAAAATACAAAAATTAGCCAGGCATGGTGGCATGTGCCTGTAGTCCCTGAGGTGGGAGAATCACCTGACCCCAGGGAGCCTGGTGAGCTGTAATCACACCACTGCACTCTAGCCTTGGCAGCAGAGTAAGACCTTGTTTCAAAAATCAATAAATAAAAAACTAAAAAATAAAATAATTTATTAAAGTATAATGTGATATGAATGAGACCTAATCCAATATGATTGGTGTCTTTATAAGAAGAGGAAATTAGGAGACACAGACATGTGCACACACAAAGGGAAGATCATGTGAGGACATAGGGAGAAGACAGTTAAGGAGAGAGGGCTCAGAAGAAACCAAACCTGATGACACCTTGATCTTGGACTTCCAGCCTCCAAAACTGTGAGAGAATAAATTTCTGTTATTTAATGTCCATCCAGCCTGTGGATTTTATTTTGGTGGCGCTAGCAAACTAATAAAACATGGAATTAAGTTCCTGTTAGTACTTTTCCATCCACTGACCCCTTTGCTTTGCTCTTTGGCTATGAATTCCCAGCTGTCTTTGCTGTATTTAGAGCTGAGCTTAGTTCTGCACTGAGGTTTCCCCCCTACTGCAACAGCTCCAAGATCTTATGATCACAAAAAATTACTATGACTTACAGTAAGTGTGACCATGGAATTGGGATCACTCGAGAAAATATCCAGTTTTTACAGAGGCAAACTATAATATGCAGCAGTAAAATCGTATAGTATTGGAGGTCTGCTTCAAAATTTTTCCGCATAGAGAAAATAAACAACTGAATTGGTGAAGCAAATATCCTATATTCTTGATAATTGTGAAATTTGAGTGGCGGGTATATGGATGGGTTTCTTTGAACTACTCTCTCAATTTTGAGTACATTTGCACATTTCATAAAATATTAACATTATACCTATTTTACATTTAATTTTCTGAAGACATACATATAAGGCATGTCTTATGCCTTATAAGGATTTTTTCAGCACCTCAATTCATTTTTATGAACATTAATTATCACTGTTCCTTAAAGTAGATAGACAGGTAAATGGTATAGCTCTTAGCTTCTGAAATACTGTGGAAGTTTAATTCCCTGTGGTCAGAGAATATATTCTGCCTGATTTAAATCTTTTTAACTTTGAGAATTGTTTGATAGTCAAAATATTATCTACTTTGGTAAATTCTATACGCACCTGCAAACAATACGTATTTTGCTTTTGTTAGTTGGAATTCTACACAAATGTCAATTAGATCAAGTTGGTTGATAGCATGTTCAAGTCTTCCATATTCTTATGAATTTTCTGTCCACTATTAATAATTGAGAGAGAAGTTTTGAAATCTCTAAGTATAGATTTCTATTTCTCTTTTCAGTTCTATTATTATTTTCTTTGTGTATTTTGAAGGTTTATTATTGGGAATATACAAATTGAGGGTTGTTATTTCTTCTTGGTGAATTAATTTGCTTTTTCATCATCATGAAATGTCCCTCTTTATCTCTGGTAATATTATTCCTTTCCTACAGTCTACTGTGTTAGCCACTCCAGCTCTCTTGTGATTACTGTTTGCATGGTGTATCATTTTCCTCCTTCCACTTTTATTTCTCTGTCTTTGTATTTAAAGCTAATTTCCTGTAGTTAGCATATAATTGGGTCTTGCTTTTTTAATCTAGCCTGACAGTTTCTGCATTTTAATTAGAATGTTTAAACCATTTACATTTGATATAATTATTAACATAGTTGGGTTCAAGTCTACCAACTTGATATTTGTTTTCTATTTGATTCATCTTCTTTGTTCTTTTATTTTTCCTTTCCTGGCTTATTTCAGATTGGGTTTTCCAGGATTCCGTTTTTACCTTAAAAGAAGTTCTTTTTATATTTATTGATGAATAGGCACACTAGTAAAAATATTAATTTTTTGTGTGTATCTGAAAAAGTATTTCACCTTCATTTTGGAAAGATATGTTTGCTAAATATAAAATTTTTGGTTAATAGATTCTTTTTCTCTGAGTATTTTAAAGATGTCATTCCACTGCCTTCCAGCTTGCGTTTTTCTAAAGAGAAGTTTGCAGTCACCTTATTGTTGTTCCCCTAAAATGTAAGGATTCTCCTCCTCTAGACACTCTTAAAATTTTCTTTTTATCATAGGTTTTCAGCAACTTGATTATGATATACCTTGATATACTTTTATTAGTGTTTACGCTGTTTGAGATTTGTTTTACTTTTTGGACCTGTGGGTTTACACTTTTTATCAAATTTGACAACTTTGGGGGCCATTATTTTTCCTAATGCATTTTCTCGCTACTCTCTCTCACCCTTCTTTTGTTCTTGAATTCCAATTACAAGCATGTTAGACAACATTCCTGAGGCTCTGTTCATTTTTTCCAGTCTTTTTCCTCTATATACTTCTGTTTTGACAGGTTTTATTGCCCTGTCTTCAAGCTTACTGATCTTTTTTTCTGCAGTTTTTAATCTGCTGTTGATCCCCTCTAGTGAACTTTTCAGTTGAAAAATTATTTTTCATTTCTAGACATCCCATTTTTTTTTCAATACCTTCCTTTTCTCTTCCGTTTGCATTCATGTTTTCTGTTACATGCTTGAGCATATTTATAATAGCCATTTAAAATTCTTTTATCTACTAATTCTATCATTCCCATCATTCCTGGGCCTGATTTGATGGACTGATATTTTCTCCTAGTTATGGATCACAATCTTTGCTTCACATATCTCACCATATTTTATTGGGTGACAGGCATTTTGAATATAACATTGATAAACGTATAGATTTTTTTTTCCTTTATAAATAGTGTTGACATTTGTTCTGGCAAGTAATAAAGTTACTTGCAGATGAGGTTGATCTTTTTGAGGCTTGCTTTTACATTTTTTTGGGGTTATCTAGAGTTGCCTATACTCTAGAGTTAATTTATTCCTACTACTAAAGCTTGATCCTTTGTATTCTCTATTTTTTTTTCTTTTTTTTTTTGAGACGGAGTTTCACTCTTGTTGCCCAGGCTGGAGTGCAGTGGCGCGATCTCACCTCACTGCAACCTCCGCTTCCCAGGTTCAAGTGATTCTGCTGCCTCAGTCTCCCGAGGAGCTGGGATTACAGGCATGCGCCACTACGCCCAGCTAATTTTTTGTATCTTTAGTAGAGACGGTGTTTCTCCATGTTGGTCACGCTGGTCTCGAACTCCTGACATCGGGTGATCCGCCCATCTCAGCCTCCCAAAGTGCTGGGATTACAGGCGTGAGCCGTGTATTGTCTATTGATTGCCCCAAGTGCTCTATGAGGTCTCCAACTGAATAGAAGGAGTTCAAATTTCTTGCAGCCTGGTGTGAGTTCTAGGAATTGTTCAGCTTAACACCTCACTGTTCTTTATTCACTTCCTGGAATTCCACCTACGCATGTACAGATTGGTATTAAGTGAATGCTCAAAGGGACCTTATGCAGGTATTTGAGTTTCTTTATTTGAGTATCTTCCTCCTCTCTGCTACCCTGTCTCACCTCTGCCTCCCCATAGCCCACTCTTCTCAATTCAGCTAGATCACCATGTTGTGCTTGGATTCCCCCTCCCTGCCTGACAGTATGAAAACTGCCTCCAGCCAGAAAACAGAGTTGATTGCACAACTTACTTCATTTTTTTCCTATCTCTTAGGGATGCCAGCCCTGCACAGCCTTTTGTCCTGATGTCCAAAGCCAGTTGTTTTGTCTGCTTTGTCCAGCTTTCTAGTTCTTTTGGCAAAAAACAAAAACAGAAACAGACAGCATAAGTTCCATCCTAGCTACTCCTTCATGGCTGGCTGCAGAAATTCTGAAAACTGTTTTCTGTGTTTTTAAAATCACTTTACTTCCTTGGGACTCCTTAGAATTGTAACTTGAGAAGGTCCAAACAGATAATTAAACCACCTGTGACAGATACGTGCTAAGCGCCTGCCAGTGCCGGATCCTGGGAGGCTGACAGGGATATACAAGAGCCCCTGGGCTTGGCTTGACGAAGAGGGAACAAATCTGGGTGTGGCCATCCAGGAATAGAGGCCAAGTCAGGTTGCAGAGCAGAACAATAAGGGATTCATGCAAAGCCCTTCTAACAATCGTTGTTTTGTTACTTTATGTGACCGTATTTGCTCCTTCTTTCAAAAATACAAAAAGTAAAATGCAGAATGTACAAATGTGTGGCTCTCCCTAAAGTGGGATGAAGTTGGGATTTCCCATGGATGCGGTTCCTGGAAAAGCCACAGTTGAGTAGAGTAACCTGGGTCTGTCCATTGCAGGGCTTCACAGTTCTGGGAGTAAAGCGCTTTCTTCTGAATTAGCAGATCTTTGTAAAGTCAAATTTCAGGAACATTTGATTAGACCTAAAGACAGCTGCAGGCCGTGCACCATGGCTCACGTCTGTAATCCCAGCACTTTGGGAAGCTGAAGCAGGAGGATCGCTTGAGTCCAGGAGTTTGAGACCAGCCTGCGCAATATGGCAAAACTCCATCTGTACCATAAATACAAATATTAGCCGGGCGTGGTAGCACACACCTGTAATCCCTGCTACTCGGGAGGCTGAGGTGGGAGAATTGCTTCAACCCAGGAGGCAGAGGTTGCAGTGAGCCAAGATAGCACCACTGCACTCCAGCCTTGGCGACTAAGCAAGACTCTGTCTCAAAAAAAAAAAGAAAGAAGAAGAAAAAGATAATTGTGTTAGACATTTGCCTGTGCCCACAGCCCTCCCTAGGGAAAGATGCCCACAAACGCTGCCAAGTAGCCAGGCCTTTGGCTACCATGTTTTATACTCCTCGACCCTAGCCCTTCTCCTCCAGTTCACTGGAGTGGATGCCTGACTCCAACAGTGACTCCACATGCCTGCTGGTGACTTGTAGAGCATCCTGCGAGGGAAAAATTCCTTTGTTTAAAAGGAAATGAACTAGTAAACACCAAACGAACGAGACATTTCACAGTGACAAGTGAAACTCAAAAGACACCTAAAGAGATAGCCAGGAGCTAGGAAGGGGCTTCGTCCCACAGCCAACCCCTCTGTGAAAAGGAGGGCCTCAGATCAGATCTTCTCTCCTCATGGCCCCTTCCCGCCCCTTCCTTCCCCACCTCCCACCGCTCAGTCTCTCTCCCTCTGTTCACTCTTCCCCAACCCTCAGGCACTCCCCGCTCTGAAAGTGGGCATGCCCTCCCTGGTGCAATGGGCCCCACGCTTTCTCGCAATATCCTTTCTAATACATTCCCCCGTGACTTACGTCCAGATTTGTTTTCTATTTGACACTGTCAAGGGCTTCTCCTGTCCCCAGGACCCCTATCCACGGGGCTGCAGAACAACATCTGGCCATTTCCTGCCCTGCTAGGCCCCCTCCTCCCTGAAGCGCTGCTCAGACCCCAGTCCAGACACCCGCCTCCCCCGGCCTCCCCCGCACACCTCCCGTCTGTCCTGACACAAGGGAACCTCCCCGCTGCCCCTTCGGAGATAACAGAGATTTGACAGCACGACCACAGTATTCCTGAGCTTCCAGTTAAAGTCAAGTCCGTTGTCGCCACTGCCTCCACGTCCGCAGCTGTTCCACCCGCTTTCCTTCCTTCATGCATGAAGGTCAAACCCAGGCTTGGCCCTGCATGAACCCAGCAGAGAGGATTCCAGAGCTGTCTCCCCAGAGCCCTCCCCAGCAGAGATCCTGACTCACCCCAGGACAGGAGGGCTGAGGCCAAGAGCGCCGCTTCCGGATGCTTCCTCCGCATTCAGCTTCCAATGTCCGCCCTGCCAAGGCGCCCCTCGGGAGCAAGCAGGAGCCCGTCCTGGGGGGACATGTCCCCTGCTCTCCGCTGAGACCAGAGGGCTGCTGCCGTGAGGAAGGAATGGAACACCACTAAGGCACAGCAGCCACGAGCTGGGGATCAGACACAGAGGAAAGGCCACCTACAAATAGTCACTGGAGCCAAACCCTGGTCTCAGCCACGAGCAGTGCCCCACATGCGAATGCACCCATGGGTGGAGAGTGTGATGAGCCCCCTCCGCAGAAAGCACCCGAGCAGCAGCTAAAACAGGCTGATCCCAGGCCCCAGACCTCAGACTCCAGCCTTCATCTGCGACCTGGCCCTCGGTTTCGCCTGACCCTGCCTCTGTTTGCAAAGGGCCGGCTGGGGCCCCTGGACGGGTTTCCGTTCTCCTTTCTTCCTCTCTGTGCTCCCCTGAAATTTCCCCACAGGCCATCAGCCTCAGGCTCTGAGACCAGAATGTCACCTTCCCGTCACATGCAATGTGACGATGTCTCTAGTTATTTCCCTCCCCACAGCACAAAGGGTGGAGGAGGCCTGAGAAATGAGGAGGGGGGAGGTGCGTCCAGGGTGCAGCAGAGTCACTCTCACCTCCGGGGTCCGGCTGCCGGCATGGAGGTCAAGGTCCGCAAGAACGTCCTCTTTCCCCACTGCAGCAGGCAGACCAGCATCACAGAACCATTCTAGGAAACAGCAGTTCCCGTCCCCTCCTCCTTGCTTCTAAATGCACGGGGCACACATCAGTCCCCCCACTCCTTCAGGTGGCCCAGGTGATCAAATCAGCCAGTTCCAGAGAAGGGTCAACTTTGACAGCCCTGGGTAGGGGACCCAGATGCCCTTTGATGGGTGTCAAATGAAACAAATCAGCATATAGGCGAGGGGGCTTTATCGGAAAGAACACTGAGAGGCAGGATGCTCCATCCAAGAGGCCCACAAGCTTCCGGAAGGCCAGGCGGGGACGGCTCCTCTCATGGGAGGGGAAAGGAGGGAGCAGGCTTGGCAGGGTTGTTGGCGGGGATGGATGGGCCCAGGCAACAGCAGCGTCCGGAGGTTCCTGGGGCTGAATCATTCTGAGGTTTGCTACTGGGAGGGAGGGAAGCTGATTCGATTCTGAGACATCTGGGGAAGCCCAGAGGCCCCAGGATCCACACCAGGAAGCAGCCAGAGGGGTGCAGAGCAGGGCCTAGAGGCCACAGCTGCAGGGCAGGTGGCTGTGTCACCAGAACCCTGCTGGCAGCCCTTCCTCCCCAGGGAGCTGTGTCTGGAGAGGGAGCTGTGGAGAAGCGCTAGGGTAAGACCCAATCGTGCAGTGGTCCTGAGCCCGCAGGGTGGGTGCCCTCCTAAGGTGAGGAAGGGACAGCAGAGCCAGCCCCTGCTCTGAGGACCCTGTGGGAACCAGGAGGGGCCTCGCCAGGCCCAAGCCCCCGTCCCGGCTGTGGGATGCCCAGCCGCAGAGCAATGAGGAATCCAAGTTGCTGCTGAACGCCCGGACCATGGTGCTGAGTTCTGGCCGCCCCAGCTCACCAGCAGCGTGGTGGTGGCGGCCAGGAGGATGGAGCTCAGACACCTGGCCCCACACGCTGCCATGCAGCCCAGCCTCAGGAGGCCACCATCCTACAGGCAGGCCCCCAGACAGAGGGGCACGGGCACAGGCATAGGCCCCAGGTCCCCTGGCCATGGAGAAGGCATTGTGTGAGTGTGTGTGTGTCATGAGGTGTGTGCAGTGTGTGTGGTATCTGTGTGATGTGTGCAGTGTGTGTGTGTGTCTGGGTGTGTGATGTGTGCAGTGCGTGTGTGTGTGTCTGGGTGTGTGTGTGCAGTGCGTGTGTGTGTGTGTGTCTGGGTGTGTGATGTGTGCAGTGCGTGTGTGTGTGTGTCTGGGTGTGTGATGTGTGCAGTGCGTGTGTGTGTGTGTCTGGGTGTGTGATGTGTGCAGTGTGTGTGATGTTTGCAGAGTGTGTGTGTGTCTGGGTGTGTGTGATGTGTCCTGTGTGTGTGTGTGTCTCTGGGTGTGTAATGTGTGCAGTGCGTGTGTGTGTGTGTCTGGGTGTGTGATGTGTGCAGTGCGTGTGTGTGTGTGTGTCTGGGTGTGTGTGATGTGTCCTCTGTGTGTGTGTGTGCGCACACGCGTGCATGTGTGTATAGCCCCAGGCCCTGGTTTGTCTCCTCTTGCCCTCTGGAAAGTAAGCACAGCCCCCAGCCTGGCCATCCCCTCAGGGTCGCACCTGGAACGAATGCCACCCACAGAGCAGCTCCCCCCTTTCTGGAGACTGAGCTGCAAGCTGTGGGTTGGTGGAAGCTCGTGGTTGGTGGAAGCTCGTGGTTGGTGGAAGCTCTAGCTTGGTGGAAGCTTTGCATTGGCAGAAGCTCTGGGTTGGTGCAAGCTCTGGGTTGATGGAAGCTCTGGGTTGGTGGAAGCTGTAGGTTGGCAGAAGCTATAGGTTGGTGCGAGCTCTGGGTTGATGGAAGCTCTGGGCTGGCAGAAGCTCTGGGCAGAAGCTCTGGGTTGGCAAAAGCTCTGGGTTGGTGGAAGCTCTGGTTTGACGGAAGCTCTGGGCAGAAGCTCTGGGTTGGCAGAAGCTCTAGATTGGCAGAAGCCCTGGGTTGGTGGAAGCTCTGGGTTGGTGCACGCTCTGGGTTGGCAGAAGCTTGGGGCTGGCGGAAGCTCTGGGTTGGCAGAAGCTCTGGGCTAGCAGAAGATCTGGATTGGTGGAAGCTCTGGGTTGGCAGAAGCTCTGGGTTGGCGGAAGTTCTGGGCTGGCAGAAGATCGGATTGGTGGAAGCTCTGGGTTGGCAGAAGCTCTGGATGGAAGCTCTGGATTGGCGGAAGCTCTGGGTTGGCGGAAGCTCTGGATTGGCGGAAGCTCTGGGTTGGCGGAAGCTCTGGATTGGCGGAAGCTCTGGGTTGGCGGAAGCTCTGGGTTGATGCAAGCTCTGGATTGGAGGAAGCTCTGGGTTGGTGGAAGCTCTGGGTTGGCGGAAGCTCTGGGTTGGTGGAAGCTCTGGGTTGGTGGAAGCTCTGGATTGACGGAAGCTCTGGGTTGGCGGAAGCTCTGGATTGTTGCAAGTTCTAGATTGGTGGAAGCCCTGGCTTGGTGGAAACTCTGGCTTGGTGGAAATTCTGGGTTGGTGCAAGCTCTGGGTTAATGGAGCTGCTGGAGTCCACTTAGGTCCAAAGCTGCTGTACTGGTACACCTGAGTGTCTGGTGAGAGAGGTCTCCAGCAGGAGAAAGAAAAGAGGAGGCTCAGGGTGAGCCTGTCTTGTTTGACTCATTTGTACCAAATCGCACTGGATGGCAGTTTTATCCCGTACAAAAATGAGCACATGTCACATTAGCACTAATTGTTGTGGGGAGGAAACAAATAGCTAATGACTAAAGGTGCGGAGAAGAATGCTTGAGGCACTGCTGCCATTTCAAACCCGTACGGCGCACCGTGCCCTGGCCAGCTGCCTTTGCTGCTAATTATGGGATCGAGCCCAGGAGGTAGGGGAGGTCCCCTCTAATGGAAATGGGTCGCCTCCCTCCAGGCACTGGCAGTCCTCCCCTTCCTCTCCCCGTGCTGGCCACACCCCTCCCTCCCACCTGACACCCTGTTCCTTCTGCCCCTGTCCCCTTCACACATCACACCTCTCCTTGGAGTTGAAATCGTTGTTCCTGCCATGTATTCTCTCTCTCATCCTTCAGTGGCCCTGATCAGTCCACTGTAAGCAAAATGACATCAGAAAACCCATGTGTTAAAGAAAAATCCTTCCATTTACCAGAAGGTCTGATGAGGATGCTGCTAAGTGCTGAGTCCCATGTCTTATTTCCAATAGGTTTGGATTGACAGGAATGGATTGGGGCTGTGGCTTTCCAGGTGGCATCTCTAAATCAAGGCTTTGTGCACCCTGCCCTGGGGTCTGGGTAGTGACAGGAGTGCCACTGTCATGTTTTCTGGGGCACCCACTGTGTGCACGTGAGGGGTGTGTGTGCCAGCACAGTCAAAACTCACAGCCCCTTGGGAGTGGCCTTGGCAGCCCACAGGTGTGCCAGCATTCCCAGGAAGCCAACGTGACCTTTAGTCCAAGATGCCGCCAGCCCTCTTCCAGGAGGTGGGCACGGTGGGTCGAGGTGGCGGCAGCACTGGCTCCTGGGTAGTGTGGCCTAGGTGGGCACTCACTGTCTTGAGGAAGGGATAGAAAGCGCTGCAGCTCCTAGACCCAAGCAGGCTGAGCTGTTGCAGGGTAGGGGGATGATACTGACAGTGGCAGTGACCCCAGAAACAAGCAATGAACCCCAGCCCCACTTTCTGCAGTTGTGGCTAAGAGCCCAGTGCACTTCCTGTATCAGGAAGGGACCAGAGGAGGGTTCAGACTGTGGATGACCAGGGTTAACAGCACGACATGGACGTCCACAGGCAAGGGCTGGGGCTCACATGGCATCTGCACCTAAGGGACAATTGCTGGGCATGTGAGTATTCACAGGGGCTGCAGTCTGAGAGCCCCGCCAGCAGGGGCTTGGAGGCAAAGTCATCCCAGCAGAGAACCATCGATATAAAAAATGCCTGCAAAAAAAAAAAAAGCCAAAATATGAAAGTCACGGGCAAAACACTTCATAAAAGAAGAAATACAAAAAGATACTAACTCACGAAAAGATGATCAGGTGTGGTGGTTCATGCCTGTAATCCCAGCACTTTGGGAGACCAAGCCAGGAGGATCAGTTGAAGCAAGGAGATCAAGACTAGCCTGGGCAACATAGCAAGATTCCAACTCTACAAAAGAGAAAAAAGAAAAGATGCGTAGCCTTATCAATAATCAGGGAAATGCAAATTAGTAGACAGTAACTCAGGCAGACTGCAATCAGAGCTCCATGTGGGAAAACCATTTGCCACGATCTGGTAGAGCTGAGCACAGGTACACCCCATGACACAGCGATTCCACCCCTAGGACCCACAGAGACTTGTGTAATAACACTTGCAGCAGCATTTTCTGCAATAGCCAAAAATCAGAAGCAACCCTGATGTTCACCAGCAACAGAATGGATAAGTCGATAAACAGTGGAACACTATATAGACGCATGAAAACAAATGGCCCATGGCCACGCACAGCTGTGGGGTGAATCTCACATGCAAGACAAGACCAAGGGAGAGAAGCAATCCCATCCGGGTCCACGCAGTATCACCTTGTTTACCTCAAGTTCCAAAACCACAAAAGGAAGCATGATGTTGTTTAGGGATGCATTCCCACCCACATGGAAACCCTAAGACAAAGCAAAGGAATGAACATCACAAAAAGTCAAAATGTCTCTTACCTGCAGGGTAAGATGCAGAGCCACACAGCCAGGGGTTTTGATCTGTTTCGTCTGCGGCTATATCCCAAATGCTTAGCACAAAGCCTAGCACATAGCAGGGACTCAATAAAGACTTGCTGCATGCATGAACGAATGAATGAATGAACGAATGAGATGCGATCCCAAAGGGTGCACAGGCCACTTCTAAGGTTCTGGTTAAGGTTCTATTTCTTAATCTGGGAAGAAGTTCCCCTTTTTTTTTTTTTTGAGATAGATAGGGTCTCACTTTGTCGCCCAGGCTGGAGTACAGTGGGACGATCACAGCTCACAGCCTCTGCCTCCTGGGCTCAAGCAATCCTTCCACCTCAGCCTCCCAAATAGTTAGGACCACAGGCATGCACCACCATGCCTGGCTAATTTTTGTATTTTTTGTAGAGACGGGGTTTTGCCATGTTGCCCAGGCTGGTCTCGAACTCTTGAGTTCAAGTGATCCTCCTGCCTCAGCCTCCCAAAGTGCTGGGATTATGGGCGTGAGCCACTGCACTCAGCAGGCTAACCATTCTTTAAAATGTATATCTGTATTGTATGTACTCTACTGTATGTAGCATATATTTTACAATAAAAATAAAATTGTTTTAAATCACAAAAGCGTTTGAAAAAACAGTAGTCTGGGGACAACGTGTATTTATACACGAAAGACATCAAATAACGAAAGCCCTGTGATTTTAGAGCAAAAAATAGACAGACAGAAGAAAATAATGAGTACAGAAAGTTCAGGGAAAGGGTGTGGAGCCATTCTTTTTTCTTTCCTGTATCCCCGAAGAGCCCAGCAAACTGAGTTGGGTTTTGCTCCATTTCTTGGCAAATGCAGAGAAACACCACGAGCTTGCCAAGGGAGGTTGGCATGGGCACTCTGTAAAATGCAAGATCCTCCCAGACCCGGTGGGGGCCGGGAGGGAGCTCTGCCACGCCAAAGAGCTCCCGGCCGAGCCAAGCTTCCCACAGGGACGCAGAGGCAAGGCTGCCAACTGGTACAATTACCAAGGGGGCCGGGAGAGCATCAGCCTAATGTCTCTGCACACAGAAAAGAGAGAAGAGGAGTTAAGAAGGGTGGTGGGGGCGGGGGAAGAGGAAGAGGAAGAGAAGAGACGTTCTCAGCCCTCAAGTAGATGAATTAGAAAATCAAATCAAATAAAAAAGGAACCAGAAGAGACCACACCTCAAACATCAGGAAATGAAAGTAACGTTCCTCACACCTGTAATCCCAGCACTTTGGGAGGCTGAGGCGAGCAGATCACCTGAGGTCAGGAGTTCGAGACCAGCCTGACCAATATGGCGAAACCCCATCTCTATTAAAAATACAAAAAGTTAGCTGGGCATGGTGGCAGGCCCCTGTAGTCCCAGCTACTCGGGGGGCTGAGACAGGAGAATAGATTGAACCCGGGAGGTGGAGGTTGCAGTGAGCCGAAATCACGCCACTGCTCTCCAGCCTGGGTGACAGAGCAAGGCTCTGTCTCAAACAAAAAGAAAGTAACTTTCCTATGTGTTGGGTTTCCCACCTCAAGTTGTGGCGAGAGCCACCCCACAGGCCACTGCTTAGGTCTGAGGGTGGCGAGGAGTGAGGGTGCCCAGCCGGCCACCCCATCAGGGGATGTCCTGGCTCTGTGTTTTCAGACTCAATGACCAAGGGCCACAGTAGGAAATAAATTTTCCACCATGATCCAGTGTGTATCGCATGTGTGTGCCTGTGTGTGTAGCACTGAAGTAAAGGTTGTGAACCAATGTATACTTCCACTCTACTCTATTCTATTCCTTCTTTAAAGATGCTGGTGGAGACCCACTGAATTAATTTCATGAGCCACCCATGGGATGTGAGCACAGCTGGGAAAAGATCTCAAGGTTTTGATCCTGGGATCTATGCACAAGCTTGCCCCAGCCCACACACTCCCTGAGTGTATGTGAATGTGCCTGTGTGTACACATGTGTGTGTGCATTGCATGTGAGCACATGTATGCATGTATGTGCATTCATGTATGTATCTGTGTGTGCTCATGTGCATGCATGTGTGCACTGTGTGCATGTCTGTTGTGTGCATGTGTCTATTGCTCATGAATGTGTGCTCGTGTGTGCACTGTATGTACATGTGTGTATGTGTTCGTGTGTGTGCTCATGTGTGTGCACTGTGTGCGTGTGTTGTACATGTGCGTGTGTGTGTTCATGTATGTATGCCCATAGGCATGCATGTGTGCACTGTGTATGCATGCTTGTGTTGTATGTTCATGTGTGTGTGCCTAGAAATGAGTCCATGTCTTCTGATCATATTTTCAGAGGTGTCCTTGATCCTCCAAACCCACCCCAGTCCATTATGTCACAGAAGAAGAAACCGAGGTCCAGGGAGGCCTCAGTGAGTCAGGGGCTAAGCAGAGGCGGAAACCTCTTGACTCCTGCTCCGAGCCGAGCACATGAGCCTGTGACTCAGGGCCCAGTCCCTGCTGAGGAGCCTCCAGCTGCCGCCTCAGGCCTGTCTGGACTCCCTAGGAGACCTGCACTGTATCTGCACACTGTCTTGCAGTAAAGGTTCCCAGGCACTGACCGCATCGGCACTGCCAGGAATCCTGGGCAGCAGCCCCAGCAGACCCCAGGGCTGGCCTGAGTGTCCTGTGGAGCCAAGCCCTGGGCCCAACACCATCCATGGGGCTTCAACTGCTCAGCTAGCTATGGTGCACGTGGCACAAGACCCATAACAGCAGGACCCACGGCAGCCCTCAGAGCGGTGGCCAGGGGATGGGCGGGCAGGAAAATGGAGCCACGGAAGGATGAGGCCAAGGACCAACCCAGTCAATAAAACCAGAGACCTGCACAGAGCCAGCACCAGCTGCACCCGAGGCCACAAGAAAAGAGCCCCCAGCACGGGGAGAATTCATGGAGCTCATGAATATTTTAATAGGGCTTTACAGAAAACAGTCCTGGGTACCTGATTCCCAGGTGTCTAATTGCTAGAGTGGCTGCGTAATGACCAGCAGGGTATGGAGGCCTGGGGCAGACCCAGTCTTGAAAGAACGGTTGGCTCCTGCTTTGGAAACAGAAGCCTCTGCTGAATTCCACCCTGCCACTGGCCCAGGGGCCTCAGCCTCTGGAGTCCATCTGCTGAGTGTGGAAGGGTGACAATGACACCTGCCTCCTGCTCCTCCACACCTGGCCCATGGGCCGCATTCAAGATCAGTGAGTGTCGGGCCCAGTCCCCTCTCCTCTCGCTCCACCTCCTCCTCACAGGGCACCTGTGAGTGGGGCCGCAGGACCCTGCGGGGGTAGCAGAGGGTTCGGATGCTGAGCAGGGAATCACCTGCCGCCACGTGGCTGATCCAATGCAATCATTCTATCAGAATCCCTGGACTATACAGGGCCAGGCCCTCAGCCAACCTGAGGGTAAGCCATCACAAGCACCTGCTGTTGGGTGACCTGCAACCGGTTATGTCACTCTGGTGGACGGGAGTCCCACCAGGACCAAGTGAGACACATTCAGCTGTGGGTTACAGAAAGACCAACCCCAACTGGCTTTTGCAAAACCAGAAAAATCCAGAGATGGTTGGACGTGGTTCCCTTTCTCAGGGGTTTCCCCAGCTCTGCCATCTTCCCTGCATGGGCTTTGCCTGGAGGCTGCCACAGCCCAGGTCTGTGCATGACCATGTCAGACCAGGAGGGAGAAAGGTCACCTTGCCCACGCTCTCTGTGGGAGGGGAAGCCTCTTCCCAGAGCTGCACTCACTGTTCCTGCAGCTCGGCGGTCGGGACAGATCGCCCAACCTGAGTCGGCCTCCATCTAGGGAAACACCAGGTGCGGACTGCAGGGAGCACCCATCCCTGAACCCACAGTCAGAACAGACTCAATCCCAAAGCAGCGCAGCTACCCCACAGCTGGAGACAGGAGGCCGGGGACATGATCACGAAGCTCACGTCGGAACAGCATGGACCAAACGATGGTTTCGGCCACATCCCAGTTCCCAGATGTTCCAGACAACCCTCGCATGCGAGACCATCTTGCCTTTGGTGTTCAGATCTCACACATCTGGGTCTGTGCATTTACAGATGCCCTCCCTGGCCCTTAGGAAAGGCTGGCTCAGCCCACAGCGTGCCCCTGGGGTGGTGGCCCCTCCACCCACCTGACTTGGGCACTGCTGTCCTCTTTTGCAGGTTGCATCTCAGCCTCTCGAGGTCAGCCTCCTTCTCCTTGCCTTGCCTCTCTGTCCCATCCCAGGGCATGGAGCCCTCCCTCAGATCCCTCCCAGGGATGTAACAGGCACCAGGCCTCCCTGAAAGTTTGGGGCCCTTGAAGGGAACTTGATGTGAGCAACCCCTGCTTTCCATGGGGGCTCAGCCTCCTCCTGCCCCAGGAGTGACCTCACCCACAGCAGTGAGAGAGCCCTGAGCATGGCTCTCCCACTCCAAGTCCAGGCTTCAACTACTCAAGAGACAGCCAACATCTGCCTCTAGGTCTTCATTCCCTGCCCAAATATACCTCTTTGGAGCACGATTGGTTGGGCAGATATTCAAGGACATTTGCAAAACATTCCCATCCACAGCCAGGTGAGCTTTCCCTTTGACCCCCATTAAGAACACAGAATTCTCCAGGCATGGTGGCACATGCCTGCAATCCCAGCTACTCAGGAGGCTGAGGCAGGAGAGTTGCTTGAACCTGAGAGGCAGAAGAGCTGAGATCACACCACTGCACTCCAGCTTGGGCGATAGAGCAAGACTCTGTCTCAAAAACACAAACAAACAAACAAAAAGAACACAGAACAAGAAAGGCCAGCATTCAGCATTCACACATTCCCCAAGGTCTGTCCTCATTCTATCCCTTTATTCTCCTCTCCTATCTTGCTTTGCATTGATTAAAAGTTTTGTAAAATTCCTTTATTCCATCTATTTTGAAAAGTATCTTTTTAAATTTTAGCAGGCATTGCTAACTTAAAGTCTAAATATCTCTACAGAATAGCACAAAATCCTGGTCATCTTTAAATCCCACCTGACCAATGTTTTAGATCACTTTAAAAGCCATCAAATAGAAGTCCTTTGGTATGTATCTTTTGTATGCTGTTGGTGAACTTCTGGTTTTTGTGTATCTGAAACATCTTTATTTTGCTATCATTCTCGAGTGATAGTTTAGCTGGGTATGTAGGGGACTGATTGTTCTCTCAGCAGTTTGAATATAGTATCCTTCTGTCTTCTGACTATATAATTAACAATGACTTTACTTCAGCACATAGAAAAACTTACTCTATCCCAGGGTTTCTGATGAAAAGCTCAAGGTGCTTATCACATGAACTCCAAACTTGGTCTTTCCGGGACTAGCCAGATGCTGAAATGTCTGCCCAGCTCTCAGCCTCCAGCTGTTCCTGCTTTCTGGGCTTTCTGGAGTCTTGGCTTGCACATGCAAACTTTAGTTATCAGCCAAGGGTTTCAGGGAAATTTGTGCTAGATTTAGGAGCTCCCCTCTCTGTGGCTCCCTTTTTTTGTTGTTGTTTTTTGGCAGCCTTGAACTCTGGCCTCTGACCTCTCAGCCCAACAAAACTACTGTTCCACTTCAGCTCCATTCCATATGGGGCGGTCTGAAGAAGGATCTGAGAACAAAACCCAGATAAGCATGGCTCCCTTTTTTGCAAGGGTCATACCTCTTTAGCTTGAGTTTTTTTTTTTTTTCATGCTTTATGTCACTTTCCAATGCCTTCAAATAATGGTTGTTTCTATTTTGTCCAGAGTTTATAATCAGCAGGAAGGTTAGCAAAACTATCATTTTCCAAGAAACTGGAAGTCCTTGGTCAAGTTGGTTTAACCTGAAATGGTAGCACATAGGGGGTTATAAATTCATCAGAGGGGAGACGGTACCCGCCATGGCACAGCTTCGAGACCAACGGCAGCTTCCCTCCATGTGTTCTCTCCCAGCCTTTTGTTGCTTCCTTCTCATTAACCCATGCTTGGAAAGAACGGGTACCTCTTCCAGGTAGTGAGGAAAGAAATATCTGATGTAAAGAAAACATAACCCACGGAGACACGGAGAAAACATAACCCACGGAGACACGGATCTGCTAAAACCCACCCACAGTTTACACCACTAAAGGCTTCCAGCCAGGGGCAGTGGCTCACACCTGTAATCCCAGCAATTTGGGAGGCCGAGGCAGGTGGATCACCTGAGGTCAAGAGTTCGAAACCGGCCTGACCAATATGGTGAATCCCTGTCTCTAATAAAAACACAAAACATCAGCCAGGCATGGTGGCGTGCACCTGTAGTCCCAGCTACTCAAGAGTCTGAGACAAGAGAATCGCTTGAACCTGGGAGGTGAAGGTTGCAGTGAGCTGAGATTGCACCACTGTACTCCAGCCTGGGCGACAGAGTGAGACTCTGCCTCAAAAAGAATT
This sequence comes from Homo sapiens, assembly GCF_000001405.40. Lineage (NCBI taxonomy): Eukaryota > Metazoa > Chordata > Mammalia > Primates > Hominidae > Homo > Homo sapiens. Next base: position 43,183,544 of record NC_000021.9, on the reverse strand, counting down.
AAAAAAAAATAAAACAATATAAATCTTCCAGGTCTTCCAAGAACAGAAACATGTCCCCCGGCTACACATGTGCAGAACCATGGACGTCCCAGAGTGAGCAGACAGTCATCCCCAAATGCAAACATGAATCTGTTCTGTGCAGAAGCTGCCTCCAGCTTTGAAGTAGTGGTTTCTTGTGTCTCCTCATCAAGGATTTGCAGCGACTTGGGCTCCAGTCTCCCCCAGGTTCCCATATTTCCCGAGTTGTCTGTTTTAGCTGTGCTGATGACACGTCGGCCTCTCCAACCACGGCAGTGGCCTTGGAGGACAATTCAAAACCATCAGGCCCTTAAGGACAGGATGCAGATCTCAGCAGGCCCCGTATCCTTTCTCACCGCTGTTGCCATTGTTGTTTCAACCTCTACTTATGTGCCGCAGCATAGCAGACTTGGAAAACGACGGAGACTGTTCCATGTATTCTTGTTAATTAGCTACACTGATTTTTATGTGACTTTTTTTCCACTTTCAAATTCCATCCCAGGGGGAAAAAAGTTTCTTGGATCCAGTCCAGCCCTCCTCTGGTGAGATGGTTAACATCTCCACCCCCACAGCCCTGCTCGTGACAGGTGCACACAGGCACAGCCCAGCCCAGGAGGTCACTATCTGATACCTTCCCAAAGGTGCACACCTGCGGGGACTCGGGGAAGAGCAGCTTGTTGGCATCTCTGGAAACAAGTGTGAACCACGGAGCTGAGTTCGATTCTGAAATCAAAGGGCAAACAGATAATGACGTTGTCCCAGGGAGACCGGCCATGCTTCAGCCAGGCCTCCATGCACCAGGGGTACCTTCCTGCCACCCAGTCGTTCAGAGATAGCCTCCAATGCCCCACCCAGGAACCCACCTGCATGGAATCAGGCGAGCTCATCCCTCCAGATGCTGCTGTGTGCAAACGGCGACCTTGAGAGAAAGGGCAGAAGGGGAAGTCAAAACACAAGACGGCAGAAGACAAAATCCTCGCGGCTGATGGAGTGAAGAAGGATGCACCAAAAACTATGAGAATCAGCAACACGAGGGCCACATCCATGCCGTGAATGAAGTGCCCCGGGCGTGCAGAGGAAGTCGTGAGACTACAGAGGCCGCGGTGGCATGGGATGGCTCCTGACCCGCTCCAAATGACAAGCGCCGCTTCCACTGCTCCCACTGGGTAACCTAGACATGCCTTTGTCTTGGTCATTGCACTCAGCCTGGCCTCATGTGACCACTGGGTCTTCTCTGCTGGTTCATCCCTATGGTATGGTCACTCACAATTGGTAACAACTGCAGCCCGTCCAGGTGGAATTGGTGTGGTTAAGACATCACCACGCACGCGCCATACACAAATGGAGGCCAACGATTGCTTCTTCAGCATGCATGACCCGGTTCAGGGCCTGACCACTCACCTCCAGCAGGTTTAGACAAATCAACCCTCCCTCCCAGCTCAAAATATTTTTGGTTTCTATATTCCAGTCTATGTTCATCAAAGATGACCGAGGAGCGTCTGTGGACTCAGCACGAAAAAGCTGTCTGACTTTCACCTATTCAGCAGAGAAACTGGCAGGGAAGTATCTTTTCTTCTCTTTTTCAGGCAGCCTCAGAAAACTAGAAAACGTAGCTGAAATAATTCCCCCTTTAAAACCCACCCTGGTGGCGAGCCCACTGTCTTAATTTGACTGCCTCAATAATTAGTCAAACGATATGGGTGCTCCCCCTCGCCGGCGAGCCTCATCTCCACCCGCTTGCGTGCTAATTTGCCAAAAAGCTCCAACTACATTTGCATATTTTTCCATCTAATTTAGCCTGATCACAATTTAGAGCAGGTGCAGCTCCAGCAGGCAGCTTGAGCAATCAGCCAGGCCCCGGTGGGCTGCGCGGGAACTCATTTAAAGGGCCCCTGCCTGTCGGGGCTGGCACAAACCATGCTGCAAGCCCATTCCACACACAGAGGGGCAAGCTCGTGGACTGTGTTGGTTGTCCCCATCAACATTGCCACTTAATGGGCACTACGCACTCAGGACCCCTGAAGAACTGCAAGGGTGCCAGGGAATGCCCTCTGCCCTTCATGAGCTCAGGCCTGGGACACCTGAGTGGCCACAAGGCCAGGGTACACATGTGCTGAGCCGTCTGGGGGCCCTGGGGCCACTGCCCAGCTGTGACCAGCAGCAGAGCCTTGATAGCAGCTGCCAGCCCACCCACATCCCCTCGGCGGCAGCCCGCGCCTAGCAGGGCCCAAGGAGGCCCTGGAGTCAGCACAGGAGGAGAACCGGGTAAGCTGGAAGTTCAGCAAATGCCTCGAGGCCAGGCGGAGGCACAGTCGCACTCAGCACTGGCATCTGTGAGCCGCCTGTGTTCACACGTCTTGCATTTAGCGCTCACGGGCATCACCCAGCTGCCAGAAGAGCCTGCCTGCCGTGCCCCCACCCAGAACCCAGGCTTCCCACTGCTCTGCCCACCTGCCAAAGAAGATGGTCCCTGAGACCCCCTTCCCCGAGGGTATTCTGGACAGAACCCCTCACCCTGGCCACTGTGCACGTCCAGACCTGGGCTAACACGGGAGTGGATGCATATCAGGAGTCACAGCATGGAGTGGCAGCAGCTCCAGCAGATGAAAGGTCACCCCTGGGATGCCTCTGATGAGGACGGGGACCCGCCATGGGCAGCCCCAAAATACAAAGTCTCCTATCCAGTTCCAACCACGGCCTGCCCTGGCTGACACTGGACATTTGCCACCAGGGGCCCACAAACGTGGGTAAGTTCCCTGCAGAAACCAAGTACCTGGGCTCAGCCCACTCACAGGGACACACACACACACATCTACACACAGCCACTCACAGGGACACCACACTCATACACACACACACCTACACACAATCACTCACAGGGACACCCACACTCATACACACACACTCACACACACAGCCACTCACAGGGACACCCACACTCATACAAACACACTCACACACACAGCCACTCACAGGGACACCACACTCATACACACATACACCTACACACACAGGGACACCCACACTCATACACACACACACCTACACATAATCACTCACAGGGACACCCACACTCACACACACACCTACACACAATCACTCACAGGGACACCACACTCATACACACACATCTACACACAATCACTCACAGGGACACCCACACTCACACACTCACAGGGACAGCCACACTCCCACACACACACATAACCCCCTCACAGAGTCATACACACACCCACACACAAAACCACTCACAGGGACACCCGCACTCACAACCACTCACAAGGACACACACACACCCACTCACACACACCCATACACAAACCCAGAGACCCCCCCCACACACACACACACAACCACTCATGAGGACACCCACACACACACACACAGGGACAGCCGCACTTACACACACATACACAGGGATGGACACACACACAAACCACTAATGAGGACACCCACACTCACACCAATCACACACTCTCACAAGGATACCCACACTCACATACAGGGACAGACACACTTACACACATACACAGGGACAGACACACACACACACAACCACTCAGGGACATTCACACTCATACCCACTCACACACGTTCACAGGGACACCCATACTCGTAACACACTCACACATGCACACATACACATTCACTCACACACAGGGACACACACACACATGCTGTTACACACAGGGACTCACACACATTCATTCACACAGGGACACACACATGCTCATACCCATGCACAGGGACTCACACACACATGCTCACTTACACCCATTCACAGGGGACTCACTCACAGGGACACACTCACATATGTATGTGGAACCTCATACGCACACACTCACACTCACCCCCACTCACAGGGACACCCACACTCACACATTCTCACACATACACACCCACGGGGACACACATGCGCAATGAATATCAAAAACAGTCCCGCCAACCTCAGAGGTTCCTGAGAGGAACGTGTACAATGGCGTATGTGAAGCGTCCCCAAATGCAAGGACACAGGATCTCAGGGACGTCATCCATACTTGTCATGGGTGGAACAGTGTCCCCCAAAACATGTGTCTAAGTTCCAAACCCCAGAACCTGGGCATGTGACCTTATTTGGAAACAGAATCTTTGCAGATGTAATTCAGTGAAGCATCAAGGTGAGATCGTCCTGGATGAGAGCAGACCCTAAACCCAATGGCTGATGTCCTTTAAGGGGAAAGGACACAGACGGGAGGGGAAGGCGGAGGCAGAGACTGGAGCTCAGAGGCTTCCAGCAACCGGGAATGCTGGAGGAGGTAAGGAAGATTCACCCCAGAGCCTCCAGAGGGAACACGGCCCTGCAGATACCTTGATTTCGGACTTCGTGCCTCAGAGTGAATTTCTGTTGTTTTAAGCCAACCAGCTTGTGGTCGTTTGTCACAGCAGCCGTGGGAAATTCCCCACAGCACTGCTGGATTCCAGCTGGTTCATTGCAGAAACACCCTTTCCGACAGCCACAGGCAGGGGCAGGCAGGAAGAGTGAGCAAGGGGGCTCAGGGGGAGAGCCGGGGCTCCCCGCTTGGCTCCTGGCACAGGCCACATGGCTGCAGGCCACTTACTTAATTGGGTTTCTCATCACCGAGCAGGTAAGAGCACTGCAGCTGCCAGCAGGACCCCTGAGCCAGCTCCTGTGTGGAGTGCAGCCCAGCCCCGTACAATCAAAGGCCCAGCACTTGGCCATTACCGGCTGTCAGAAATAAGTCAGCCACCAGCTCCTCCAAGGGCAGCCGCTGCCTTTTATCACCATCAGAGAGCCACTGCCAGGGTCATCGTGGGGTCTCAGTGTTCCTGCGAACGGCAGATGGGATTTGGCGTGTCCTGCCTTCCCACCCCAGTCCTCTAGGTCTGACGTGTCTTCCCCAGGGGGCGCCCTGTCCCCTCAACAGCCAGCCATCTGCAATTCTGCGTCAGGGCCTTCGGGAGCCCTGCTCGGAGACCCACACTGCTCTGGAAAGCAAGATTTTCCAGCCAGGATGCTTTGGAAATTGATTTCTCTCACTCCTGGCCAAGGTAAAGGCACAGCGCTCACAGGCTCCCGGGGCAGACAGCTCTGCAGAATAATGAGCCACCCCCTCTCTTCACTGCCCCTCCTTCCCGGTGCCCCTGGGGCGTCCTTGAGCTGCCACACGGCCCCTCCCTCATACCCGCTCCTCCCTCGTGCCGTCTCTGACGTCTCTGCAGGTGGCACGAGGAATGCCAGGGCCCAGGCAGCTAGATGTCAAAGAGGCTGCTGAGCAGCACACAGGAGGGGGCTCCCCTAAGCTGGAGGGTGGAAAGGGGTCTCTCACGGTCAAGTACAAATCAGACACAGAGGGCAGCCGCGCAATGAAGTAACAGCCCAGAGCTTGGCCATGGCCATGATAGTGGTGTGTGCGTCTTCCTGTGGGCTGTGTGAGTGTATGTTTGTGTAGGTGTGCATGTGGGCATTTGTGCACGCGTAGGTGTTATGTGCTTCTGTGTGTCCGTGTGTGTCCACATGTATTGTGTGATGTGTGTACATGTGTTTGTATGTTGCATGTGTGTTTGTGTTGTGCATTTGTGCGCACATGTGTGAGGTGTGTGAGCATGTGTTTTGTGTGTTGTGCACGAGTGTGCATGGTGTGTTGTGCATGGGTGCACACTGTGCAAACATTGTGCTTCTATGTGCATGTGTGTTCTGTGCATATGGGCACACTGTGTGTGTGTGTGCATGGATGCATGTGTATCTTTCCTTCTGTTCTGTTCTAATGGCAGCAGCCTGCACAGCAGGTTTGGAGCCCGCCCACATTTCCTGCCCCTGCAAACTCAGTCCTTAGCCCAGGGTCTCAGAGGAAATCCCACAGAGCAGGGCCTTCTGGCCTCCCCAGCAGCCTGGGAGCTAACGCTGACGGAGCCTTCACTAGCCCCTGCCAAGGGTCCCTCCCCTGAAGGGAGACTCCTTTCCCAGCTCCCATCCTGGAGGCCAAGGGCAGAGCGGGAGGCAGGTGCCTGCCCTGTAGAGAGAAGGCCGCCCTGCCCCCAGCAAGCAGCTCCTTGTCCCTCAACCCCTCGGCTCTCCTGATGCCTCCTCCTTCCAAGCTGGCACTGTCTGGCACCTGTGCCTGCATCTCTGTCTCAGCCCCTTCTCAGACAGCCACATGCAGCCTTGGCTGGCAGGACCTCTGACCCTGTGACCCCAACACCGCGTCAGCTGAGGCTGCCTGCCAGGGACACTTACCGCCCTGCCCCACTCACAGGCCTCTGCGGATGTGGGCGGGACGGGGGCTGCTCTTCACAAGAGGCTTCCTAGGAAGAGCTGACCTGGGCCGGAAGCCGGGGAGTGACGTCATTCTGCGCGGAGGAAACCCCGCCAGAGCCCCCAGGGACCCCAGCACAGCCCTGGCCTTCCAGACAGTGACGCCTCCTTTTTCAAGTGATTTTACACACAAGCAAATGAAACCCCAAAACTGCTCATGGTAAAGAAACACCGCTGGCTTCCAGCACGGCTTTTGTGTCTTCCCATCTCAGTCTCCCCTGCTGGACACTAGCTCCCCGGGGGTCAGGGTGGGTCTCCCACAGCTTGGCAGCACGCAGTCCAGAGGCTCCCGGAGCCAGGCCCTCTGCGGATGTTTGCTGCGGCCGCTTCCCACTGTCTTGAAGAGTGAAGGTGACCTTTAAGGCTGAGGTTCGGCAAGTCTCCTGCGGCCAAGGTCTCGGCGGCCAGGCAAGTCCTCTGCTGCCACCTGGTGGTAAGTGTGAGGCACGCTGGTGATGATTGAAAGGAACTGGGGGCTGGAGGCTCCCCGCAGGCACTCGGTCTCCCAGCTTCAGCCGACTGGCAAAGACGGACATCGAATACTCAGAGGGGTTGATAGATCTGTCCAAAGTCACCCAGCATGTCACCAGAAGAAAGGGACCAGTGCCTCAGGCTTCCTCAGCGCCTCCCAATTTTCACATTATGTGTGACATTGCAGTAATCATCTGCCCAGCGGTGCTGAGCCCTGGCTTTGGGGTCAAACAGACAGGGTGCACCTGGCCCAAGCCCTCACCAGCTGGGGACACCAGGCAGGTGACTCCATTTCTAAGCCTGGGTGTCCTCAGCTAACAATAGAAACAGGCTACAGGCTGCTGTGCAGGCTGCATGAGAATTGCCGTTACAAGCGCAGCAGGCGCAAGGCCTGGCATACAGCAGGTGCTCCATTAATGCTTTTCCGGCTGCTGCTCATAATGATGATGACAATGATGCCCAAGGTGAAAACGGGAGCAGAGGAGAGCGTGGGTCATTTTCACTCCAGAGTCCAGCGTCCCCAGCAGTGGGATGAGGGAGAGCCTCCCTGGAGATCGAGAAGCTGAGCCCCAAGACTGGAAAGGCAGCTTCCAGTGAGACTTCTCTCCCCCGCTGCCCCAACCTGAGGAGGCGCCGCTGTCCCGCAGCATCTCCCACTTGCACCTGATCATAGGGCTCACCTGGAGGCACCAAAAGCCCAGCTCCCTGGACTCTGCCCCTCCAGACTCTAAGTGGGTGTGAGCGGGGCCCAGGAGTCTGTATTTGCAATGCACTGCAGGTGGTTCTCCCGGCCTGGCAGGCTTGGGAAGTACTGGCCAATCCCATCTTTCCACGATGGCCGTGTGCCCTGGTGAATGGGGCTGGACACTGGCACGCAGAGCTCTCTGAATTCAACCTGAATGCATACCAGGGAGCAGTGGGGCAGTCAGACCACAGGGGCCTCAGACGCCAGGCCACACAATGGGAAGCGGGGGAGAGGTGATCAGAGCCTCGGCCCTCTGAAGGCCAGGCGAGGGAGAGGGAGGCCCAGAGGGCAGAAAGCTGGCAGCAGCACCCACGGAGAAGGCTGGTGTGAGTCCCAGGCCTAGCAGTGGGTGGGCAGAGGCGAGCTTGGAAAGGAGGCAAGGGGAGCAGGCATCCTCCCGGCTTCAGAAGCTCTCCAACAGCAGCCCATGGGAGCCATGTGGGTAGGAGCAGCCACCAGAGAGCCTTGGCAGCTGCTCAGACTCCAGGAAAGTGGCTGGGCACCATGGCCAGAGCTGCGCCCTGCATTAAAGCTCACATCCACGTGGCCTCCTGCCCTGGCGGGGCGGGCATGGTGGGGGTGGAATCTGGCCACTCACCTGTGACTCTGAAGGGGTCTTGGGTGCAAAGCAGCCCCAGGCCCCAGCACAGGCAGCTCCTGAGGCTGGGCCCGTTGAGATGACTTCAGGGTGGGAGCCTAGGTCTCCAGGCCTTGCCATTGGCTGGCTGGGGCCTTGCACAAGTCCCTGCTGAGCCTCTGTCTCATCTGGACAAGGTGGTGATGAGGCTGCTGTCAGATGACCGTCAGCTTGGTGCCTGTGGGGAGTCCGTGTGACCTTGGCCTCACAGTAGCCATGGTGACAGTGAAATCACTGAAATCACCTGGGCGGCCCTTGCAAGGCAGGCTGTTCCAGAATAGGCCCCAAGGTGGGAGGAGAGGAGATAGGGGCTGTGGCCAGCCTGGGATGGAGCCAGGCTCTGAGCCCTGTATGGACAATCTCTCAGGCGTATCTAGCCTACCCCAGGCCAGAGGTGAAGCAGCCCCAGGCCCCTGAGTTTAAGAACCGCCCGGGTGGGGTGTGATTGGAGAGCCGAGGAAGGATGGCATCAGGAGGCCCCAGGAGGGGAGATGGGAGGTGTCACGCTGCATGTCTTGGAGGCCAGATGAGATGAGAGCCCCTCCCCCCACCCCCTCCAAGTCCTTGCTGAGCCTGTGCTGCTGGAAGACCCAACTGGGGGAGCAGAGGAGATCAGACAGCCCACCAGCCAGGGGAAGTTCTGCCTGGGCTGGCCCTGGTGCTCCGTGCGACTCTCCAAGGAGCCTGATCGAGGATCTGGTGAACCACCCACGGGCCTTGCAGACCCTGCCAAGGCCTAGCCAAAGGCTATGTCTTTGGGCCTGAATGCGTCGGTTCCCGCAGCTGCAACGCCACAGCTGCGGCTCCAATGGCAGACATCGTTTCTGCCGGGTCCTGGAGGCCGGGAGTCCAAGGTCAAGGGGCAGCAGGGCCGGTTCCTCTGGGGCGTCTCTCCTTGGCTTGCAGACAGTGTCTCCTCCCTGTGCCCTCACGGGGTTGTCCCTCTGTAGGTCTGTGTCCTCATCTCCTCTTCTTACAAGGACACCGGCCAGACTGGGCCAGGGCCCACCCCAGTGACATCACTTCAATTTAATCAAAGCCCCCACCGCCAAACACAGTCCCATTCTGAGCCTTTGGGGGTAGGACCCCATATAATTTTCAGGGAGTCACCTTCCAGCCCCTAACAAGGTCCAGGCAGGACCCGCAGTCAAGCAAGGCTGCAGGCGTGAGTGACAGCTCCATTCACTGTGCAGCCGGTGGGACGGGACCCGGAGCTACCAGATGTTGGGGTGGGCCCGCCTCCCTGCAATGGCTGCCAGGCTGTGCAGAGCAAAGGTGTCCGCTCAGCTGGTCCGGGACAGACCCAGGAGGAGCAGGGAGCCCCAGACACCCCGATTTTCAAAAACATCCAGCCGCAGCCCCAAAGCACAGTGGGTCATGTTGTTGCCAACCACAGGGCACCCCCTTCTGTACAAATGGGGACTCGATGGCACAACAGCCGGGCAGGTCCTGCTGGAGGGAGGAGGAGGGGGGGAGTCTAGGGGAGCCACTCCCAGGACTCAGAACCCGTCACACCACGGCCTGGCCAGAGGAATACAAAGAGAGACAAAGGGCATGGTGTGTTGAGGGGTGTGTGTGTGTCTGTGGTGTGTGTGGAGTGTGTTGTGTGTGGAGTGTGTGGTGTGTGTGTGTGGAGTGTGTGGTGTGTGTGCTGTTCAGTGTCCGTGGCACGTGATGTCACTGGGCGTCACTATGGCCGCCCACGCTAATGCCTGTTGCTGACTTTTTGAAAACCCGTTGGTGTCAGTGTCTGTGTTCTCCCGGGTGGAGGCTGCGCCCCTGTGGTCGTCCTGCTGGTGCCATGGGGGTCCCAGTGCCTCAGGGTCCCGGTGCCTTCGGCCTCCGGGGTCGAGGGCGCTTTACTTGGCTGAGGGCGCTGGCAGGGCCCACCCGCCGTGGCGTCTGCTTCCCCTTGGGTGCCCTCTGGCCCCCCGGATGCCCCTCGGTGAGCGCAGCAGGCAGCCAGGGCCCCCCAGGCCGAGTCTCCCTCCCCGTGGCGGGGTCTGGCATGGCCGCCCAGTGTCTGGTCCCGGGAGGGGACAGAGCGAGCTTCCGCCTCCAGCTCGGGGCCATGATGGGTTGCCCAGGGGAAGCTGCCGAGTTCCACCTCCTCAAAAGCACGAGTGCCCTTAAAGCCCAGCCCCGAAGGCAGCAGGACCCCCGAGAGAACAGGACGACCCAGCAGACCCCGAGAGAACCGGACGGCCCCGCAGAAGGAGGCCAGGGCTGGCGTCCCGCCCCGGTGCCGGCGCGGACAGAGAAAGGAGCCCGGCCTCCCTCCATTCCCTGCAGCCCCTTCCAGGTCCCTCCCCGCCCCCAGCTCTCGGAAGTGCTCCCCAGTCCCTTTCCCATCAGAGGCTCTGCCCCCAAAACCTCTCCTTCCAGCCCAGTGTGGAGGGAGGCGCTTGAGCTCAGGAGAAGGAAGGGACGCAGGCGACCCCATCGTTCCGAGGCCACCGGGTCCAACGCGAGCAGGAGACCCCGCTGTCCTCCCTCCCGGCGCCGCCCTCCTGCCCCTCGCGCCCCTGATGGAGACAGCACCAGCAGACGGCGGGTTGCTTGTATCACCTGCTGTTTATTGATTGCCGCGGGCTGCGCTCTCATGGGCGACCCATGTCCCCAAGAGCGGCACTACATAGAGGGGTTGGAGGAAGACGGTCTGAGAGAAGAGGCCGCGAGAGCCCAGGTGCACAGAAGCCCCGGCCCCACGGGCCTCACGCGCCCCAGGAGGTGTGGGCAGGGCCCGCCGCGGAGGGAGGCTGCAGGTGTGTCAGGAGGCACCTGGCCGGAGGTCACCCCCTCCTTCTGGACCCTCAGCAGAGTTGAGGCGCCTGCACCCCAGGGGAGCCAGGCTGCTATCTAAAGGAGTGTGAGGTGCGGTCACTTCCGCCACTGGCCGGTGTCGGGGTCTGGGACACCCTGAGACCCTAAGCTCTCCTGGCTGCTCTCTCAAACCCTCATTCCATGTGAGAAGGTGGAAAGGAAAAAAGGGAAGCAAAGGAAGACAGACACCCCGCCCTCAGGGTGCTCCCCCCATGATGGGCCAGGGCTGCAGGGGAGCCAGCCGAGGCAATGCCTGCTTAGGACGAGGGAGCCGAGGTGGGCTTCTCCTCCCGCGACACGGGGATGGCTCGCTCGGCGTGGGTGGCATCCAGGCCAGTCTGGATCTTGGGGCCACAGAAGGTCAGCATGCCATCGGCAGACAGGGAGCAAGAGAGGGCCGACTGGTCCACGTTGGACGGCAGGCGGTAGCGGCGGTGGAACTCACGGGAAATGTAGCCGTGGTCGTCCTGGAGAGGGTGGGGGCGCACAGTCAGGGGGGCCACTGTGCAGGCGGCTGCCTCGCCCCATGCCAGAGAAGCTGCCCCAGCCCCACTGACTGCAGAAGGGGGCCAGCCTGCGGGGGCTCTCACAGGGGCCGGGTGCAGCCAGCACATCCCATGGCCAGGCCCCCTGGGATTTATGGATTCATGCCCCTGCTTCTCTGGACCTCAGCCTGGCCTCGTGGCCACTTGCCGGGCTATTCCCCGCGGGGGGTTGTCTCTTCCCGCTCCATGGCTTCACTCCAAAATCGCAGGATCATTCCAGACCAGGCCCCGCACCTCAGCCAGTCTTCCCCTTCCAGACCCCGCAGGACTGCTCTAGCCCAGGTCTCTGCAGCCCTACCTAATGTGGCCAGACGACCCACATGCTTCCACGTCCCCTGGACGCCCTAAACCGCAGACTCAGCTCCCTGGGCTGACCTCCTCCTCCACTGGGTGCAAAGACCAAGAGCTGGGAGCTCAGGAAGCATGTTCCAGGCTGGCTGGGGCTACGTGGGGGCTTTACCGGGCCCAGGCGAGGGAGGGGCAGCACATGAGGAGGTCAGCGTTCACCCCCCAGCACCACCTTCTCCAGCCATTGAAAGAGGACCCTGGCCAAAAGAAACCAAGACTTTGGCTAAGAGTTCCACCTTCCAGCCCCACTCTGCTCTCCAGCCCCCGCGGGGCACTGTCCATCTGTGACAGTCCATGAGCTCTTCCCGGCTCCGCCAGGAGATGCAGGTCACCAGGGCTCCAGTGCCCCGGCTCCCTCAACACCACGGAGATCCGAGGCCTCCAGCCGAGCAAGAGCGGGGCATCAGGGTGACTGTGGGGAGAAGCTCCCGTCCACCTGCCCGGTACTAGCTGTGGGACCCAGCAGGCTGAGGACCCCCTTGTTCCCCAGCCGTGCCCTGGAATAATGAGGACACTGGTTCCAAAGTGCTGCTGTGAGGCGAAGGTGTCAATGCCTGTAAAGCATTCCAAGCGGATGCAGCTATGCCGTCGGGGACTGGCTTCCTCAGGTAGGGTTCATGTGAAGATGTACACTGGCTAGGAGGCGGCCACCCGGGGCACTCCCACTTCCTGGGGTTCTTTCTAAGACCACCCTGGCATCCAGGTGACAGGGATGGAGCTGGCGACGGCTGGGTGCAGCCCGGGAAGGGACCCTAACCTGGATCCCTGAGCCACATTAGCTCGGGAATGGTGACCTCTGTCACCGGGAGGGGCTGGCTGTGCTCAGGTGGGCACGGCCCCTCCCTTGGGGAAAAGCCAGGCCTGATTCGGGGTCCCCTGGAGAGCGTCCCTCTCCCAGGGTTGAAGGCATGGTGCAGGTGTGCAGGCCCGGTCGTGCCCGCCGTGACCCCCTTGTCCTCGCGCCCAACTCGCCCCCCTCTCCCACCTCTCAGTGCCTGGGCTCACCTGGCGCTCGTTGTGCTTTCCGTGGATCTCCACAAAGTCGTCCTGCACCTTCACGGTGAGGTCCTCCGGGGAGAAGTGCTTCACATCGAGGAAGATGACGAACTTGTCCCGGTCGGATCGAACCTGAAATCCAAACGTGCCATGTGGAGCTGCCCAGAGGGTGCCGTCCCTGCTGGGGTTGGCAGAGACAGGGCGGGTCCCGGTTATCAGAACAGAGATGCTTCGGTCACCTGCCGGCCTCTTCTCCCACACACCAAGTGGGGCAGAGCTTTCGGGGGCCTGTGACTGTCTCCTGGACAGACAGGCATGACCCTCGACCTGTCTCCAAACCCTCAGGGCCAGCTGAGGGGCTGAATGCTACTGGTGGGCCGGCTGGTTGTTTGGCTATGGTCAGGTGGCTGGTTATAGATAAGTTGGCTGGTTATGGGCTGGCTGGCTACTGGTTATGGTAGGAGGGGTCGTTACGGGTTGGTTGGTCCGTTAGGGTCAATCGTCTGGCTGGTGATGCTTGGCTGGCTGGCTGGACTCAGCCTGTGGAATGAGGTCACTGCCCTTGGTGTCATGCTGTCTATAGAAGCGGCCGGAGCCTGCTGACAGCCTGCGCAGCTGCCTCTCCAAAACGCACTTCCACATGCTCCTTCTCACTCCCCTGGCTCAGCCTTGGCTCCCTGAGGCATTTTGCACCCTGGCGTTGATGCCTACTGCAGCAGCCCTGGGGAGGACCCTGTTTATGAGGTGCTGGGTGGGACTCAGGCCCTCCAGAACAGCAGAACCTGCACCGCTCACCCGTGGCTCAGAGAGGAGGCCTGTGGTTGGGTGGGGGGGGGGGCGTCCATTGCCTGTCCTTTTAGCCTTGGCAGGGCACCTAAGTAAACTTGCCAAGAGCTTTGCTAGCCGTGGGCAGGCCGAGCTCATTGGAGGAGGTGCTAGGAACGCCCTGCTCTCTGGCTTTCAGGACTATGACCCCCACCTGCTCCCAGGTCTCCGGGACTCAGGAGACCAGAGGAACCCGGGAGCTGGCATTCGCCACCACGCATGCCTGGATGGGCTGCTCTTGGGGTTTCCAGTATGTGGCTGGTGCCTTACAAAGCACACATGGGTCATGAGCTGATGGAGGAAAGCAAAGGTGGATTCAGGCTGCTCCCTTGTCCACCCTCTCCCCAGTGCCAGGGGAAGCTCTGCCACGTGGCTGCAGTGGGGACACAGGCTCTCGCCCAGCCTCTGCAAGGGGATGAAGTGGGACGAGGCCACCTGCCTGACGGAGCAAGACCAGAGTCCATCGCTCTCCACCCACCGAGGCCACCACCCTCTGAGCAGCGAGGAGAGGCCAGCACCACGGGCCACGTCTTACCTCAGAGATGCCGGAGTCCAGCACGGTGCGGAAGAGGGACTGGCGGTAGTAGGGGCTGATGGTGGACGACAGGAAGGGCAGCAGGTCATACTCAAAAAGGCCCTCGCCGAAAAACTGGTCGAACAGCCGGCTGGGGTAGAAGGGCCCCAGGGTGCGCTTGAACCAGGGGTGCTGGATGGTCACGTCCATGTTCAGCTTTGGTACCACGGGGACCTGGAGGCTGGCAGGAGTCAGCGGGGCCTCTGGGCAGCGCAGTGTGGAGCCAAGGCCGAGCCCTCCCTATATATGCCACCAGCAGAATGGAGGCATTAAGGGATTTCTCTGGAAAGGCGTGAGCTCATGAAGAAGGCTGCTCAGTCAGCAGAAACGTGGCTGGGACAAGTGCCCGCCCCCAGCCCCAGGAGGGGCTGCACGGACTGTCCCCGAGGCCTGGACTCAGCTGAGGCCCGCCTGGGCACCCTGGGGCTCCCGGGAGGGCAGACAACCCAAGGAGGCGCCTGTGCCCCATACTCGCCTGGGGCGACAATGGAGCTTCTCATCTGCCAGTCACTGGGCAGGGGCTACGTGCCAGGGACCATGCTAGTTCTCTGCACACCTTGTCCTGCCGGGGTGGTCCTCATGGTCGCCAGAGGAGGGAGAGCACACACCCCCGTTAGACACAGAGGTTAGACACATCGTCCTCAGAGTCTCACCGGGCCTGGGCAAGAGTGCACTGGTTTCCAAAGCGGAGTGCATCTGTGAACCTCCGTTACACTCACCACTTACAAAAGTACGCATGCTTGTTAAAACTCGTGGAGAAGAAGCTGCAAGGTGCCATAATTCCAGCACCTGGGGGAGCCCTATGGCGTTTCATGCTTGTCCTCCAGGGGTCACATGCCTCCAACAGGAAGACGGGCTGGGCTGTGGGCAGATGAGAGCACCACGTGGTGAGCTTCCCTCTGCGGCCCACCCTGGACGCCCAGCCCCATGGCCATCGTCCCCTCGATGTAACGCCTCGAGCGTTACATCTCGTAATGATGTAATGCCTTGATGTAACATCCCCACGTAACGCCTCGAGCCTCCGTGGCATGACCTGCCGTGGCTGTTGAGTTGGGCTGCTCCTGTCAGGGTGGCGACATGTCCCCACGTCCCTGTCACCCATGCGGACCCACCACCCACATGATCCTGTTATCCACAAGTCCTGGTGATTATTTTGCTCCTCGACCCATGGCCCCTGTCCAGTTCTCACTAAGTGTCCAGGCACTCCCGGTTTTGTTTGTTTGTTTTTGAGATGGAGTCTTGCTGTGTCACCCAGAGTGGCGCCCAGATCATATAGTGGCGCGATCTCAGCTCACTGCAACCTCTGCCTCCCAGGTTCAAACAATTCTCCCACCTCAGCCTCCTGAGTAGCTGAGACTGCAGGTGCCTGCCACCACACCTGGCTAATTATTATTATTATTATTATTATTATTATTTTTGTATTTTTAGTAGAGACAGGGTTTCACCGTGTTGGCCAGGCTGGTCTCAAACTCTTGACCTCAGGTGACCCACCTGCCTTGGCCTCTCAAAGTGTAGGATTACAGGCGTGAGCCACTGCACCTGGCTCACTCCTAGTTTTAAGTCTTTTGATATTTTGGTATTTTGATATTTTGGTAAACTGGCCCTGGGGAGCATGGTCCTCCCCCACATCCCCCCTGCCAGCCTGGGAAGAGGCCATGCCCCCTCTCCCAGGCTAGCTTTTCTAGTGTACGGTCCAGGCTGTGGGAAGTTGCCTGGTTCTCTTTGGCCTCCTAGTTCCTACTCAGCCTCTAACAGATTCGTGCGTGTGGAGTGAACACACACCCAGGACACTCCCGGGCTTTGCAAATTCATCTCCAGCCCATGGGCTCAGAAGGCCATGAAATGTCAGATGCCCCAGTGTATGCGGATCAGACCTGACACATCCCAGATGGGATCAGGGATGAAAGGGGGGGCTCCGAGGCGTGCTCCACGGGGCACCTCCATCATGAGCAGCACCCATGAGCAGCACCCTTCCTCCTACATTTACAGCACTGTCCGGGGACACAGGATCCCAAAAAATCTTGAAATGATAGCTTTTGCCCTGCAAGGTTACAATTCCAGAGGAGCGATTCCCTGGGGTGCCAAATTAAGGTGCAGATAGGAAACGCTGGGAGAGTGATGGGTGCTTCCCCCGAAAGCCTACACCAGACCTCTCTGCCTGTGGGTCCTCAGAGCCACCCTGTGAAGCAGGTCCCAGCATCATTCCCGCTTCATAGACCAGGAAATGGGAGCTTAGAAGGTTAAGCCGCACGCCCAGGTCACTTGGCTTGGAAGAAGGGAAGGGGGTTTAAAGCCACCTTTCCAGTCTGGGGGTCAACATCCAAGCAGTGGCAGGGTCTGGGTGAGGCAGCGGGCGGCCCCACTGTGCTGGCTGCCTATTCCCGGGGCACAGGGAGGGGGAAGAAGAGTCCTTTGGGATGGAAACCAGCATGGAGCTTGGCCCTGGGGAGGGTCGAGCCAGGCCAGGAGCACGGTCAGTGCTGGGCAGAGCCATGCTGGAGCTTGAAGCAAAAGGAGAAGGCCGTCGTCCTCATCCTGGCTTTATGTAAAATGTTGACAGTTTGTCCACCACAAATTTTTTGCATTCATTTTGATTTACTTATTTATTTTATTTATTTATTTTTGAGATGGAGTCTCGCTCTGTCGCCCAGGCTGGAGTGCAGTGGCACAATCTCAGCTCACTGCAACCTCTGCCTCCCGGGTTCAAACGATTCTCCTGCCTCAGCCTCCCAAGTAGCTGAGATTACAGGCACACACCACTACACCCAGCTAATTTTTATATTTTTAGTAGAGATGAGGTTTCGCCGTGTTGGCCAGGCTGGTCTCGAACTCCTGATCTCTGGTGATCCACTCGCTTCGGCCTCCCAGAGTGATGGGATTACAGGCGTGAGCCACTGCGCCCGACCCATTTTGATTTGTTTAAACATTGCATCAAAACATGATTTAAACATCAGAACATTGATGGCAGTGTTTTTAGTGCCCCTGACACTTGGCAGGGAGGGAGGAGCTGTGCTGTCCTTCACAGCTGGCCCTGCACATGGTCAGTCAAACAGTGGAGACTGCAGGCTGAGGAGGCAGCTGAGGCACCAACCTGGGGCTGGGCACCAGCCTGGTCCTATGGACTGCACAGCTCTGGGTGCCGAGGATGGGGCAAGGTCCTCAGACACGGGGCAGGGCAAGGTCCTCAGACACGGGGCAGAGCAAGGTCCAGGCACTCACACCTCTTGCGCCCCTCACCACACGCTGTAGGGCCTGGCGGCTCAGAGGCCGCCGTGGGACGTCGAGGCTCTGCCACAGGATTGGCCGGGCCTGCAGGGGGCTTCTGAGTGAGCCAGCGCCTGAGTCTGCACAACAGAAGCAGGAAGGCCTGGACCGGGGGCAGGGAGGGCTCTAGGGCCCTAGGGGCCTTTTCAAACCCCGAGTTTAGGTGTTGTATTAGTGTCTTGTGGCTGATGTACCAATCACAGACTTAGTGGCTTAAAACAACACAAACGTCTTCTCTCACAGTTCTGGAGGCCACAAGTCTGAAATGTGTCTCATTCAACTTAAAGCAAGACACTGGCAGGGCTGGCTCCTGCTGGAGGCTCAGGGGAGTCTGTTTCTTGCCTTCTCTGGCATCTCAAGGCACCTGCCTTTCTTGGCTCGTGGCCCCTCCTCCACCTTCAAAGGCAGTGGTGGGCGGTGAGGTCTCTCCCATCACATCCACCTGGCAATTACGCTCTCAGCCCACCTGGATAATTCAGGATCACCCCCACCACATCTCAAAGCCGGCTACTTTCAGGAGCCTTAACCCCCACTCGCTGGCCCGGAGCCTGCTGTGCAAACATCCTCACTTAATTGATCCACACTGGTCGAGTCCTGTCTCTTAACGCTGTGTTAAACAAAGTCCCTGCTTTTCTGGAGCTGATATTCTCTTGGGTAGAGACAAGCAACAAACAAGTAAATGCACGCTGATGTCAGTGCATCCGCCTGCCAGAGCCCTGCGCCATTCGCCTGGATTCTGGGGAAACAAGACCCTTTTGCTCTGGACCTGGGCTCCTCCTGAAATTTGTGTTGAAGATGCTGCCTCAAAGCCACAGTGTGCAGGTGGCGGGCAGGGGGAGGTGACAGCCAGTGCACTGAGGGATATGATGTCTGCGGAAAATGAAAAACCAGAATGAAACCAAAGACAAGTCAGTGTTCTTTTCCTGATTCCCAGCCACTGTCCATGCAAATCATGTCAGCACAAAATCCCCTTTTGCTGGGCTAAGTTCTAGCAATTGCTGCATTCATAGCAGTTGTTTCTAGAGGTAGGGGTGTTCTATAAAGCTGCTGTGAGCACTGAATTAGTGATGCCTGGACTGCTGAACCATGGCTCCCAGGGGAGACACAGGCTTAGGGTCCTGCGAGCCTCTGGCCCCAATGTTCTCATCAGCTGAGCAATGCATCATTTGTCTTATGAGTGTTTCTGTGTACAGATGCTTTACTGAGGCCAGGCGTGGTGGCTCACGCCTGTAATCCCAGCACTTTGGGAGGCCAAGGCGGGTGTATCACCTGAGGCCAGGAGTTCAAGATCAGCCTAGCCAAAATGGTGAAACCCCATTTCTATTAAAAATACTAAAATTAGCCAGGCGTGATGGTGCAGGCCTGTAATCCCAGCTACTTGGGAGGCTGAGGCAGGAGAATCGCTTGAACCCAGGAGGTGGAGGTTGCAGTGAGCTGAGATCGTGCCACTGCACTTCAGACTGGGCAACAGAATGAGACTCTGTTCCAAAAAAGAAAAAAAAAAAAAAGATGCTTTACTGAATCTATAAACATTGATTCACTAACACTGAACTCATGGCCAGCAGCCCTGTAGCTCTGCCCGAAGGAAGCTTCTCTAACCCGTGTTTCCTCTGTGAGATGCACTGCAGCTTGCTTACCTTTTGCAGTTTTGTGTGTTTTGTTCGTGATTTTGCTGTTTAAAATGCCCCCAAGCACAAAGCTGAAGAGTAACCAAACAGTAACCAAAACTGTCTTTGGGTTTCCATTTGTATGGCATATTTTTAGAAATCTTTTACTTTCAAACTATTTGTGTCTTTGAATCTAAAGTGTCTCTTGTAGACAGCATATAATTAGATAATGTTTTTAATCTGTTTGGACAATTTCTGCATTTTAACTGAAGTGCTTAATCCACTTACTTAAAAATGCCTCCAAGCACACAGCTCTTCAGCACTGGGCTTGGGGACGTTTTAAAAAGCAAAATCACAAACAAAACACACGAAATGCAAAAATCATGGCACTAAATAGACCTCAAAAAGGATACTGGTTGACCGCCTGAGGCTGAAACAAGAGGGCATAGTGCTGCCTTGTTCAACCTCACCCAGGAATATGTGTAAGGAGACAAATGTCTCGGCACTCTCTACACATCTGTGAATGACCAGGAAAACTCTGCAATTATTGATTTGGGGTCACAAATAAATTTTTTTGGTAATTTTTTTGTAGGGACGGGGTCTTGCTTGCTATGTTGCCCAGGCTGGTCTTGAACTCCTAGGCTCAAGCGATCCTCCCACCTTGGCCTCCAGAGGTGCTGGGATTACAGGCGTGAGCCACCGTGCCCAGCCTACAAATAAATTTGACCAAGTAGGTGTCATGGACTGAACTGAGTTCCCAAAAAATTCCTGTGTTGAAGTACTAACCCCAGGACCTCAGAGTGTGACTGTATTTGGAGATAGGATCTCTCAGGAAATTAAGTTAAAAGGAGGTCATTTGGGTGAGCCCTAATGCATGTGACTGGCTTCCTTATAAGAAGAGGAAATCAGCTGGGCGCGGTGGCTCACGCCTGTAATCCCAACACTTTGGGAGGCCAAGGCGGGTGGATCACGAGGTCAGGAGTTCAAGACCAGCCTGGACAACATGGTGAAACCCCGTCTCTACTAAAATACAAAAAAATAGCCAGGCATGGTGGCATGCACCTGTAGTCCCAGCTACTCGGGAGGCTGAGGCAGGAGAATCACTTGAACCCGGAAAACGGAGGCTGCAGTGAGCCGAGATTGCACCACTGCACTCCTGCCTGGCGACAGAGTCTCACTCTGTCTTAAAAAAAAAAAAAAAAAAGAGGAGGAAATCTGGACAAATTCCAAAAAGAGACACCAAGAACACATGCACACAGAGGAAAGTCCACATGAGGGCACAACAAGAAGAGGCCCGTCTGCAAGCACAGGAAGGAACCGGCCCCACCGACCCTGCGATCTTGGACTTCCAGGCTCCAGGACTGTGAGACAACAAATGTCTGTTGTTTAAGCCATCCAGTCTGTGGTCCCTGGCACACTGACATCACAGGGAATTCCCAAATCTGGAATGCATGAGTCATGAGGATAGACTATATTTCTGTAATCTTCACATTAGCACAGTTTTATTTCTTGTTCTAAACATTTACTGAGTGGAAATTTTCCAGTGAACTTCCAGTCATGGGGCCACTCCCGACACTGCAGACGCAGCCACCTGCATTGGCTTGGAGCGGCTTTGAAGGGCGGGTGCAGGTGCACTGGGGGAGGGGTTCTCATCTCCAGCCCGTGGTTCAACATATTTCTGTGCTTAAACGAGAAATTTCACATAACAACAACAGCACTCACAAAGAAACCGAGCTGGAAGTATTTCAGTTCTGTCATTCTGCATGACCTCTTGGTGTTTTTATTCTGTGTTTCAAATGTGAGACTGTGAAACCAGAGCGAAAACGGAGATGTGGTGCTGAAGCTGAGATGTTAGCTCATGCATGAAAGAAGTCACTGAATTTGAATATCTTTAACATTGAAATGCATTCTTTTTCTGTTAATTGCTTTAAAGAATGAATCAAGAAAATCATGATTATCCGTGATTATTACATAACTATCCTGAAAATAATTTTGCGGTATGGAGGATGGAATATTCAAAACTGTGACTCACTCTGGTGTCAGATACCTTGGGGGCACCGCCGGCCTGGGGCTCCTCAACCTTCTTGCTGGCGTCCAGTGGCCTCTGACAGCCCTCCAAGTGTGAGCAGACCGAGGCTGTTTCGGGAGGCCTGGAGCCCTTTGGCGCTGCCCTCAGTCTGCCTCTGAGCCAAAACCTGCAGCCGGCCTCGTCGCCAGCAATGCTGGGACCCCAAGGTTGAAATGATATAGGAAACAAGGGTACCCCCCAGGATGTCTGAAGGGTGAGGTAAGCTTCTTCCTGTGCCTCCCACACCACCGCCCAGTGGCACAGGGCCCCCTGGCGCCTGCCCGGGACAGCCTGCAGGAGCCCGGCCCCAGCACACAGGCCCCAGGCTGGTGTGAGCTGGGTCAGGGAAAGGTCCGCCTAGGGACAGGAAGGGCCGTGGAGAGAGAGGTCTGCCCAGTAGGCCCCAAGGACCCCTCCGGGAAGAGGCTGGCCTCTCCAGGCAGCCTGGCACGGAAGTCAAGGCTACGAGTCAAGTGTCTGACTCCCAGGCCAGGGCTGGGAAGGGCAAGAACAAGGCTGGTCTTGTAGCCTGCCACCTGGGGAGGGCATGGGGGTAGGCAAACAGCTCAGCCCCGCAGGCACACCGGGGTCTGTGCAAACATGATCACCCTGGGCACAGGCAGCCCTTCCTCACTGGATGTCCCTGGGCACGGGTGGCCCTTCCTCACTGGACATCTTTAAGCATGGGCAGCCCTTCCTCATTGGATGTCTCTTGGTTCTCCCGGCCTCCTGGAGAGTAACCGTCACTCCTGCCTGTGCCCTGGACCGAGACCCTGGCGAGAGTGACCAGCCCAGGGCAGACCCAGCCAGAGCACCCAGTGGGCCCCAAAGGACCCGCCTTGGGTTAAGGGGGTGCGGGAGGGGGTCACCACAGAGCCAGCAGCTTCCAGAGAAGGCTGAGGGTGGGGACCTGGGCATAGCCCAAGGTGCCAGTGCCCACCTGGGGTCTTGGTGGCCGCAGGGAGAATGTGGGCCAGGTGCCGCCGCACAGCTCCATCCGGCCTGACCCTCAGTCCCAGCCCCACCCTGGGCCACTGCTGCTGGGTCCCCCCTCACAGATGCAGAGACCGCACAGGCGGCAGAGTCAGATGGACGCAGCTTCCACACGGGCCCCACCTAGGCCATCTGCGCCCCAGCAAGGGAGACGCCAGCCCAGCATGCCTGGCTCAGCGCAGTGCCACCACAGGCCCGACCCTCACCCCCCCGCCCCGGGGAAGAAAAAGTAAGAGTTTCACAGAGATCAGAGAAAGAAAAGGCACGCCTCCCACAGCTGAGCAAGGCCATGGGGCAGGGCTGGCCCCTGTGCCCACCAGCCCTCGCAGGGGCCGTCCCACCTGGGAGAGGCCTCAAGGCCATTGGCTGCCTCGACGGGAACTGCAGCCGAGTGGGGCCTGCAGCCGGGGCCTCGGGCCTGTCGCAGGTGTGGAGCCCGGCCGCCTGAGGACGTTCTGCAGGGTGGGCAGCGCTGGGGACGGCGCAGGGGGACCATCCCCTCCGGCCCAGGGGCTGGGCAGGACCCAGTGTGGGCTGCATGGGGCTCCTGAGGGTGGAGAAGGGGTGGGAGGCCAAGGGAACAGAGGGACAGATGTGCGGGATCTGGGGTGCGAGGGCAGGGCTCCAACTGGTCTGGGAGCGTGTGTGGGGGTGTGGTGTATATTTGATATGTGTGGTGTGTGGGGGGTGTGTGTTGGATATGTGGTGTGTGATGTGTGTGTGGTGTGTGGGGTTTCTGTGACGTGTGTGGTGTGTGTGTGGTATACGTGTGGTGTGTGGGGTTTCTGTGATGGGTGTGGTGTGTGTGGTGTGTCTGTGACGTGTGTGGTGTGTGTGTGTGGTATATGTGTGGTGTGTGGGGTTTCTGTGACGTGTGTGTGATGTGTGTGTGGTGTGTGGTGTACAATGTACCGTGTATAGTGTGTGTGGTGTGTGTGTGTGTGATGTGTCTGGTATGTGCTGTGTGTGTTGTATATGTGATGTGTGGGGTGTGTGTGTGGTGTGTGTTGTATATGTGATGTGTGTGGTATATGTGGTGTGTGATGTGAGTGGTGTGTGTGTGGTGTTTATGTGATGTGTGGGGTGTGTGGAATGTGGGGTGTGTGGTATATGTGTGGTGTGTGATGTTTCTGTGGTGCGTGTGGTGTGCGATGTGTGTGATGTGTGTGTGATGTGTGTGATGTGTGTGTGGTGTGTGTGTGGTGTATGATGTGTGTGCAGTGTGGAGTATCTGTGGTGTGTGTCTGTGTGGTGTGTGTGATGTGTATGTTGTGTATCTGGTGTGTGTGTGGTATATCTGTGGTGTGTGTCTGTGGTGTGTGTGGTGTGTGTTGTATAGGTGGTGTGGGGTGTGTATGTGTGGTACATCTATAGTGTATGGTGTGTGTGTGGTGTGTGTGGTGTGTGTTGTATAGGTGGTGGGGTGTGTGTGTGGTACATCTATAGTGTATGGTGTGTGTGTGATGTGTGTGGTGTGTGTCCGTGGTGTGTATGCGTGGGGGTGTGTAAGCCACTGTCTCGGAGATCATTTTTCTCAAATATCTCTACAGATCGAGCCCTGTCGGGAGGTTTTTCCCGGCCTCTGCGATGGCTCCTCCGTGGCTCCCCGGCATTGTTTCCGCGGCCCAGCTTAAGCCTGTCCTCAGCGATTTGCCGCCCCACTGCACCCGAGCTCAATGCCAGCCCCTCACACAAAGGCCACATTCACTTCATCTACAGGATTCCCGTAACGCCAGCAGTCTGCCCCACAAAGGCTGGCGCTGCAATTTTCCACTCCAGGGCCCCGCGGGGCTCACACACAAATCCGCCTGTGTAGGGCGGATGGGGCATTGTTGTGGCTCAGCGGGGAATGTGCCTGAGCTAAGCCCTCGCCCTGCTTCTCCTCGAGGTCAGCAGGTTACACAGGATGGTCCCCTGCAGACCCCCGAGCTGCCCTCAGAGTGCAACGTGGGGCCGGTCATGTCCCGCCAGCCCTTTCCAGAACAAAGCCAGCAGGGAGAGTGTGCCATAGACCCCCGAGGCCCTCCGAGGCTGGAGTTAAGTTGGGGAGAGGATCCTCTTTCGGGGGTTTAGAGATAATTCTGTCCCACAGCACACACTGGGCGCTCACCACTGCCAGGACGTGCAGGTCATGGGTGACGGGGACAGAGCCAGTGACGTCCCGCCCTCCCCCTGCGGGCCAGCACCTGGTGCGCCCATCACGGGGTATTACTTTTACGGTGGCGGCAAATGCTACTTCATTGAGTTTATTTTTATCATGAAAATTTTTACACAGTCTCAAAAGTAGAGACCATGGAACAATGAGCCCTTCACATACTCCTCAGCCAGATCCAACAATTAGGAGGATTTTGCCCTGCTTCCCGCTTCTCTTGGTTTTTTTCTTTACTGGAGTATTTTAAAGCAAAGCACAGACGCCACGTCATTTCACCCCCGCGCACTTCAGGTACCTCTCCTACAAATCGAACATTTCTTTCTATAAGCGCAAATTCCCTCTCACGTTTGACAGGATTCCTAACAATTTCTCGATGTCATCTAAAACCTAGTCCCTCATCAGATAACCCTGATTGTCTCAAATATGTTCTTTTACAGTTGATGTGTTTGCATCATGACCTAAAAAGAATCTGCTCACTGCTCTGGTTGTTACGTAGGTATCATTTTTTCTGAAATTGCTTCTGCGTTCCTGAAAAGGTCATACGTCTTTTCCTCTTTTGATATGTTAATACAAAGAACTTTATGAATCAGTTGTCTAATGCTAAACCAATCTCACATGATTGGAACCAACCCAGCTTAGTTACTGTCTTAGCCCAGGTTTCCAAGAAGAGGGGGCCTGGGGAGCGTCTAGGTGCAGATGTTTTGTTGGGAGGTACCACCCCAGGGAAGTGAAAGGGAGGTGAGGAAGGGAGGGAGGGTACTTTGCAGAACTGGCTCTTCTCATCTCCAGGTGGCCAAATCTGCTCCAAAGGATGATGGCCTCCCTCACCCCGTCCCCAACTTTCTGACGTGTCTTTCTGGGCCCTTCGGGGAACCATGGGGAAGCAGAACCCTTGGGATCAAGGCAGCTCAGCCCGAGGCTCTCACCAGGATGGGTGGGGGCACCCCAGCCCAGGCTTGCCTCCCAGGAGCGCTAGATGGGACGATGGGTTCAGCTCTGTTACGTTTAGGATTTTCCACCTGTGCTCTGAATGCAGCTGGCCTGTAGCTCTCTCTTGTATTGTGCTTATCCGGTTTTGATACCAACGTTATAACCACCTTATAAAACGGGGGGTGGGCTGGGCGCAGCGGCTCACCCCTGTAATCCCAGTGCTTTGGGAGGCTGAGGAGGGTGGATGGCTTGAGCTCAGAAGCTTGAGACCAGCCAAGGCAACATGGCAAAACCCTGCCTTTACAAAAAAATACAAAAATTAGATGGATGTGATGGCACGCACCTGTAATCCCAGCTACTCAGGAGGCCGAGGTGGGACGATGACTTGAGCCCAGCAGGCAGAGGTTACAGTGAGCAGAGATTGCACCACTGCACTCCAGCCTGGGCAACAGAACCAGACCCTGTCTCAAATAAAAATAAACAAATAAAACGGGAGGTGAGGGAAGCATGTTTTCTAATTTTCTTTTCTTTGGGAGAATTTCTATAAAACTGAAACTGTTCTTACTTGTTGGTAGAAACTCACCAGTTAACATCTAGGAATGTTACTTTCTCTTTGGGGCTTTTTTTTTTCCTACTGATTCCATTTTTTAATGGCCATAGGACTTCTGGTTTTTAGAAAATCCTCCTTTGTGTAGGTATCACACTCACGGGCATGCAGCGTCCCCCGGGTGCTCGGATTCCTCGGTGATCTCCGGCCTCACGAGCGTGGTGGGCATTTTGTTTTTTTTTTTCTCATCCCTCTTGTTTATTTGTCTCCACCTCTTTCGTGATTAATTGGGGCGGTTTATCAATTTTATTAGATTTTGGCTTCGTTGATCCTCTCTACAGTATGTCGTTTTTTATTTCATTCATTTCTACTCATATCTTCTTTTTTTTTTTTTGACATGGAGTCTCCCTCTGTCACCCAGGCTGGAGTGCAGTGATACAATCTCAGCTCACTGCAACCTCCACCTCCCGGGTTCAAGCAATTCTCCTGGCTCAGCCTCCTGAGTAGCTGGGATTGCAGGTGCTCGCCACCATGCCCGGCTACTTTTTGTATTTTTAGTAAAGATGGGGTTTCACCCTGCTGGCCAGGCTGGTCTCGAATCTTTCTTTTGTTCTTTCCTCTGGATTTATTCCACTGCTAACGTTTGTAAATCTAACATGGTAAATTTGCTATGAGTTTTATCTTTTCTTTGCTCAGTGTCAGCGTGAAGATGGTCGTTTCCTTTTCTCACCATGGCCGCATCCCACAGGTTTAGCTGGAGAGCTGGGGCTCTTCCCGCAGTGCCCCGCAGGAGCCGCCGTGCAGCCCAGGGAGGGGCCTTCAGACATCCGGGAGCGAAGCCACACAGAGGCTTCTGCAGTCAGTCACCGGGCAAGACTCGACACTCACTGTGTGTTTGTTCTTAGCCCACCTGACCCAGAAATGACTGGAGGCAGGCAAGGGGGGCTCAAGCCCTGGGCATTCGCTGTGTTCAGAAGAATGAACAGTTCCTAGGCCAGTGCTGGAGGAGGGAGAGGAGCTGTTGCCGCATCACCCGTGACAGTGACGCTGCTGCTGTCACCACACCAGGGGTGTCCTGAGTGCTTCACCTGAGTGGACCCCGCACCCCGCACAGAAACCCTCTGCAGTCAGAACCCCGGCGACCCGGGTGCCGGGGAAGCAGCTGCGGCACCATCCGGAAAGTTACAGGAAGCTCCTGGAAGCTTCGAGAGGCAGTGCCCGGGCTAAGCCCGCCACGATGCTGCCCGCTTCGTGTGGTCTGAGCACGTAACATCTCCCTTAGCTTTTCTGCACAAAACACTGCGCTGCCAGTCCTCAAGATCCAGTCTGCGGTCCTGGCCTGCCCCGGGCACTTGTTTCCCCTTCAAAGACCTCTCAGCAGACAATTGTTTTTCACGCCCTCTGGAAGGGAACACTCAGGCCGCAGGTGACGGGCGACGTGGCTGAAGGCGTGGGACACAGTGGGTGCTTAGTCTCTCCTGGAATCAACCCAGGCTCGCCGAGGAGGCTGGACACAGCTCTGGGCGTGAGGACAAGGCTGGTTTGCCTTTGGTTCCTGAGCAGCACGGCCCACCTTTCCCCACCC
Source organism: Homo sapiens (assembly GCF_000001405.40). Classification (NCBI taxonomy): domain Eukaryota; kingdom Metazoa; phylum Chordata; class Mammalia; order Primates; family Hominidae; genus Homo; species Homo sapiens. The sequence continues at coordinate 43,156,103 of NC_000021.9, read as the reverse complement.
AGAGGTTCCGCCCTGCCTCGAGGGGCAATGACACGGGTCGGCCAGGCCTGCAGTCAGAAGCAGGCGCTCTCAGAGCCAGGATCTGGATCCATGACTCCACGTGCCTGGTCAAGGCGAAGGCGCTAAGGAGCCCCCCAACCCCTGCTGCCTGTGGACACCTGGAGAGCAGTGCTTCCAAGGGAAAGCAGGGAGGTGGGCTGCTGGGGGGGTGTTGGCTCCCCACCTCGGGGGATGGAGAGGAGAAGGCAGGTGTGGGGCCTTTGGAAGGTGACCTGGGAAGCAGGAGTGAGTGAGGGGGCAGGAGGTGGGGTAAGGAGCAAAGCCACCGAAGGCTCCTCCATGAGAGGGTTGCTGGTGTAGGCAACTGGTACCAATCCCACTGAGGATGTCGACTGTGGCACTCCTAGCTCTCACGCGGGCCGAATGGACCGAAGCCCCAAGAGCAGAGAGGCGGGGAATGCGGCCCCTTGGAAACGGCCCCCTTAGCTTCCGTGGGCTCAGAGGCACCTGCAGGCTTCTGGCCAGGGCAGCAACAGGGTGTAGCACCAGCACCAGAGACCATGACACCCACCAAACCAGGGGCATCTGTCAGGGTTCCCAGAGGAACAGAACCCACAGAACAGAGCCGATAGGATAGGTGGACAGAAGGATGAATGGATGGATGGAGGGAAAGAGATTTATTTGAAGAAATTGGCTCGGGCAATTGTGGGGGTTGTCACTTCCAAAATCTGCAGGGCAGGCGGCAGGCTGGAGACTCAGGCAAGAGCTGACTGAGGTCTCAAGTCCAAGTTCTGCAGGGCGGCATGCTGGATACCCAGGCAGGGTTTCTGTATTGCAGTCTTGAGGGAGGTGCAATTCCTTCTTCTTCAGGAAAGCTTAGTCTTTGAACTTAAGGCCTCTGGCTGACCGGACAAGACCCACCCACACGACGGAAGGTCACCAGCTTTAAAAGTCTACTGACCTAAATACGAATCACATCTACACAGCTGTCCACGACAACATCCAGATGGGCGTTTGACCAAACCGGGCGCCGTGGCCCAGCCAAGTTGATGCATGACACAAACCGTTGCACCGGGGTGAACCCAGGAAGGTTAACACCTCACTAAACAAGGAAGGTGAGCCTTCCTGCTGCTCTCAGAGCCTTGAGGAAAGGGAGCGCATTCGGGTTGAGGAAACAAAACCTCTTCTTAGATGATTGCTACTAAAATTACCATAACCCCCCAAGAAATGGCTGCACCATGGGTGTTATTTTGTTTTTTTTTTTTAATCTGTTATTTTTGTACAGACAGGGTATCCTTATGTTGCCCAGGCTGGCCTCGAACTCCTGGCCTCAAGCGATCTTCCTGCCTTGGCCTCCCAAAGCACTGAGATTACAGGTGTGAGCCGCCACGCCTTGCCATGGGAGTTATTTTTCTCATGTGCAAAGATTTCGGTTTTCAGTCAGTGTGGGTCTGCACTAGCCGGGAAAACTGTCCAGAAACTCATTCGTGTCGAGAAAGAACACAGTACAGCCCTGGCGTCCAGAGCCACCCTGATGCTCAGGGCCAGGCTTTTGCTTTCCTCCTGGACGTAAACAACCTCCCGGAACGCCAGCTGAGACAGGGGCCACGAGACCATGGCAGAAGGAGATGAAGCAAGGCCACCCGTAATCGTGTCTAAGCACAAAAGCAAGGTCACCGCACAGCCCACGAAACGCTGGACGCCTCTCCTGTTGCTAAATGAGTGGCTGCTGCCCTGTTAGAGAATCCTACCGGGCCCCTGCGCCCTCACCACCCCAATCTAAAACAAACCCCACCTTAGGCCCTTTCCAAGCCACCCAACCCGTGTCCCCTAACACTCTGTTACTGAAACGCCCTCAGTTCCCCCACGGGGCATGCAGTCCGGCCTGGTCGCCTGCAGGCGTGTGTGTTGCTGCGGCCTCTGGCTGGGGGGTGCCGCCAGTGGTCTGCCCAGGGTAACTGGATACCGAGTGACAGCCGGCCACACGGGGCCCTGGTCACACACGGTGAACGATGACTCAGCCCTGGTCCTGGAGTATGCGGGAGCCAGGGGGCCCAGGCCCATCTGCAATTTCCCTTCCTGTTCTCACCAATCAGGCTGTGGCCCCATGACTCCACCAAAATGTCTCTCCACATTGCCACGCGCGGCCCTCGGCTCCAGGCCTCCCCCGGCCTCCTGGGCGGCTGTCAGCGGGCCACGCCCCTTCCGGGCGCACTGGCTCCACCTGGTCTCCAGGATGCGCGGTCCCCTGCTTCTCCCGCACCGCGAGCTCCTCCCCGCCAATGCTGGGGGCCCCGGGGCTCGGTGCTTGCATCCTCTACTTCCGTCCACACTTGGACCAGCCGGTTGACCTCATCACGTCCTATTTCCTGTGCGCTGGCTCCGCCCTACGCACTCGCCTGGCTTCTCCACGGCTCCCATTGGATGCCGAGCAGCGCCAGACGCAGCGTCTTAGACCCAGCGTGTCTGAAACCGGCTGTTCCCACGGCCTTTCTTACCCCAGCTATCAGAACTTCACTCTTGGCCGGGCGCAGTGGCTTACACTTGTAATCCCAGCACTTTGGAAGGCCGAGGCGGGTGGATCACATGAGGTCAGGAGTTTGAGACCAGCCCGGCCAACATGGCGAAACCCTGTCTCCACTAAAAACACAAAAATTAGCCGGGTGTGGTGGCCGGCACCTGTAATCCCAGCTACTCAGGAGGCTGAGGCAAGAGGATCGCTTGAACCCCAGGAGGCGGAAGTTGCAGTGAGCCGAGATTGAGAAACTGCACTCCAGCCTGGGCAACAGAGCAAGACTCCTTCTCGAAAAAAAAAAAAAAACAAAAACAAAAACGAAAAAACCCTTTTTTTTTTTTTAGGAAACGGCCTCTCACTATGTTGCCCAGGCTAGACTTGAACTCCTGGGCTGAAGTGATCCTCGTGCCTGGGCCTCCCTAGTAGCTGGGATTACAGGCAAGAGTTACTACAGCCCTAACCCCAGTGTGACTGTATTTGGAGATAGGAGGAGGTAATCAACATTACATTAGGTCATAAGCAGGGGGCTCTAATCCAATAGGACTGGCGTCCTTATAAGAAAAGAGAAAGAGACACCAGGGATGTGTGTGCCCAGAGGAAAGGCCCTGTGAGGACACAGGGAGAAGGTGGCTGTCCGCAAACCACAGAGAGAGGCCTCAGGAAGAGCCAGCCCTTCTGACACTTTCATCTCAGACTTCCAGCCTCTAGAACTGAGATAATAAATTTCTGTTATTTAAATCACTCAGTCTGTGGTATCTTGTACGGCAGCCCAAGCGGACTGAGACACGCCCCATCCCTGATTTATCAGCAAATTCTGTCACCTCTACCTGCAAAAACTGTCCAGACTTTACCCATTCCTCACCACCCCACCACCTCGATCCAAGACAGCACTGTCCTCTGCCTGGATGGTTGCCGTTCGTGCCTCCCTGGGTTCCCATTTATGGCTTTGCCTCCAAGTCTATTCTCCACCCAGCAGCTGGGGCAATTCCTAAAACGAGGATTGCATCAGGCCCCTCCTGGACTCCACATCTTGCCTGATTTCCCTTCTTACCCAGGGGAAAAGTCAAATTCTTTACGGTGACCCGCAGTGCCTTACAGACCTAGCCCCAGCCTCCCCTTGTTCCCAATGCTCCTACCATGCTGGCCCCTTGGGGTTCTCCGAGGCGCATGTGCCCTCCTACCTCAGGGCCTTTGCATGGCCTGTTCCCACCTCAGAGAGCTCTTCCTGCAGTTCTCTGCATGGCTGGTGCACTAATTTCCTTGAGGTCTGTACCGAAAACCCGCTGTCGTAATCCATTTTGTGCTGCTATAACAGAATACCGCAGACTACACACTTTATAAAGAACAGAACTTTATTTCCTCCCAGTTCTGGAGGCTGAGAAGTTGGCAGGTGGGACTTCCTGCTGTGTCATCCCGCAGCAGCAGGTGGAAGAGCAAAGAGAGGGGGGACCCAACGCACCCTTTCGTAAGGAGCCCAGATTCACGATAACAAACGTATTCTAGCGATTATAGCATTCATCCATTCATGAGGGCCCCGCCTCTCGCCTAGTCACCCCAGGGCCGAATCACCTCCCATTAGGCCCGCCTCCCAACACTGTGGCCTTGGGGAATAAGTTTCCAACACATGCTTCTTGAGAGAAGCATTCGAACCACAGCGCCCACCTTGTGAGTGACTCTGCCATGGCTCGCTATGGGCAGAGTGTGTGTCCCCAGCCTTCTGACTTGTTGCGACTTGTGACTTGCTTTGGGCAATGGAGTGTGAGCAGACATAACTTTGGCCATGTCCGGCTGAAGGCATTCAATGTGCGTGCATGGTTGAGCCCTGCGCCATGAGAAGGCTGTGCCCACATAGACGCTGTTCCCTCTGTCTGAACCTCAGAAGGGTAACACATGGAGTGGCCCTAACCCAACCCAATGCCTGAGGCAGAACCACCCAAGCAAACCATAGACCCAAGAGAATGGGTGGAAGCCACTGGAACTTAGGGGTGTTTGTTATGTAGCATTACCATAACAAGAGCTGACCAATGCATGAGGACTTCCACACATCTCACGCCCTCCTCTCCTCTGGCAGTTCTTTTCCTCCTGAACACACGTTATTCTCTAACATTCAGTATAGTCCCCTTATTTATCTTGTGTATGGTCTGCCTTCTCTACTAGAAGGTAAGCTCCATGAGGGCAGGAATTGTCATCTCTTTTGTTCACCACTGTATCCCCAGTGCTAAATGGGAAGAGGCATTGAACACAGATTGTTGAATGGATGGATGGATGGATGGATGGATGGATGGATGGATGAATGTGTTGGGTCTGAGACTAGAGCGAATTCCTAGGAGCAATGGGAACACTTACGCAGAGCTGTCCACCCAGGGCTGGAGACCGGGGCGGATGTGTCAGGAACACATCCAAGCAGAAACCCTAGGTGGCCACACTGACTCAGCAAATGAAGGTTCCCAGAGAACTTATCCCCTTCACCAGAGTGAACGCAGCTGCCTAGAATAGGTAGGGCTGGGTGACATTAATAAGGAGAGGGCAAACGTAAGATACTGTATGAATTACCCGAGATGCACACCAGGCCATCAGGATGCCAGGAACAGCTCTCTCCCATGCGTCTACTGTTCAAGCCACTTCCATGTGAGCGCCAGAGCAATTAGAAAGTAGCTATGTTTTTATTAAGCACCTACTGTGTGCCACACTAGCTGACTGGATACAGCTATAAAAAAGACAGTTCCTGACTTCAGGGGGCTACATTCCCATAGGAGAGACTGGCAAGCAGACAGACTGTGTGACAGGCAGGGAGGAACAGAGCCAATAAGATATATAAATATAGATATTAAGAAATACATATAGATATCGATATCAATAGTGGTGGCTGGCAAATCCAACATTGATAGATGAGCCAGCAGGCTGAAAACTCAGGAAGGAATTGGAGTTGCAGTTTTGAGGCAGAATTTCTTCTTCTCAGGAAACCTCATTTTTGCTCTTCAGGCCTTTGACTGTTTGAACAAGGCCCACCCATGTCATTCAGGATCACCTCCTTTACTCAAGGTGGACGGATTGTAGATGTTAATCGCACGCACAAAACACCTTCACAGCAACACTTTGCCTCATGTTTGAGTCCCTGGGGACTGGCACCTAATCAAGATAACATAAACTGACCGTGACGTGGCGGTGATGGTCGCAAACGGTGTGAATGTACTTAATGCCACAGAACTGTACACTTGGAAATGGTTAAAATGGCAACCTTTATGTTACATATATTTAACCACTTTTTTTTTTTGAGACAGAGTTTCACTCTGTTGCCCAAGCTGGAGTGCAGTGGTGTGATCGCAGCTCACTGCAACCTCCGCCTCCCAGATTCCAGCAATTCTTCCACCTCAGCCTCCTGAGTAGCTAGGATTACAGACGTGCACCACCATGCCCAGCTAATTTATTTATTTATTTATTTTGAGACGGAGTTTCACTCTGTCACCCAGGCTGGAGTGCAGTGGCACTGTCTCGGTTTACTGCAACCTCTGCCTCCCAGGTTCAAGCAATTCTCCTGCCTCAGCCTCCCAAGTAGCTGGGACTACAGGCGTGTGCCAACACGCCCAGCTAATTTTTGTATTTTTAGTAGAGACAGGGTTTTGCCATGTTGCCTAGGCTGTTCTCAAACTCCTGACCTCAGGTGATCCACCTGCCTTGGCTTCCCAAAGTGCTGGGATTACAGGCACGCGCCACCACACCCAGCTAATTTTTGTATTTTTGGTAGAGATGTAGTTTTGCCATGTTGCCCAGGCTGGTCTCAAACTCCTGACCTCAAGCGATCCACCCCCCCTTAGCCTCTCGAAGTGCTGGGATTACAGGCATGGACCTCTGCACCCAGCCTAACCACAATTTTTTAAACGTTTGATGAAGGTGAACATTGATGCCTGAACACCCAGGAGGTGTAACCAACTTCACCTGGAACCCAGAAACACCCCTCCCACCACCAAAACGCAGGTGAGAGCTGTGGCCAAAATAGGCTCCAACTAGTAGGACTGTGTCTGGAAGCAGCGCTGAGCCGTGGGAGCACCGTCACATGTGGCACGTTCCCACGCTCGGCCCCCAGCGTGCTCCTGGCTGGCTCTCAAGCCTGGCAGCAAGAGAATCATACAGGACCATTTCCAGTTCTCATCCCCATTGATTGTAATTGTTGGCTGTGGTGGGCAGAATAATGACCCCGACCCCAAGATGTCCATGTCCCCGTCCCCAGCACCCATGAATGTGCACATTACTCTGCAAAAGGCAGCTGGAGATGGGATTAAGTGAGGGATCACGAGCTGGGGAGATGCTTCTGGATACCCAGGTGGCCCTGACGTCACCACAGGGGTCCTTACAGGAAAGCAGGGAAGGAGGGTGGCAGGAGGGTTGGTGAAGGAGCTGCGGGCGCGAACAGTCACACCTGTGCCATATGCAGGGCCTTGAGTTATGACAGAACAGGGCGGCCTCTAAAAGCTGGAAGAGGCAAGGAGGTGGATTCTCTCCTAGAGGCTTCAGAAGCAACGCAGGCCAGCTGGCACTTTGATTATCGCCCAGCGGGACCCACTTCAGGCTTCTGACTTCCACTGCAAGATGACCAAGTCGTTCTGTTCCTTGCGGCAGCCACAGGGACGTGCGCACGGCTGGAAACGGCGCGGCACTCGTTGAGACCCCTGCTGCTGCTCCATACATTCGTCCTGACGTCCTGGGAAAGGACCTTTTTTTTTTTTTTTTTTTTTTTTTTTTGCGACAGGGTCTCACTCTGTTGCCCAGGCTGGAGTGCAGTGGTGCTATCACAGTTCACTGCAGCCTTAACCTCCTGGGCCCAAGTGATCCTCCCATTTCAGCCTCTGGAGTAGCTAGACCACAGGCGCACTTGGCTAATTTTTATTTATTTTTTGTAGAGATGGGGTCTTGCTATGTTGCCCAGGCTGTTCTCAAACTCCTGGCCTCAAGCAGTCCTCTGGCCTCAGCCTCCCAAAGTGCTGGGATTACAGGTATGAGACACCTTGCCCAGCCAGACCTTGGCCACATAAAGAGCTCTGTCCCCAAAACTGCACACAGTACATAGTCAAGAGGGGTCTGCACCTGCCTCCCAGGGATATATCGGCCAGAAGGCAGACTAATCAGGAGAAGCACAGAATGAAGTGACACTGTTTAAACTGGTGCCAAAATCACAGGTGAAGCCAGTGCATCCTGGCATGGCCTGGTGGACACCTCATGGTTCTGTTCTGTTTAATTCCATGATCATCTCATTGTACCGGGCCCTGGGACACAGAGAGGGGGTCAGTGGCACAGTGCCTGCCCTAAAGGCCTTCTGAGTTTTACAGAGCTGGAAGGGCCGACCTGAGGCTGGCCCAGCAGGCAACAGGAGGATCCGCCCGGGAGCCAGGAGCTGCCTAGAATGCCAGACATAGCACTGGCTACTCACAGGCCTTCGCCTGCCAAGGGGACTACAGTCACTGCCGCTGGCCCCCACGTGCATTAGGATTTGTTGTTAAATCCTGTGGGGAAAAGCAAGAAAGATCAGATTGTTACTGTGTCTGTGTAGAAAGAAGTAGACATAGGAGACTCCATTTTGTTATGTACTAAGAAAAATTCTTCTGCCTTGAGATTCTGTGACCTTACCCCCAACCCCGTGCTCTCTGAAACATGTGCTGTGTCAACTCAGAGTTGAATGGATTAAGGGCGGTGCCAGATGTGCTTTGTTAAACAGATGCTTGAAGGCAGCATGCTCCTTAAGAGTCATCACCACTCCCTAATCTCAAGTACCCAGGGACACAAAAACTGCGGAAGGCCGCAGGGACCTCTGCCTAGGAAAGCCAGGTATTGTCCAAGGTTTCTCCCCATGTGATAGTCTGAGATATGGCCTCGTGGGAAGGGAAAGACCTGACCGTCCCCCAGCCCGACACCCATAAAGGGTCTGTGCTGAGGAGGATTAGTAAAAGAGGAAGGAACGCCTCTTGCAGTTGAGACAAGAGGAAGGCATCTGTCTCCTGCCCGTCCCTGGGCAATGGAATGTCTCGGTATAAAACCCGATTGTATGCTCCATCTACTGAGATAGGGAAAAACCGCCTTAGGGCTGGAGGTGGGACCTGCGGGCAGCAATACTGCTTTGTAAAGCATTGAGATGTTTATGTGTATGCATATCTAAAAGCACAGCACTTAATCCTTTACCTTGTCTATGATGCAAAGACCTTTGTTCACGTGTTTGTCTGCTGACCCTCTCCCCACAATTGTCTTGTGACCCTGACACATCCCCCTCTTCGAGAAACACCCACAAATGATGAATAAATACTAAGGGAACTCAGAGGCTGGCGGGATCCTCCATATGCTGAACGCTGGTTCCCCGGGTCCCCTTATTTCTTTCTCTATACTTTGTCTCTGTGTCTTTTTCTTTTCCAAATCTCTCGTCCCACCTTACGAGAAACACCCACAGGTGTGGAGGGGCAACCCATCCCTACAAATCCCAGGGGCAAGAAGAAACCACTGGGAAGCAGAGGGACAAAGAGGGGTCGGTATCACTAAATCCAAGGGACATGGTGCTTTTTTTAAAGTATTTTTCGAACTATGGTGAAACATGTATAACGTAAAATTTACCATCATGACCATTTTTAAGTGCACAGTTCAGTGGCATCAAGTACATTCCAGTCTTGTGCAACCATCCCTGACATCCAGCCACAGAACTCTTCATCGTGCAAAGCAAACTCTGTCCCCGTTCAACACTCCGCCCCCGTTCCCCATCCCCCAGCCCCGGTGCCACCATTCTGCTTTCTGTCTCTGTGAATCTGACTCCTCCAGGGCCTCATCAAAGGGGAGGTCACCGTACTTGTGCGTCTGTGACTGGCCTCTTTGACTCAGCCTAATGTCCTCATTCCTGTCTAGCCTGCATCAGAATTCCCTTCCTTTCGACGGCTGAATGATAGTCTCCCGTGGGAATAGACCACATCTAGGGAACCCTTCTTGAGGGCCTGCTGGGAAGTGGAGGTAGCCCAGAACTGACAGGCCCAGGTTCGGCCCTCAAGGAGCTCACAGGACAGGGAAAGCGCCCTGGAGATGCGGCGAGGAAGCCACACCTGCACGGCCACACTCCTGCCTCACCCACAGCCAAGGCTGGTGTTTTTGCTCCAACCCTGGCCAGCCAAGTTCTTGCCCCACCAGGGCCTCTGGGTGAGCTGCAGCAGGAAGAACATGGATAAAACTAATCATCAGCTGGGCGCGGTGGCTCATGCCTGTAATCCCAGCACTTTGGGAGGCCAAGGCGGGTGGATCACTTGAGGTCAGGAGTTCGAGACCAGCCTGGCCAACACAGCGAAACCCTGTCTCTACTAAAAATACAAAAATTAGCCAGGCATGGTGGTGCATGCCTGTAATCCCAGCTACTCAAGAGGCTGAGGCAGGAGAATCGCTTGAACCTGAGAGGTGGAGGTTGCAGTTGAGCTGAGATCGTGCCACTGCTCTCCAGCCTGGGTGACAGAGGGAGACTCCTTCTCAAAAAAAAAAACAAAACTAACCATCAATGCCTGGACCTGCCTCCCTCCTTCTGGGAGCTGAGCGACACTGCACAGCTGGCAAGAGGTACAAACGGACACAAGCAGCCGCCTCATGAGGGGCCCGGGACATCTCCACATGTGCTTGTTACAAACAACATCGCACGCGTCTCTGAGAGCATTTCCCTAAGTCAAGTTCCCAGAAGTGAAATTCCTGAATCAAATAATCAAACATCAGTCGCAATGAGAACCACAGCTCCTTCCTCACCCTCCCTATGAATTTGTAAAAGCAGATATGAAATGAACAAGTAGAACGCTCACATCCTCTCGCTCCCCTTGGGAAAAATGTACACGTGAATTTTCCTAAATGCAGTTAGATAAGCATGAAACTTCACACACAGAAACCGATGAGATGATCTTCTACGCTTTTGTGGATTTATTCAAAATGTTGCTTCTCTATTAGAAAGAAAAAAGAAAAGCCCAAGGTGCCCCACGGCACAGAACTGCTGCCTCCCTCCTGCTTCCCTCCTGCTTCCACAGCTCCCCTGGTGACACGGCCAGGTTCTAGGGGCTGGCCAGCCCTTGTCTTTAACCCTCTCAGGACACAGATTCCGGAACAAACAAAGCACTTCTCACCTGTAACTTGAGCATCTCAAAACCCAAGGGCTGGCTGGACATGGTGGTTCACACCTGTGACCCCAACACTTTGGGAGGCCAAGGGAGGAGGATCGTTTGAAAGCTGGAGGTCAAGGCTGCAGTAAGTCAAGATGGCGCCACTGCACTCCAACCTGGGTATATTAGTCCGTTTTCATGCTTCAGATAAAGACATACTCAAGACTGGGAAGAAAAAGAGGTTTAATGGGCTCACTGGGGAGGCCTCACAATCATGACAGAAGGCACATCTCACACGGCAGCTGCAAGAGAGAATGCGGAAAGCTCTTCTAAAACCATCAGATCTCATGAGACTTATTCACTACCACAAGAACAGTACAGGGGAAACCACCCCTATGATTCAATTATCTCCCACTGGGTCCCTCCCACAACATGTGGGAATTATGGGAGTACAATTCAAGATGAGATTTGGGGCTGGGCACGGTGGCTCACACCTATAATCCCAGCACTTTGGGAGGCCGAAGTGGGTGGATCACCTGAGGTCAGGAGTTCAAGACCAGCCTGGCCAACATGATGAAACCCCATCTCTATTAAAAATACAAAAAAAATTATCCAGACATGGTGGTCTGCGCCCTTAATCCCAGCTACTCGGGAGGCTGAAGCAGGGGAATCGCTTGAACCCTGGAAGTGGAGGTTGCGGTGAGCCGAGATTGCACCACTGCACTCCAGCCTGGGCAACAAGAGCGAAACTCCGTCTCAAAAAAAAAAAAAATAAAAGATGAGATTTGGGTGGGGACACAGCCAGACCATATCACTGGGTGACATAATGAGACCCTGCCTCTAAAAATAAAAATAAAAATAAATTTTTTAAAAACCACAAGGGCTGATTGCCAAGGTCTGGGAGCCCCAGGGGGCTGGCCATGGTTGCGGGAGTTCACAAGAGAGCAGGGTCTTCACTGCTCCAGGCCACCTTATAGCGGGTGTTCCCACATCAGTATCTGTGCACGTTGGTGAGTTTGGGCACGGAAATTCAACAGAGCGCCGCCTCATTCACATTTGCGTCCCCAAGGACTGGCGCACAGAAGGGTTCAGGAAATCCATTTGTGCACGGGCGGGTGTTTTTTTGATTTCCTTGTTCCATGAGACCTGGACAAAAAGGAATAGAAAGTTCTAGCCAGGTGGGCACCAGCAGGCCGTCACCTGGAGTCCAATCTGGGAGTGTCAATCTGTTTTTCCCACCTGCCCCCCACTCTGCCCACCCTTAGGGGTTGTTTGACCAGGGCCACCAGCACCTTACACCTAGCGGACACCCCAGGGCCTTCCAGAACCCTAAGCTCATGGCATCTTTGTGTTTCTAACTTGGAAGTCCACCAGCTCCTGCCATCCCAGAACAGGCTGTTTCCTTGGAGTTCATGCAGAGAACCTCAGAGCTGGGAGGAGGCGAGAGCCCCAGACCACACGTGACCAAGGTCCGACCGCGAGACTGTCAGGGACGGCGACTCTTTGTCCACCGCCCATGCTCTGCTCTTTCTGTGCTCCTACCCAGAGTTTTCGTTCCTCTGAGCCTCAGTTTCCCCAACTATAAAATGGAGATGAAGGCAATGACCGTTCCCCTAAACAGCACCACAGCTGCCAGAGGCAGGATGGTCAGCTCCATGGCCTACAGAGGAGGAAGCTGAGGAAAGACCGACCGAGGAACTGGACCTCTGAGGGCTCAAAGTTGTGCATGGCCTGGGGTGGCTCTGGGAGCCGGAGGGAGGCAGCTGGCTCCATTCTGGCCCCTGATCCATGGGACATCCTCCCCTTGATGAACCGGCATGCAGACCGGCCACCTCCACCCAGTCACCCTGACACAAACGCCCACAGCCTCTTCCAGCCCCTACTGAGAACCTATGTAAACGGTCTCAGAGAAACCACGGCCCCGAAACTTCCACAAAGCTACTGGCATAGCGGCTCTCTCAAGCCACTGCCCACACCACCAGCTCATTCTACCTGGCTCACCAAGGACCTGCATTGGGTGGAACTGTGTCCCCCAAAGCGATGTCTTCAAGTCCTAACCTCAAAACCTACGGATGTGATCTTATTTGGAAGTGGGGTCTTTGCAGATGTAATGAGGCTAAGATGAGGTCACACTGGAGAAGGTGGGCCCTCATCTAATGACTGGCGACCCTGTAAGAAGAGAGAAATTTGGACGCACACACACAGAGAGGTCGTGTAAACACGGAGGCAGAGGTAGGAGTGAGGCTGCCACAGATCAGAGTTCCAAGGCTTCCGGCACCCACCAGCAGCTGGCAGAAGCGAGGAAGGGAACTCTCCTAGAATCTCAGAGGGGGCGCGGCTCCACCCACACCTGGAGTTCAGACTTCTGGCCTCCAGAGCCACGACAGAGCACATGTCTATGGTTTAAGCCCCTCATTTTGTGGTACTTTGTTGGGCTGCCCCGGAACACTGATGCAAGCCTGGATTCGTCCATTTTCCCACTGCTATAAAGAACTTCTGGCTGGGTGCGGTGGCTCACGCCTGTAATCCCAGCACTTTGGGAGGCCGAGGTGGGTGGATCACCTGATGTCAGGAGTTCGAGACCATCATGGCCAACATGGTGAAACCCCATCTCTACCAAAAATACAAAAATTAGCTGGCAGTGGTGGCAGGCACCTGTAATCCCAGCTACTCGGGAGACTGAGGCACGAGAATCGCTTGAACCCAGGAGGCGCAGGTTGCAGTGAGCCGAGATGGTGCCACTGCACTCCAGCCTGGGTGACAGAGCAAGACTCTGTCTGAAAAAAAAAAAAAAAAACTTACTTGAGACTGGGTGATTTCTAAAGGAAAGAGTTTTCATTGACTCAGAGTTCTGCATGGCTGGGGAGGCCTCAGGAAACTTACAGTCATGGCTGAAGGGGAAGCAGGCACCTTCTTCACATGGTGGCAGGAGAGAGAGAGCAAGAGCAAGCGAAGGGGGAAGAGCCCCTTATAAAACCATCAGATCCCATGAGAACTCACTAGCTATCATGAGAACAGCATGGAGGAAACCGCCTCATGATCCAATCGCCTCCCTCCTTCAACACCTGGGGATTACAATTCGAGGTGAGATTTGGGTGGGGACACAGCCTCACCACATCATAGCCATTCTGCCCTCCCTGCCCTGCCCTGCCCTGCCTCCAGGTCTGCCTCCAGACCTGGAGTGTTTCTGAGAGTGGACCCAGCACAGGGAGGAGGTGGCTCAGGACACTCAACTCCTGGTCCAGCTCCCACTCATAGCTGGGGTCCTGGCCGGTGACTCCATCTCCCTTTCTGCTGTCTCCCTGTCTATAAGACAAGGGGCTGGGCCAGCCATCTCAAGGTCCCCTCCAGTTCCATCTTCCCAGGGCTGAGCAGGTCCTGGGCCTTGGCGTCACAGAGCCCAGCTCACAGGCCCACCCGGGAGAGGTATCGGGATGTGTCTTTGCCACATCATAAGTTAGGCAGAAAGATGTGTGGGACGTGGCCCTGCCCCCGGTCAGGACGGTGGACACATGCAAACGCCGCACAGACGCACCCTGCCCTGACACCGCCCGGAGCACCTGGGTGGCTTCCTGAATGGCGAGGCATGGTGGGCACTCATGGGCCTGCCGTGCACCCCACCTGCAGGGCACGTGCCCAGCAGACAGCAAGGGCTGAATGACAGGTGACAGGACGGCCGCCAGGCAGGCGAAGGTGGGGCCAAAGGCAAGGGTGGCTGCTCGGCTGCAGGGCACGGACACTCAGCCTCTATTTCCTCCTGGGGTGGCGAGGGGGGGCGAGGGAGGGGCGAGGGAGGGGCGAGGGGGGGCGAGGGAGGGGTGAGGGAGGGGTGAGGGACGGTCAGACCGGATGTGGCTGTGCTTCAGACCGCGCGGGAAGTCCTGGGATGGCGTGGAGCCCGCTTCAGCTGAAGGGACAGAGGGAGAGGCAGGGGCCAGACAGCGCCAACCACCTGAGACCCAGGCAAGAGACAGTATGGTGGGTGGGGGTACTGCCCAGTAAGGGCTGGGGGAGAGGACTGAGGAAACCCTCCCTCCATCAACGTGCCTGGGAGCCCTGCCAGGTGAGAGCCCTGTTGTTCCTGGATGACTGTGGACCGCTCACTCCGGCCCCTCAGCCCCTACCCAGCCTGCCCCCAGGAGCAGCACGGCTGGGCACCAGCATCTCTCCAGCTGGCAGTTGCCCCACTGGGATCCCCCAAATGCCCTGCAAGCCAAGGTGTGCAAGCCCTGCACACTGAGGGCTGGAGGGCAGCCCCCGTGCTGTGTTCCAGATGGAGGGAGGGGTGGGGAGGGGGGAGCTACACTGGGGAGGGCTGCGCCGGTCACTGCCGAGGAGGGAAAGCCTCAACATCACCCCTCTTACCCCCCATCTCCCGCAGCCTCCCAGCAAGGTTGTGGCCCGCAGCGGACGCTCCCCACGAGGTAGAGCCCCGTTTCCACACCTGGAGCAGCTGCACCTGGAGGTGGGGCTCATCTCCAGACCTGGAGCAGCTGCCTGCCCCAGGGCAGAAGCCACTGCCCGCAGCTAGGTGAGGCCATGTGCCCAGTCCTGGTCAATGGACTGAGCATGAGGGGATGTGTGCCCAGCAGCAGGGACTACTGTGCACTGAAGGCCAGGGCCGCTGGATTGGGACAAATAAATACAGCAGGTCCTCAAATCCCATCGTTTCATTCTAGGGAGCATTGAGGAGGTCTCCCCAGGTCCGCGCGGGTTTTCTCCAGGTCCTCCAGTTTCCTCCCACATCCCAAGTATACACCTCAGCCTCACGGCATGTCTACATGGGCCTAGTCCGAGTGAGTGTGGGTGTCCCATGGAGGCCTGTCCTATCCAGGGCGGGTGCCCACCTTGGCACTGAGCCTCCAGGATGGGCCCTGGTCACCTGCCACTCTGAACTGGAGAAAGCAAGTTGGAAAATGAATGAATACATGAATATAAATTATCAAATAAAAATTATAAAGCCTACGGTAATCACACAAACGCATGACAACAAACGCCGCGTGTGAGGGTGCTCAAGGAGCCGCCATACTCACGGTCGCTTGTCTTTCAGCTGTGCGGTGGGAGGAGGTGCTCCCAAGAGCGTGTGCTTTGCAGACATTGATTCCGTGATTTCACCACCACCACTACCACCGCCGTCACTCACAGACATCCCAAATATTGGGTAGATCATGATCTCACTTGTTTGTATTAATCTTCCTTATGTAGGTGTAGCTACCTCTACATGTAGGGATAGTTTACATTTATTTCAATGTTTAATATTAGAAGTGTTTGGGTCTTTAGAAATTTGGTGGTGTTTTTTGTTTTTTTGTGGGGTTTTTTTGGAAATAGGGTTTTGTTCCGTCGCCCAGGCTGGAGTGTGGTGGTGTGATCACAGCTCACCGCAACCTTAGCCTCTGAGGCTCAAGCAATCCTCCCACCTCAGCCTCCTAAGTAGCTGGGACCACAGGCACACACCACCTTTCCTGGCTAATTTGGGGGGCATTTTTTGTAGAGATGGGGTTTCATCATGTCGCCCAGGCTGGTTTTGAACTCCTTGCCTCAAGAGATCTGCCACCTCAGCCTCCCGAAGTGCTGGGATTACAGGTGTGAGCCACCACACCTGTTCTGGTGATGTTTTGAGAGCAGAAATATGCCTCTTTTTTTTTTTTGAGACAGAGTTTCACACTTATTGCCCAGGCTGGAGTGCGGTGGCGTGATCTCGGCTCACTGCAACCTCCACCTCCCAGGTTCAAGCGATTCTCCTGCCTCAGCCTCCCGAGTAGCTGGGATTACAGGCATGCACCACCACACCCAGCTACTTTTGTATTTTTAGTATTTCTCCATGTTGGTCAGGCTGGTCTTGAACTCCCAACCTCAGGTGATCTGCCCGCTTTGGCCTTCCAAAGTGCTGGGATTACTGGTGTGAGCCACCGCACCCAGCCTATGACATAGGAATTTAACTCTTGTTTATATCAACTAGCCTATGGTAAAATTGGTTTCATTATATGTTGTCTTGCTTAAAGTCACAGTTTCCAGGAAGCTGTGATGAAATTGAGGACTTACTGTATGCCATTATCTGTTTAAAAGAAATGATAAGTACCAACCCATGGCCCCTGTTTCCATGGGACCTAAGATGAAATGCCCAAGGTAAAGGCGATGGCTTCCATCTCCCAGTCCCCCGAGCCTGTCTGAGCTCCAATACTGGTTCTCTGTCCTGTGCCGTACCCCTTGGGAGACACTGACTTTCTCCCCCCAATCCAGTGGTCCCAAATAATCACCTCTGTAGTTGCAGAAGTGGAGAAGTGGACTGAGCCTTCACATTGCCTGAAAGATGGGGAACTCCGCCCTCTAGTGTCCGTCAGCACAGCAAGTGGGACACTTCCATTTCCAAAGTGGAAAGACGGTGCCTTTAAAGATGTAACCCCAACGGAGGTCAAGGTCTGAAAGGGGCACATTCTTTCCATGACTCTAGCCTGATAAAGACACCCACAACCCTCCCGCCACTTGCAAGATTTGATCCGAAACCAGCTTCTAACAGCTGCCAAACTAAAATGCCTTAGAGACATGGGGTAACCAAATTACAAACGCACGTTCCATTTGATGCAGCCATGCCACCTCTAGAACTGTATGCTGCAAATACAGAGTCGCACATGTGCAGTCACCTGTGCACAAGATTACTGTTGCAGCTGTTGGTGTTAGTGAAAAACGGACACTCCCTAAATGTGCACCGTAGAGAGTAGGTGTACCAGCCTCTGCTGCGTGGAACAGCCTGCAGTGGTTGAAAAATGAGGAAATCTGCACATTCATGTTCACAGCAGCGTCATTCACAACAGCCAAGAGGTGGAAACAACCCAGGCGTCCACCAACAGGTCAACAGATAAACACAATGTGGTCTGTACATGCAGTGAAATATTATTCACCTTTAGAAAGGAAGGCGTTTTGACACATGCTACCACATGGATGAACCTTGAAGACAATATGCTCAGTAAAACAAAGCAGTCACAGGCCGGGCGCAGTGGCTCACGCCTGTAATCCGAGTTTGGGACCAGCCTGACCAACATGGTGAAACCCTGTTTCTATTAAAAATACAAACAAAAAAAAATTGCTGGGAGTGGTGGCACACACCTGTAATCCCAGCTACTCGGGAGGCTGAGGCAGGAGAATCACTTGAGCCCAGGAGTGCAAGTTGCAATGAGCTGAGATCGCACCACTGCACTCCAGCCTAGGCGATAGAACAAGATTCTGTCTCAAAAAAAAAAAAAAAAGACAGTCACAAAAGAACAAATGATTGCACTTGTTTGAGTTTCTTAGAGGAGTCATATGCATAGAGACGGACAATAGAATGGTAGGTGTCAGGGGCTGAGGGAAGGAGAACAGGCAGTTAGTGTTTAACGGGGACAGAGTTTTGATTTTGCAAGACAAAAAAGAGTTCTGGAGGTTGGTGGTAGTGATGGTTGCACAACAATGCAAATGTACTTAATATCACTGAACTGTACACTTATTAGTAAAATGGTTAAAATGGTGAATTTTATGTTACGTGTATTTTACCATTAAAAAATGAAGAAATTTCTTTGCTATTGTGGCACACACACAAAAAGAAATTCTTTGTTTTCGTATCTCCTTCCTTCTAGAGATATGGAAATATCTCCAACTTATTACATAAAAATAACATGGAGAACAACGTATGTATGGTGTGCTAACATTTATGCCAAAACAGGAAATACATATGCAATTGCTTGTAACTACATAAAATATCTCTAGGGCCCGCATGAAACTGGTCACACTGGCTGCTCCTGGTGAGGTTGTAGGAGGCTGAGCACAGAGCCAGCAGGGGACTTTTTGGTTATTTTTATTTTGAACCATGAGAAGGTATTAATCACACACACAGTAAGCGAAATAAAAATGCCATTTTCGGAAAGAATAAAGCCATTTATGGAAAGCCATGAATATGGGTTGCCTGCATACAGGCAGGTGTAATGGTGGTACAGATCACCATTATTCTGCTGGAAATAAAACTGACCTATATGGACCCCAGGTGCAGACCTGTTATGAACTGAATATTTATCAAAATTAAAATGTTGAAACCCTAACCTCCTATGGTGTTAGGAGGTGAGGACTCGGAGGTAATAAGGTTATGAGGATGGGGCCCTATAATGAGGTTAGTGCCTTTATAAGAAGAGAGAAGAGAGCTTGCTCACTCTCTCTCTCTCCTCACCGTCTGAGGATACAATGAGAAGGCAGCTGTCTGCAAACCAGGAAGAGAGACCTCACTAGGAACAGCACTGACCAGCAGCTTGATCTTGAATTTCCAGGCTCCAGAACTGTGAGAAATCAATTTCTGTTGTTTAATCTGTGTATCTGTGGCATTTGTCACAGAAGTCTCAGCTGAGGGAGATAAGACCTTAAGTCTTCTTAGGGGTTTAACTATATGGTCTGATCAATTACAGATGCTGATAAAACACAAACACCTTCCTTTTTAAAACTGAGATTCACTTGCTAAATTATTTCCCTGTGAGATCTTGTGACAACCATTCATGTGTGATTACATGGAAAGAACACGAAAGTGAGAGCCAAGCCGGGCATAGTGGCTACGCCTGTAATCCCAGCACTTTGGGAGGCTGAGGGGGGCGGATCACCTGAGGTCAGGAGTTCGAGACCAGCCTGACCAATATGGTGAAACCGTGTCTCTACTAAAAACACAAAAATTAGCTGGGCGTGGTGGTGCATGCCTGTAATCCCAGCTACTCAAGAGGTTGAGACAGGAGAATTGCTTGAACCCAGGAGGCGGAGGTTGCAGTGAGCTGAGATCTCGCCATTGTACTCCAGCCTGGATGACAGAGTGAGACTCCATCTTAAAAAAAAAAAAAAGAAAAGAAAAAGAAAGAAAGAGAGAAAGAAAGAGCCATCAGAACATGAGACTCCCTGCGCTTTGGGCAGCCAGGGAGACGAGCGTCTGTCTCCCTGGGGAGGGAGAGTTTACAGCTTTCTGCAGACCATGGCAGGGGGGTTATGTTTCATGTCATGGACTCACAAAGTTGGGGGTTTCAGAAGGGACCCCAGGAATCAACTAGTGCAACTCCCATTCCACAGATCAACAAACCAAGGCCCAGATTGAGAAAGTGACCGTCTGAAGTGTCCTTAGGATGGTTTTAGGATGACATCATGCTCCATGCCACAGCCCACCTGATTTGGGCCAGGAGCCCCTCCCCAAACTCTGCCAGCCTCACCTGGCCCTGGACCCCCACCAAGTTCCGGGCACAGTGGTCTGCTCACTGCTCCTCCACATAGAGCTCATGCTCCAGCCGCCACCCCGCCCCTGCCGACCCCGGGCCTTCACTCACTCTCAACTCTACATCTTTTCAGGGTCACACTCTCAACACCACAACCACAGCTGCTTCACCATCTGGGCTGCTCAGGGCCTCCGAGTGCCACGCATTCTCTCCACAGCTCTAAGCACTATCTGAAATTAGCTCACTTCTTTTCCTTTTTTTTGTCTTCTCTCTCCCCCTGAACCTGGGGCCCCCGAGGGCAGGGGCCTGGTCTCATTTGCCCTGGTAACCCCAGTTCCTCAAGCAGCATCTGGTTCATAGGAGGTGCTCAAGAAATACGCAATGGATGAGTAAACAAAAGACTGAGTGACTGGAAGCCCCAGAACCCGGGCCCGGCAGAGCGTCATTCCATAAAGCACCGGCCTTTACAAAAGCCCGGCTGTTCATGGACTGCCATGTGTGGTGCATCTGGGTGCGGCTTCACTGCCCTGGTTGGTGGGCTGATACTGATTTTGGGGTTTTCTCCTATATCATCAGAGCACATCTCCCCTCTCACAGAGGAAGACAAATTCTTCCTTGGGTCTGTAAGACTTTTCAGACTTTTTTTTCTTTTTTTGAAACAGAGTCTCACTCCGTCACTCAGGCTGGAGTGCAGTGGTGTGATCTCAGCTCACTGCAACCTCAGCCTCCCGGGTTCAAATGATTCTCCTGCCTCAGCCTCCTGAGTGGCTGGAATTACAGGTGTGTGCCACCATACCTGGCTAATTTTTGTATTTTTAGTAGAGATGGGGTTTCACTGTGTTGGCCAGACTGGTCTCAAATTGCTGACCTCAGGTGATCTGCCCACCTCAGCCTCCCAAAATACTGGGATTATAGGCGTGAGCCACTGTGCCCTGCCTGTAAGACTTTGTAATACTTAATACTAAGTTATGTGTGCCACCAGCATGTACACATAATCATTTTCTTCTCCTTTAAGTAAAAAATGAGAAAGAACAGACACGTGGTACAGGGTCTGAGACAGAAAACCACTCTGGCCAGCAGCAGCATCGAAGGCACAAAGCAACCTTTGGTTCTGCCAGGAGGCTGTTCCTCCGCCACTGAGAGAGCCCATACCCGCATCCCAGCGGCTCCAGACGCCAGCTTCTGCCAGCTCTCAGGAATGTTTTGCTCCTGATCCACTTCTGCGTCTACTTCCTGATGCACTGGCTCCAGCCCAGCCGACATGCACGGCAGCAGAGAGATGGCTGTCACATCGGCTGCTCAAGCAGTCAGGGGCCAAGTGGAATCCTGGCACTGGGGAGAACGTTCACCACAGCGATGGAGCTAGTCTGTGATTCCGCTTGAAAAGCCACCTGCTAGGCGGTTTGTCTGCTCTCAGCCGGGCACCCTCACGCACCTGCAGTGGCGACAGGTGGGTCTTGTTGCTGTGGGCTGTCCCGATGCAATGGGCTGTAGCTGTCCCAATGCACTGAACTCTGTGCTCCAGCGGGCTGGCCCAGACACAGTGCAGCAGCTGGCAGAGCTGAGAGAAGAAGTGTGCAGTCCCCTGGCAGCCTCAGCTCAGGGCTGGCCTACAGTCACGTCTGCCACACCACTGCTCAAAGCCACTCTCCTGGATGTGCCACACTCAAACAGGAGAAACAGACGCCACCTCTTCAGATGAAGAGCTGCAAAGTCATCGATTTAAAGAGCAGCAAACTCATATCCTCATTTCTTTCTTTCTTTTTGAGACAGGGTCTTGCTCTGTTGCCCAGGCTGGACTAGAACTCCTGAGCTCAAGTAATCCTCCTGTTCACAGACCAAACTGAAGGTAGACCACCTATGCTCATGTCCCAGTGACAAGATGCAGATGAACTAGGAGAGAAGGGAGTTTTTATTTCTGTAACCAGTTACAGAGAGAAGGCCTGGAAATTATCACCAGACCAACTTAAAATGACAGCGTTTTCCAGAGCTTCTATACCTTCTCAGCTGTGTGTCTACGTGTGAGTGTGCATCCATCTAAAGACATAAGTGATTAACTTCTAATCCATAACTAAGATCTGAGTCCAGAAGACCTTCCTCCGGAGCCTCAGTGAATTTAATTAACCTAGCTGGGTCCAGGTGCTGGGGTGAAAACCCGGATCTGGCCTCCTGCTAAGTCATGGAGGTTTGGGGAGTTCCTTTAGTCTCCAGTAAAGCCTGTTTGTGGAGGCCTGGGGAGTTTCTTCAGACCCCCAATAAAATTTGTTTAATCCTAAATGGGTCCTGTTAAGAATTCCTTTGTTATCTCTTCATGCTTTAAAGCCCAGGAAAGGCCTGGGCAAAACTCTTGGTGGGCTTTTGTTACATTCCAGCCTTTGTATAAGGGCGCTGGCTCTTTCAGCTTTTAATATTTAACTTTACCACTTGGTCAGTACTGAAACAGTTGTTATGGAGGCCTGTGTTAGTGAGACCTGGCCTGCCACACCCCCACCTCAGCCTTGCAAGTAGCTGGGACCGTAGGTGTGTATGACCACAACCGGCTACGAAGTCCTATTTCTAAGGTGCATGGAAACAGTGAAGGGAAAATTAAGGCTATTTTCGCAAACAAAACATTCAAACAGGCCGGGCGCGGTGGCTCACGCCTGTAATCCCAGCACTTAGGAAGGCCGAGGCGGGTGGATCATGAGGTCAGGAGATCGAGACCATCCTGGCTAACAAGGTGAAACCCCGTCTCTACTAAAAATACAAAAAATTAGCCGGGCGCGGTGGCGGGCGCCTGTAGTCCCAGCTACTCGGGAGGCTGAGGCAGGAGAATGGCGTGAACCCGGGAAGCGGAGCTTGCAGTGAGCCGAGATTGCGCCACTGCAGTCCGCAGTCCGGCCTGGGCGACGGAGCGAGACTCCGTCTCAAAAAAAAAAAAAAAAAAAAAAAAAAAATTCAAACAAACCATTTACAGCAGAATAAACAAATAAAAGCAAGTACTATAGATTGCATAGCCCTCATCAGGGGTCTGAGGCAGGACTCCAAAGGCAAATATACTGATATTTCTGCAGCCAAATTCATCATGGTAAGTGGAACAAATATCCCATAAACAGGATTACAGCTTGCTTCCAGCTGATTTATATAGTAATACAGTAGTTCATGAAATAGCAAGATAACCACATACCATAAATTTTCTAGTACTTCTTACTCCCAAAGACAATGTTCACTAAAGCTTCAAACACAGGTTCAAGTGAAGCCAAATGTCTGTGAAAGAAAAAAAGTCGTTTAAAAGCAAATAAAATTTCAGGACCCTCTAAATTTATTATGTCAAAGGGGATGTTAAGCCCTGGAGACTGAGTCAGTAGCATATTTGCAAATTCTGCTTCTTAGATTACAGCTTAACTCTCTTCCCCAGGGTCCTTGTTCTGGACATGACTAGGAGAAACATGAAGAACTGCAAAGTTATTGATGTTCTGAAACGCTGCAAAGTCATATTGTCATATTTCTTTCTTTTTGAGACAGGGTCTTGCTGTGTTGTTCAGGCTGGATTGGAACTCCTGAGCTCGACTGGGCACAGTGGCTCACACCTGTAATCCCAGCACTTTGGGAGGCTGAGGCGGGTGGATCACTTGAGGTCAGGAGGTCAAGACCAGCCTGACCAACATGGTGAAACCCCGTCTCTACTAAAAATACAAAAATTAGGCAGGCGTGGTGGCAAGTACCTGTAATCCCAGCTCCTCAGGAGGCTGAGGGAAGAGAATCACTTGAACCTGGGAAGTGGAGGTTGCATTGAGCCAAGATCGCGCCATTGCACTCCAGCCAGGGTGACAGAGCGAGACTCGTCTCAAAAAAAAAGAACTCCTGAGCTCAAGTAATCCTCCTGCCTCAGTCTCCCAGAGACCAGATCTCCTCCTTCCCAT
Organism: Homo sapiens; assembly: GCF_000001405.40. Lineage (NCBI taxonomy): Eukaryota > Metazoa > Chordata > Mammalia > Primates > Hominidae > Homo > Homo sapiens. The sequence continues at coordinate 43,132,381 of NC_000021.9, read as the reverse complement.
CACTGATCTCTGTTACAGATTAGCTGCCTCCTTTATTGTCCTGTACCCAACTCAGATCAGATGGCGCAAAGACCTCATGACGGTTGCATCTTCAGTGGGGAAGATTAAATACACCTTTCTTCTTCTTCTTCTTCTTTTTTTTTTTTTTTGAGACAGAGTCTGGCTCTGTTGTCCAGGCTGGAGTGCAGTGGTGTGATCTTGGCTCACTGCAACCTCCGCCTCCCGGGTTCAAGCAATTCTCCTGCCTCAGCCTCCCGAGTAGCTGGGGTTATAGGTGCCTGCCACCACGCCCAGCTAATTTTTGCATTTTTAGTAGAGACAGGGTTTCACCATGTTAGCCATGCTGGTCTTGAACTCCTGCCCTCAGGTGATCTGCCCACCTTGGCCTCCCAAAGTGCTAGGATTACAGGCATGAGCCACTATGCCTGGCCAAATACACCTTTCTTGAAAGAAAAAGACCACCTCGACTAATCAGACCATTGTAACTATGCATTAAAGCCTAAAGATGTTGAAATTCTGGTAAGCTTCCATAAACTTTATCTATATACATGGTCCCAAACTTCTATACTTCAGAACACTGACTTCCATTCTTTGGAATCTGTGCTTCCTGGATGGCTGGACTTAAACCTTGCACTTGAATAAACTCTCCTTAAACTAGATTCTGGCCCTTTTGACTATTTTAGATTGACACCTGTATGCATACATGTAATGAATCAGGCTACATCTGGCTGCTTGGGGGTCTTGGGAAAGGGAGCACAGCAGTGATACATTGCTGAGGTCATGGGGCTGGAGGCAGCATGGAGGATGGATTGAAGAGTCTCTGAAGTCCTGGGGCAGCACCGTGTCAATGGGCTTCTCGGCACTTCCTCCCACAACACCAGTGCCACACCTAAGCATCTCTCTAATTCAGGGGTCCTCCTGCTCACTGATAAATGTCCTTGAAGCCAGCAGTTAGCAGGCCACAGATATTGCCAGATAGTCTGTGGGGACTCCCCAGGGTCCACATCTCCCCGACATTTCCCCTCCCATTGTCACTGGTATTCAGTCGATTCCAGCAATTTCTCCATCATGCGAGGCAGGCACAATAGGTGCCCCATTTCTAGGTTCAGCATCTCTTCTCTGTGACTTTCTCCTGACTCCACTTTTGGTTGATAAACTTTGAGGGTCAATAATGCGGTTTGCTATCACCTTCTTCTGCCATAGATGGGCTTTATCTCCAGGTTCGGTTTCAAGAATTGTTTTAGGTCAAAGTGCTCGTGCAGTTGTGAAAGGAAAATCTCTTGGGCCCCCAAAATCACGAAGCTAAAGGGAAAAGTCAAACTGGGAGCTGCTTATAGCAAACCTGCCTCCCTTTCTACTGCAAGTCACCCCTCTGCTCACTGAGATAAATGCATATCTGATTGCTTCCTTTGGAGGGGCTCATCAGAAGCTCAAAAGAATGCGACCACTTGTCTCTTATCTACCCATGACCTGGAAGCCCCCTCCGGCTTTGAGTTCCGCTTTTGCTTTGAGTTGTCCCACCTTTCCGGACCAAACCAATGTTCATCTTACATGTGTTAACTGATGTCTCAGGTCTCCCCAAAGTGTCTAAAACCAAGCTGTGCTCCGACCACCTTGGGCACATGTTGTCAGGACCTCCTGAGGCCATGTCACGGGTACACGTCCTCAACCTTGGCAAAATAAACTTTCTAAATTAACTGAGGCCTGTCTCAAATGGTTGGGGTTCACACAGTCAACCAAGCGCACGTTAGTGGAACTGTCCATCCTGTCCGAGCATTTGTGACTGTGTGAATGGCAGCCTTGTGAGTGAACTTAGTCAGGAAGCCCTGCTTTCTGTTAATGGCAGGATTCCCCCTTCCCCCCAAAAAATCATTTATATTCACTCTTATTGGAGTGTAAAACTCCCTTCACAAATCGTGGAAAGTAAATGTCAGAAACATTGCTTTTCAAAAGACTTTCAGGAAAGGAATGTGTGGAGCAGCTGTGCAGAAATAACAAAATGTTCGTTTTTCTTCCAGACCAGCTTATCTGCAGTGAATTCCTGGCACTGATACAAAGGATTATTAAACCATGCAGAAAACATGGCTCGAGTTCCCAGTATATGTTCCCTTGCATACTAGCATACACCGTTCACACCAGTGGCTTTTTCCAACCACAACTAGCTTTGGCCAGCATCATCTCGTGCCTTTCCTCCTGGACGCCTGTTGTGACTCTCCGCAACCATCCTGCCTGTCTAGAAAGGAGCACAGGTGAAGCTGCCTGACTCATCAGCTACACAAACTTGTTCTGACTTAGGTTTTGTTGTTTTTTGGCTTTCAGACAGGGTCTCTCTCTGTCACCCAGGCTGAAGTGCAGTGGCACCATCTTGGCTCACTGCAGCCTCAACCTCCCTGGGCTCAGTGATCCTCCTACCTCAGCCTCCAGAGTAGCTGGGACTACAGGCATGCACCACCATGCTTGGCTAATTTCTGTATTTTTTGCAGAGATGGGGTTTTGCCACGTTGGCCAGACTGGTCTCAAATTCCTGGGCTCAAGCAATCCACTTGCCTTGGACTCCCAAAGTGCCGGGATCGCAGGCGTGAGCCACCGCGCCTGGTTGAGACTAAGGTTTTCAGAGGATACAAATCCATCAATGTAATTTTCAGCTGTTTCCTGATCAGGAAAGAAGCCTTTCCACCACAGCTATGCAGATTGTTTTACACCATGACACTTCTTGAATATTCATGCTCACCTTTAAAGTTCAGTTCTTCCTGCTGTATTCCAGCTTCTTTCATAACCAACAAACCACTCCTTGGCATACAGTGACTACTTCATTGCCAATTCCGTTCCATCCATTCCTGGTCAAGATCTCTCTCCCTACACCACACCCCACTGACCCTGTGTTTTCCATATTTCAATGGCTCTTGGTAATCACAATTATTATAAATTTTCAACTGTTTGTCTTTTTTTTAATAGAGAGGGGATCTTGCTATGTTGGCCAGGTTGGTCTTGAACTCTTGACCTCAAGCAATCCTCCCACCTCAGCCTCCCAAAGTGCTAGGATTATAAGCATGAGCCACCACGCACAGCCCAACTGCTTGTCTTTTGATGGCTTCCCAACATCACTGATGCTTTCTGCACTATTGACAAAGAGAGTGTTTCCATGTGTCCTTCCCACAGTGAGCACTGGGTACATGCTACCCTTTTTGTATGAATTCACAGTGCAATTAAACCCATGGTCACAAAAAGACAAATGCATTTTAAAAATTAAAACATATACATTGTCAGCAACCAGCAGAGGTGCCTGTAACAGAGGGAGTGTTGGGATGCTGCCAACACCTTGGGTCAGGTCAGCTTTTGCAAATTTTGGCACCAAGTTTACAGAAAAAAAAAAAAAGTCCTTTTCATTTTCACAGCTTTTTGCTTTTTGGAATGCTGACAAGGGCCTGTGGGTCTGTTCCATCATGGAATCAGGATGAAAAGACAGAATTGGAGTCCTCAAAGCAACCCCAGTCTAGTAGGACAGAGATGTCAACACCGCATTAGAGCATCATTCAACAAGGGCAGTTTCTGATGCCTCATGGGCACCTACTAAGTGCCAAGCTTCGTCCACTCCTCAAAGGCAGGTTGGCTGATCCTATTAGCCAATGGAAACCCTGAGTCTAGAGAACTTCATAATGCAGGTCATGCAGCAGGAAGTGGCAAAGCAGGATAGCAGATCCAGGTCTGTTCAACCTTTGCAGGTAAGGAGGGGAAGCTGTTGAGAACCCAAAATGCATTGCACATCTGGGAGGGGGATGACTCCAAGGAGGCCTCAAGGGCCAAACTGGAATGCTGGGAAGGAGGGAGTGGGCATGGGTCCTGGAAGAACACACTGTGCACAGGCAGGAGGCTCCCACGACCAAGAGCTGAAAGTTGCCCGGCACATTCCAGGGACTGGGAGCCATGGAGGGTTCCCAGTAAGAAACAGCAGGATCGAATCTGTATTTCCCACAGAGCCCTCTGGCAGAAGGACAAATGGTCACCTAGAAAAGGAGGAAACAGCATAGATACTGCTGTAGTGATCCAGGTACACTCAGGAATGGCCAAGAGGAGGAAAAGGAGCAGACATGGTTGAGAGAAGCCAAGGAATTAGAATGGATGTGAATCAGACAACTTAGGGCAACCCAGGTGGGCTCAGGCTATAGATGACTGGCATTTACTAAATGCTTGAACAGAACGTCAAGAGATGGGAGGAGAAGGATAAAATGAAGTCAGCTGGAGATATGTTGAGCTGAGGTGCCTGGCACACTTCTAAGTGGAGATCTGTCTTCCGAATTTGTGTCTGTGCACCTGCCACAGTATCTGACACATCAGACATGCCCCCCAAAATATAAGATGGATGGACGGACAGATGGATGGATGGATAGATGGATGAATGACTCAGTGGGATGGATAGATGGATGGATGAATGGATGAATAAATGGGTGGGTGAAAGGACAGATGGATGGATGGATGGATGTCTGGGTGAGTGGATGGATGGATGGATGGATGGACGGACTAACAGACAAATGGGTGGATGGCTAGATGAGCGGATTGGTGGGTGAAAGGACAGACATATGAATGAACAGATGAAGGGAGGAATGAATTCTCGACTTTAAATAATGAGATTTAGAAAATATGATTAAGTACAAAGTTTATTCAAGCCCAAAGCTTAAGGATGGCCACCTGGGAGCCTAGATTCAAGTTCCCCTGAATAGATGCTCCAATTAGCAGCAGTGGGTTCTTTTTTTTTTTTTTTTTTTGAGACAGGGTCTCACTCTGTCACCCAGTCTGGAGTGCAGTGGTGTGATCACAGCTTACTGCAGCCTCAACCTCCCAGATTCAAGCAATCCTCTCTCCTCAGCCTGCCTCAGTAGCTGGGACCACAGGCACATGCCCTTATGCTTGGATAATTTTTTAAAATTTTTTATAAAGACAGGCTCTCACTATGTTGTCTCAAACAAAAACAAAACAAAAAGCCCCACTCTCCTGTCTCTCTGGGCCTGATAACTTTGGCACACCTCACATAGCTCAGACTGCTCTGTGCTATTTTTTTCCCCATTTCTCCCCTTTTCATCAAGACCTTTCAAAGAAGGCCTCATAGAAAAATGCAAATTGTTTTGGCTCCCTTTATGTTCAGGAGCTTAGTCCTGAGTTGCTAGGAAGGTTAATTATCAGATGGCCTTGTCCCATGTAGGGGAGGGGAGATGTATTAAGCCATTCTTGCATTGCTATAGAGAAATAACCAGCTGGCTGCACTGGCTCGCGCCTGTAATCACAACACTTTGGGAGGCCGAGGTGGGCAGATGGCTTGAGCCCAGGAGTTTGAGACCAGCCTGGGCAGCATGACAAAACCTCACCTTTACTAAAAATTCAAAAAAAATTAGCCAGGCATGGTGGTACATGCCTGTAGTCTCAGTCACTCGGGAGGCTGAGGTGGGAGAATCACCTGAGCCTCGGGAGGAGAAGGCTGCCGTGAGCCATGATCATGCCACTGTACTCTAGCCTGGGTGACAGAGTAAGAACCTATCTTGCATGAAAATAAATAAATAAGTAAATAAATAAATAAATAAAAATAAGAAATACCTGAGATTGGGTAATATATAAGAAAAGAGGTTTAATTGGCACATGGTTCTGCAGGCTTTACAGGAAGTATGGTGCTGGCATCTGTTCAGCTTCTAGGAAGGCCTTAGGAAGCTGACAATCAGGGCAAAAGGTAAAGGGAGAGTGGGCATGTCACAAAGGGAAAGCAGGAACAAGAGAGAAAGAGGGAGAGAGTGGCAGGTGAGGTGCCACACACTTTTAAAAGACCAGATCTCATGAGAACTCACTATCACGAGGACAGCACCAAAGGGAGGGTGCTAAGCCATTCGTGAGAAATCCACCACCGTGAGCCAACCACCTCCACCAGGCCCCACCTCCAATGTTGGGGATTATATTTCAATATCAGATTTGGGTGAGGACAAATATCCAAATTATATCAGGGAAGGATACCTCTCAGTGAGGAATCTGAAGAAAGCCAAAAGCCAAATTGGGATGGCATCACAGGGTGGCAAAAATGAGACCTCAGCCAAGTCATCAATTTATATAACTGCTGTTGCCTGTTGAATCATCTCTAGTCTTCAGAATACCATGAATTTGGTTTTCTTAGGGGAAGTAAAACAATGAGAGATACAGCTGGGCGTGGTGGCTCATGCCTGCAATCCCGGCACTTTGGGAGGCTGAGGCAGGTGGATCACTTGAGGTCAGGAGTTTGAGACCAGCCTGGCCAACATGGTGAAACCCCGTCTCTACTAAAAATACAAAAAATTAGCCGGGCATGGTGGCAAGCACCTGTAATCCCAGCTACTCTGGAGGCTGAGGCAGGAGAATCACTTGAACCCAGGAGGCAGAGATTGCAGTGAGCTAAGATCAAGCCATTGCACTCCAGCCTGGGCAACAAGAGTGAAACTCCATCTCAAAAAAAAAAAAAAAAAGAGAGAGAGAGAGATACATAGTAGAAATATAATACACATAAGAATTATAATCAGAAAGAAATGTGTATGCCAGAACAGAAGAAAACAATTCAATTTATGAGTGAACTAAAAACATCATAAAGAAAATTAAAACCCAGACCTTCTTTAAAGACTTGTTGTAGCCAGGAAATAATTAAGGATTGCAGGAAAATAACAAAAACTCAGAAACAATCATCAGGGCTGGAATCTATCAATAGGTATAAAATCGTTTTCTTCTGAAACATAATTTTTCTCTCTCAGATTCCCCATTTCTACCAAAGATAAATCTTAGTGGGACCAAGTTACTTGTAAAATAAGTTTTAGCATTATATTCAGCTTCATTATTTGCATAAAGTGGAACAAGAATAATGACTGATCATAAAGGTTCTTTTCAAGTTGGCTTTGAAGGAATTTTCATAGAGAATTTCAGATTAGACTTTTTAATCTGAGGCTTTAAAAAGCCAAAGATTCATCTTCAGATTGTGCCTGTAACACCTGCATGAACTGGGTGAGTTCCTCTTTTCTCAAGGCCCCAAAATATTTGAGGTTCCTGGGCCTGTCAGAAAGGGACATTATTTACTTACCTCAAGATCAGGAACCTTGTAAGGGAACTGTATAGATAAGGTACATGGCCACTCTTTCCAGGTAGCTTTTTATTGACTCTATAAAGCCAACCTGAATTCCTCAGAGCAGTCTGGTCATATCTGAAAATATGCCATTCCAGTCAAAGCCTTGCTAGAATAACCAGTGCCTTCAATTGTGTTCTGTTAACAAAGGAAAAAAATTTTTTACTAAAATTATGCAAATAATTATATTACAATAAAATAAGAATACTCATTCATAGTTTCTGAATTCTGGAGAAATCAGGTAGAAAGATAAATGCTTCAATTTTGCTCACAAAAATATATTTTACCCAATTGCTATAAGCTCTAAACAGATTTTTTTTTTTAAAGTTTTTGGCCAGGTACTGTGGCTCACGCCTGTAATCCCAGCACTTTGGGAGGCCAAGGAGGGTGGATCACTTGATGTCAGGAGTTCGAGACCAGCCTGGCCAACATGGTGAAACCCCGTCTCTACTAAAGGCATGGTGGCGCACACCTATAATCCCAGCTATTCAGGAGGCTGAGGCAGAAGAATCGCTTGAACCCGGGAGGCGGAGGTTGCAGTGAGCCGAGATTGCACCACTGCACTACAGCCTGGGCAACAAGAGCGAAACTCCATCTCAAAAAAAAAAAAACAAAAGTTTTCTTAACTCTCGAAAACAAAACAAAAAGAGTTAGCAATGTTTCAACAAAAAAGTCATAAAAATAATTTCAGTCCGGTGTAATTAATTATTGTAATGCCTGATGCTGGATTAGAAATCTTCATGAATGCATCAGTTTTTCATTAGTGTTGTGGAAGTTTTTACCTAGTCCAATGGTATGATCTCTAAGTTTATTAGAAACCTGTATTCAAGAGTACTTCTCAGTGTCCTTTCCATGAATTTCCTTGAAGAAAAGATAAACTTTGGACTGCAGCTGATTGTAAACCACTTTTTTTCTTTTCTTTTTTCTTTTCTTTTTTTTTTTTTTTTGAGATAGAGTCTCCCTCTGTTTCCCAGGCTGGAGTGCAGCAGTGTGATCTCAGCTCACTGCAATCTCCACCTCCAGGGTTCAAGCGATTCTCCTGCCTCAGCCTCCCAAGTAGCTGGGACCACAGCTGTGAATCCATCTGGTCCTGGACTTTTTTTGGTTGGTAGACTATTAATTATTGCCTCAATTTCAGAGCCTGTTATTGGTCTATTCAGGGATTCAACTTCTTCCTGGTGTAGTCTTGGGAGGGTGTATGTGTCCAGGAATTTATCTATTTCTTCTAGATTTTCTAGTTTTATTGTGTAGAGGTGTTCATAGTATTCTCTGATGGTAGTTTGTATTTCTGTGGGATTGGTGGTGATATCCCCTTTATCATCTTTTATTGCGTCTATCTGATTCTTCTCTCTTTTCTTCTTTATTAGTCTTGCTAGCGGTCTATCAATTTTGTTGATCTATTCAAAAAACCAGCTCCTGGATTCATTGATTTTTTGAAGGGTTTTTTGTGTCTCTATCTCCTTCAGTTCTGCTCTGATCTTAGTTATTTCTTGTCTTCTGCTAGCTTTTAAATGTGTTTGCTCTTGCTTCTCTAGTTCTTTTAGTTGTGATGTTAGGGTGTCAATTTTAGAACTTTCCTGCTTTCTCTTGTGGGTATTTAGTGCTGTCCAGCTTTGTTCCATTGCTGGTGAGGAGCTGCATTCCTTTGGAGGGGGAGAGGCGCTCTGATTTTTAGAATCTTCAGCTTTTCTGCTCTGTTTTTTCCCCATCTTTGTGGTTTTATCTACCTTTGGTCTTTGATGATGGTGATGTACAGATGGGGTTTTGGTGTGGATGTCCTTTCTGTTTGTTAGTTTTCCTTCTAACAGTCAGGACCCTCAGCTGCAAGTCTGTTGGAGTTTGCTGGAGGTCCACTCCAGACCCTGTTTGCCTGGGTATCAGCAGCAGAGGCTGCAGAACAGTGAATATTGCTGAACAGCAAATGTTGCTGCCTGATCGTTCCTCTGGAAGCTTCGTCTCAGAGGGGTACCCGGCCATGTGAGGTGTCAGTCTGCCCCTTCTGGAGGGTGCCTCCCAGTTAGGCTACTTGGGGGTCAGGGACCCACTTGAGGAGGCAGTCTGTCCGTTCTCAGATCTCAAACTCCGTGCTGGGAGAACCACTGCTCTCTCCCATTCTGGCTAAATGAATGACTTATTTTACACAGACCTGTGATCCTATTTTGATATCAAATGTTTTCTTTTTTCCTTTTTTTTTTTTTTTAGATGGAATCTCGCTCTGTCACCCAGTCTGGAGTGTAGTGGTGTGATCTCAGCTCACTACAACCTCCGCCTCCTGGATTCAAATGATTCTCCTACCTCAGCCACCCAACTAGCTGGGATTACAGGTGTGCACCATCACACCTGGGTAATTTTTGTATTTTTAGTAGAGATAGGGTTTTGCCACGTTGGTCAGGCTGGTCTTGAACTCATGACCTCAGGTGATCCACCCACCTCGGCCTCCCAAAGTGCTGTGATTATAGGCGTGAGCCACTGTGTCTGGCCATATTTTGATATCAAATGTTTTAAACCTTTGATATTTGACATACTTCCCAAAATCAATTTTTTTTTTGTTTTTTGAGATAGGGTCTCACTCTTTTACTCAGGCTGGAGTGGCACAGTCATGGCTCACTGTAACCTCTCCCTCCTGGGCTCAAGCAGTACTCCCACCTCAGCCTCTAGAGCAGCTGAGACTACAGATGCACGCCACCACACTCAGCTTAATTTTTAAATTCTTTTTTTAGAGATGAGGCTTGATCATATTGTCCAGGCTGATCTTGAACTCCTGGGCTCAAGCGATCTGCCTTCCTTGGCTTCCCAATGTGCTGGGATTACCAGTGTGAGCCACTGTACCCAGCCAAAAATCAAATTTCAAATTCTAAAATTAAGTCTTTTTGACCTGAACTAATGTGGACATAACCTGGACATAACAAATAGAAACTCCTGGAAATCCAAATAGTAGGCTTACTCGGTATGTTAGAATCATACAGGAAGCATTGTCAAATAAACAATAGCGTTTAACTTTCTTTGAGTTATATGTGTATCACACAAGTATAAATGTGTGATTAATATTTGTTCCAAAATCATATGAGATTTCTAAAATTTTGATATGTCCTGGTATATGTTATCAGTCATAATTATGATTATGATGTTACATTGTTAGATGCCACAGAAATAACCAATTTTCCTTGTCACAGGCATCTTTAACTATGGCTACTATAAGTCTTTTGTCATCCGTAGACAATTACTGTTTTACTTTGATTCTTTTCGAAAAGTGGTTTACGGCCTGGCATGGTGGCTCACACCTGTAATCCCAGCACTTTGGGAGGTCGAGGCTGGTAGATCACCTGAGGTCAGGAGTTTGAGGCCAGCCTGGCCAACGTGGTGAAACCCCGTCTCTACTAAAAATACAAAAATTAGCCGGATGTGGTGGTGGGCACCTGTAGTCCCAGCTGAATGCTACCAGAGGTACAAGGAGGAGCTGGTACCATTCCTTCTGAAACTATTCCAATCAACAGAAAAAGAGGGAGTCCTCCCTAACTCATTTTATGAGGCCAGCATCATCCTGATACCAAAGGCTGGCAGAGACACAACAAAAAAAGAGAATTTTAGACTAATATCCCTGATGAACACTGATGCAAAAATCCTCAGTAAAATACTGCCAAACCGAATCCAGCAGCACATCAAAAAGCTTATCCACCATGATTAAGTGGGCTTCATCCCTGGGATGCAAGGCTGGTTCAATATACGCAAATCAATAAACATATAATGTTTATTGATTTAACATTATATATTAAATCAGCATATAAACAGAACTAAAGACGAAAACCACATGATTATCTCAATAGATGCAGAAAAGGCCTTGACAAAATTCAACAGCCCTTCATGCTAAAAACTCTCAATAAATTAGGTATTGATGGGACATATCTCAAAATAATAAGAGCTATTTATGACAAACCCACAGCCAATACCATACTGAATGGGCAAAAACTGGAAGCATTCCCTTTGAAAACCGGCACAAGACAGGGATGCCCTCTCTCACCACTCCTATTCAATGTAGTGTTGGAAGTTCTGGCCAAGGCAATTAGGCAGGAGAAGGAAATAAAGGGTATTCAATTAGGAAAAGAGGAAGTCAAATTGTCCCTGTTTGCAGATGGCATGATTGTATATTTAGAAAACCCCATTGTCTCAGCCCAAAATCTCCTTAAGCTGATAAGCAACTTCAGCAAAGTCTCAGGATACAAAATCAATGTGCAAAAATCACAAGCATTCTTGTACACCAATAACAGACAGAGAGCCAAATCATGAGTGAACTCCCATTCACAATTGCTTCAAAGAGAATAAAATACCTAGGAATCCAACTTACAAGAGATGTGAAGGACCTCTTCAAGGAGAACTACAAACCACTGCTCAAAGAAATAAAAGAGGACACAAACAAATGGAAGAACATTCCATGCTCATGCATAGGAAGAATCAATATCGTGAAAATGGCCATACTGCCCAAGGTAATTTATAGATTCAATGCCATCCCCATCAAGCTACCAATGACTTTCTTCACAGAATTGGAAAAAACTACTTTAAAGTTTATATGGAACCAAAAAAGAACCCACATTGCCAAGACAATCCTAAGCCAAAAGAACAAAGCTGGAGGCATCACACTACCTGACTTCAAACTATACTACAAGGCTACAGTAACCAAAACAGCATGGTACTGGTACCAAAACAGAGATATAGACAAATGGAATAGAACAGAGCCCTCAGAAACAATACCACACATCTACAACCATCTGATCTTCGACAAACCTGACAAAAACAAGAAATGGGGAAAGGATTCCCTATTTAATAAATGGTGCTGGGAAAACTGGCTAGCCATATGTAGAAAGCTGAAACTGGATCCCTTCCTTACACCTTATACAAAAATTAATTCGAGATGGATTAAAGACTTAAATGTTAGACCTAAAACCATAAAAACCCTAGAAGAAAACCTAGGCAATACCATTCAGGACATAGGCATGGGCAAGGACTTCATGTCTAAAACACCAAAAGCAATGGCAACAAAAGCCAAAATTGACAAATGGGATCTAATTAAACTAAAGAGCTTCTGCACAGCAAAAGAGACTACCATCAGAGTGAACAGGCAACCTACAGAATGGGAGAAAATTTTTGCAATCTACTCATCTGACAAAGGGCTAATATCCAGAATCTACAAAGAACTCAAACAAACTTACAAGAAAAAAACAAACAACCCCATCAAAAAGTGGGCAAAGGATATGAACAGACACTTCTCAAAAGAAGACATTTATGCAGCCAACAGACACATGAAAAAATGCTTATCATCACTGGCCATCAGAGAAATGCAAATCAAAACCATAATGAGATACCATCTCACACCAGTTAGAATGGCGATCATTAAAAAGTCAGGAAACAACAGGTGCTGGAGAGGATGTGGAGAAATAGGAACACTTTTACACTGTTGGTGGAACTGTAAACTAGTTCAACCATTGTAGAAGTCAGTGTGGTGATTCCTCAAGGATCTAGAACTAGAAATACCATTTGACCCAGCCATCTCATTACTGGGTATATACCCAAAGGATTATAAATCAGGCTGCTATAAAGACACATGCACACGCATGTTTATTGCGGCACTATTCACAATAGCAAAGACTTGTGTCTAAATGTCAATCAATGATAGACTGGATTAAGAAAATGTGGCACATATATACCATGGAATACTATGCAGCCATAAAAAAGGATGAGTTCATGTCCTTTGTAGGGACATGGATGAAGCTGGAAACCATCATTCTCAGCAAACTATCGCAAGGACAAAAAACCAAACACCGCATGTTCTCACTCATGGGGGGAATTGAACAATGAGAACACTTGGACACAGGAAGGGGAACATCACACACCGGGGCCTGTTGTGGGGTGAGGGGAGTGGGGAGGGATAGCATTAGGAGATATACCTAATGTAAATGACGAGTTAATGGGTGCAGCACACCAACATGGCACATGTATACATATGTAACAAATCTGCACATTGTGCACATGTACCCTAGAACTTAAAGTATAATAAAAAAAATAAATAAAGATTTCAAAGAGCAACTCTTTTACTCTAAAATAGAGCAGAGACTCAGTTCCCAATCAAGAGACATAATAAAGATAGCATGAGGCAAATTCTCCCAGCCCCCTTTTTTTGCAGTTTATTCAAAAGGTAAACAAATCTTTTACTTTTTTTTTTTTAGATAGAGTCTCGCTCTGTTGCCCAGATTGGAGTGCAGTGGCACAATTTCAGCTCACTGCAACCTCCACCTCCCGAGTTCAAGCGATTTTCCTGCCTCAGCCTCCCAAGTAGCTGAGATTACAGGCATATACCACCACACCTGGCTAATTTTTGTATTTTTAGTAGAGACAGGGTTTCACCATGTTGGTCATGCTGGTCTTGAACTGCTGACCTCAAGTGATCCACCCACCTTGGCCTCCCAGTGTGCTGGGATTACAGGCATAAGCCACCACACCCAGCTTACTATCTCTTCTTAACACAACATGAAATTCTTATTCAACAGAGAAAACAAGATTTAACTTTTATATTAGTGTATTATCAATCGTCCATTCTCAGGCAGCTTTGACCATACAAAGTAAGATTCCCAAAAACCTTTTATAAACTCTTACAATTTTCTTTTTCCTAATTTTTAAAATAACAGTGATAGGGTCTCACTATCCTACCCAGGCTGGTCTCAATCTCATGGCCTCAAAGTGCTAGAATTACAAGGATGAACAACCATGCCCGGCCCAACTCTTACAATTTTCTATTAAAGAGCACACCAATACTCCAAGAAAACCTACTGTTCAGACACAGGGGCCCAGACTCTGGCCTAGCATCACTGTGCTTTTTTTTTTAGACTCAGTCTCCCTCTGTCACCCAGGCTGGAGTGCAGTAGCGCGATCTTGGCTCACTGCAAGCTCCGCCTCCCAGGTTCACGCCATTCTCCTGCCTCAGTCTCCTGAGTAGCTGGGACTACAGGCGCCTGCCACCACGCCTGGCTAATTTTTCTTTGTATTTTTAGTAGAGATGGGGTTTCGCCATGTTAGCCAGGATGATCTCGATCTCCTGACCTCATGATCCACCCACCTTCGCCTCCCAAAGTGCTGGGATTACAGGTGTGAGCCACTGCACCCAGCCAAGCAGTCCCTTCTTTAAGCCAATTAATTATAGCTTTTTCATATATTTTGGTAGTGAAATATCACATACACATGACACATATAAACATATAGACATACAGACAGAAGCAGATCTTATAGTTTTTATAAAGAATCTTCTCTCCAATTCCCCATTTCTACCAAAGAGAAATCTTAGCAAGACCAACTAACTTGTAAAGTAAGTTTTAGCATTAATACTTAACCTGATTATGCTCTCAAATAGTTTTTATTTCCCCCTTTTACATGATCCCTAAGCAACTGTTAGCTAGGCAACACTAAATTGGCACTTCTAAAGGGATGACTGAGGTGAAACAAAGTAGAAAAAATTCACATCTCAAAAGCACAGAGCTGAATTCAAACCAAGGAAGAAGGGTGTAGGTAAAAGCCTAGTTGTGGGCGGCAAACCACCTACGTGCCGAGGCAAGAGACCGAGGGCACGAGCTTTTCCAGTATAATAAAATATATAAAACAACAAGAGTTATACTAGATCTAGATCATAGACATGATTATATATGAAAATCATTAATCATTAGTTTGTAGCAATTACTCTTTATTCCAATATTACAATAATCCTCGCTCTACAATCATAACCTAGGAAAAACCAGGCCATACAGACACAGGAGCTGAGGGGACATAGTGAGAAGTGACCAGAAGACAAGCATGCGAGCCTTCTGTTATGCCCGGACAGGGCCACCAGAGGGCTCCTTGGTCTAGCAGTAACGCCAGCGTCTGGGAAGACGCCTGTTGTCAAGCGGACCATGGTCTAGCAGTAGCGTCAGTGTCAAGGAAAAACACCGGCTACTTAGCAGACCGGGAAAGGGAGTCTCCCTTTCCCCATGGGAGTTCAGAGAAGACTCTACTCCTCCATCTCTTGTGGAGGGCCTCAGGCCCACCTTCAGTTATCCGAAGGCATACCATCTCCCTGTGACGCTGTGCTTCAGTGGTCACACTCCTAGTCCGCCTTGATGTTCCATCCTGTACACCTGGCTCTGCCTTCTAGATAGCAGTAGCAAATTAGTGAAAGTACTAAAAGTCTCTGATATGCAGAAATAATGGCGCAAGCTGTCTCTCTCTCTCCCCCTCTCTGCCTCGGCTGCCAGGCAGGGAAGGGCCCCCTGTCCAGTGGATACGTGACCCACGTGACCCTACCTATCACTGGAGATGATTCACACTCTTTACCCTGCCCCTTTTGCTTTGTATCCAATAAATAACAACGCAGCCAGACATTCGGGGCCATTACCGGTCTCCGCATCTTGGTGTTAGTGGTCCCCCAGGCCCACCTGTCTTTCCTTTTATCTCTTTGTCTTGTGTCTTTATTTCTACAATCTCTCGTCTCTGCACATGGGGAGAAAAACCCACCGATCCTGTGGGGCTGGTCCCTACACCTAGTGAAGACGAGGTTGCCAGGAAAAGTATTTCCACCGAAGGCAAGGTCTGTGATGTAAACTGTAAGACAGTGTCTTCAGCCAATGTCTTCCCCATCTTCAGTTTCTAGCAGTTTGGGTGCAGGGAGGGAGACACCCTTACAAATGGAGATTTCCTTCATATATATAAATTTTTTTTACAAAGAGTTTCAAAATAGCCAGCTAAATGCTAGAAAGCCATATTTTGGATATCAAAGTTACACAAGGGTCTGCATTAGTTAGGGTTCTCCAGAGGGGCAGAACTAACAGAATAGACATATATATGAAAGGGAGTATATTAGGGAGAACTAGTTCACACCATCACAGGGTGAAGTCCCATGATACACCGTCTGCAAGCTGCAGAAGAAGGAAGCCAGGAGTGGCTCAGTCGGAGTCCAAAAGCCTCAAAAGTAGGGAAGCCAACAGTGCAGGCTTCAATCTGTGGCTGAAGGCCCGAGAGTCCCAAGCAAACCACTGGCTTAAGTCCAAGAGTCCAAAGGCCAAAGAACCTGGAGTCTGATGTCCAAGGGCAGGGGGAACGGAGGAGGCATCCAGCACAGGAGAAAGATGAAAGTGAAACTGCCTCTGCAAAAATTACAACTGAGGAAATGATGACAGTGAAAGAGATCAGACCTACCTGACTCCATCTTGCTTCTAACCTTTAGGCTGTCTTTGTTCATGCCTGGGCACAGGCCAACTAACCTTGGGAAGGAATTTAGCTTATAGTTTGACTCTGAAACAAAATTGATAATAGCCATTTCCCAGAAAGATCCCCTTCTTGCCTAGGAACCAGTCTGCCTTTGTAGGAGTAACAAATTAGCTACAAGATTAGAAATTTTAAGGCCCAAGGTGGCTGCCTTCACGTTAGTACCCGTGTGAAGTCGACAGGGACGGTTCCTGTTGTCTTCTTGAAGGCCACATCTGGTCCTCATTCTTGGGCTTATTTGGTGTGCTGTTGAAGGGGCAGACTAGAGAAATGGCAGGGAGCCTCTTATGTAGGGCAGGTAGGCGCCTGTGGGACTAGGTGTGGCATGCAGAAGCTTCTTTCTTGGTATTCCTAGATTGATTGGTATAAGGCTCCTACCCCCCAAAGTAGTTGATCCTTGGAACGAAAGGATGGCCATGTTCAGAGTGTATGACAACATCAGGATCCTGGGAAACTTTGAAAAGCACCCCAAAAGCTGATCAGGGACCCCATATGGCTTCGAGATTGGAAGGGGAATGAATTGCAACGCTGTATGCTAAAGAAGAAAATGGTTGGAAACAGAATGTTTGCTGATGAGCTGCACAACCTCAATAAACGCATCAGCTGTCTCTACAAACACTTTAACTGACATGGGAAATATCGATAGAAGAGAAAGCTGAGAACTTCAGAAAAGGCTCATCTGTCACCCTGGAGAAGGGAAGCTGTACTTTTCCTTATGAGGAAACGGCTTTGTATGCTCTCTGTAATAAAATGGGGCTTCTTTGAAAAAAAAAAAAAGAAATTTTGATTTAAAGGTCATCCAGCCTCTGGCTGTCCAAACCTCCCGAAATTGCTCCTGGGGATAACATCACCATTGTAATCCGAAGATCAGTGCTTGAGGTATTTATTCTGCAAGACCCTGTACTCTATGGATCAGCTGATACCACACAGACCGGCTATCTGGCTCAGCCAGTTCTGCCATTGTACCCAGGAACAGAAGACAGCAAGGAAACCTCACTTTGACCTCCCTGTGATTCCATCTCCAGCCAGATCAATCAGCACTCCTACTTCCTGAGCCGCCAAATTATCTTTAAAAACTCTGATCTGCAAATTCTTGGGATGTCTAATTTGAGTAATAATAAAACTCCAGTCGCCCGCACAGGTAGCTCTGTGTAAATTACTCGTTCTGCATTGCAATTCCCCTGTCCTGATAAATCCGCTCCATCTAGGCAGCCGGCTAGGTGAACTCACTGGGTGGCTACAAAAGCCAGAAGACTCAGCAAGCCAGCTTCTCCCACCCTCCTCCACCTGCTTTGTTCCAGCCACACTGTCAGCCAATCGGATGGTGCCCACCCACACTGAGGGTGGGTCTTCCTCTCTCAGTCCACTGACTCCAATGTCAATTTCCTCTGGCAACACCCTCACAACACACCCAAGAACAATACTTTACCATCCTTCAATCCAATCAGGTTGACAGCTAATATTAACCATCACAGGGTCTTTTCAACTTAGCTTGTTTCTCTATTAGATTACTGACTTCAGGGTGAAGCCCTTTAATGAATAGGGCAAAGGAGGCATTCTCTATGCCTGGAATCAGCATGGATAGCTCTGAAAAGAAGCAAGCCTACTTTACCTGCTTGAGGGCCTACTTTTAACTTTTTATAAACACTTTATCCAACTTATTACATATAAAAAAAGAAAAAACTTGGCCGGGTGCGGTGGCTCATGTCTGTAATCCCAGCACTTTGGGAGGCCAAGGTGGGTGGATCACCTGAGATCAGGAGTTCAAGACCAGCCTGGCCAACATGGTGAAACTTTGTCTCTACTAAAAATACAAAATTAGCCAGGTGTGGTGGTGCATGCATGTAATCCCAGCTACTTGGGAGGCTGAGGCAGGAGGACCGCTTGAACCTGGCAGGCCGAAGTTGCAGTGAGCCGAGATCAGGCCATTACACTCCAGCCTGGGCAATGAGAGCGAAACTCCATCTCAAAAAAAAAAAACGAAATGGACATTTTCAAGTTACTCACAAAACCAGTGAGACTTAACCAAGGTAAATTAGCCAGGTGTGGTGGCATGCACCTGTCATCCCAGCTACTCGGGAGGCTAAGGCAGGAGAATTGCTTCAACCCAGGAGACAGAGGTTGCAGTGAGCCAAGATCGCACCACTGCACTCCAGCTTGGGTGACACAGCGAGACTCCATCTCAAAAACAAAGATTTAACCAAGGTAATGGCATAACGAAGGTCATGACTTAACCAAGGCTGAACCAAGCATCTCCAAAGAAATGCAAAGCAGTCTTCCTAAGCGTCAGAACCACTCTAAAGACAGCTCAGAAAAAGAAATCTTGCTGCTCACACCTGTAATCCCAGCACTTTGGGAAGCTGAGGTGGGTGGATCACTTGACGTCAGGAGTTCGAGACCAGCCTGGCCAACATGGTGAAACCCCATCTCTACTAAAAACACAAAAATTAGCCAGGCGTGGTGGTGAGCACCTGTAATCCCACCTACTTGGGAGGCTGAGGCAGAAGAATTGACTGAACCTGAGAGGTGGAGGTTGCAGTGAGCTTAGACCATGCCATTGCACTCCAGCCTGGGTGACGAGAGCGAAACTCCATCTCAAAAAAAAAAAAAAAAAAAAAAGAAGGCCAGGCGCGGTGGCTCACACCTGTAATCCCAGCACTTTGGGAGGCCGAGGCAGGCAGATCACCTGAGGTCAGGAGTTCAAGACCAGCCTGGCCAACATGGTGAAACCCTGTCTGTACTAAAAATACAAAAAATTAGCTGGGCGTGGTGGTGGGCACCTATAATCCCAGCTACTCGGGAGGCTGAGGCAGGAGAACTGCTGGAACCTGGAAGGCGGAGGCTGCACTGAGCCGAGATCATGCCACTGCACTCCAGCATGGGCAACACAGCAAGACTCCGTCTCAAAAAAAAAAAAAAAAAACAGGACTGGAAATTGAACCCAGGCTGCAAACATAGCCTCATGTTTGTAGAGACTCATAGCCTCTGGCCCACAGGCTGGAGCACTGACAAACCCTGCAGGGGCTCCAGAGCAGGCAGTTTGAGCATTTAAAGGGTTTTGACTTGTTTCAGATCTGATCTCAGCTGAACTAATTCCCTGGATGTTAGCATTTTATTTTTTTAATTTCCCTCCCTCCTTCCCTCCCTTCCTTTCTCTTTTTCTTTTTCTTTTTGGCAGCATCTCGCTCTGTCGCCCAGGCTGGAGTGCAGTGGCACCATCTCAGCTTACTGCAACCTCCACCTACTGGGTTCAAGCGATTCTCCTGCCTCAGCCTCCCGAGTAGCTGGGAATACAGGTACATGCCACCACATGTGTTTTTAGTAGAGATGGGGTTTCACCATGTTGGCCAGACTGGTCTTGAACTCCTGACCTCATGTGATCCACCAGCCTTGGCCTCCCAAAGTGTTGGGATTACAGGCTTGAGCTAACATTTCTTTTCTGGCCTATTTCTTTTATTTTTTATTTTTTATTTTTGTTGTTGTTGTTGTTTTGGGTTTTTTTGAGACGCAGTTTCCTTCTTGTCGCCCAGGCTGGAGTGCGATAGCGCCGTCTCGGCTCACTGCGACCTCTGCCTCCCGGATTCAAGTGATTCTCCTGCCTCAGTCTCCCAAGTAGCTGGGATTACAGGAGCCCGCAGCCACTCCCCGCTAATCTTTTTTTATTTTTAGTAGAGACGGGTTTTCACCCTGTTGGCCAGGCTGGTCTCGAACTCCTGACCTCAGGTGATCTGCCCAATTTGGCCTCCCAAAGTGCTGGGATTACAGGTGTGAGCCACCGCACCCAGTCTGTTCCAAATTTAAATATACTTTCCCCTTTTTGAGAGAAGGAAATGTGTGCATTGTGGAATTCCAAAAACACTGCTTAAGAGATGTATGGGAGCTGAGGGAACAGGCAGAAAGAGATGAGTTTAGATCATCCCAGAGGCAGAAGGAGAAGCAGCAGCTGGAAACAAACAGGAGAAAGCCTCCATGGTCTTTTTGTTTGTTTGTTTTTGTTTTTGTTTTGAGACAGAGTCTCACTCTGTCACCCAGGCTGGAGTACAGTGGCGCCATCTTGGCTCACTGCAACCTCCGCTTCCTGGGTTTCATGTGATTCTCTGCCTCAGCCTCCCAAGTAGCTGGGATTACAGGCGCCCGCCACCATGCCCGGCTAATTTTTGTATTTTTAATAGAGATGAGGTTTCACCATCTTGGCCAGGCTGGTCTTGAACTCCTGACCTCGTGATCCACCCACCTTGGCCTCCCAAAGTGCTGGGATTACAGGTGTGAGCCACCTCACCCAGCCTGAAACTACTTCTAAATTTTAAAAAGAACTGTGGATGGCTGGGCGTGGTGGCTCACACCTGTAATCCCAGCACTTTGGGAGGCCAAGGCTGGTGGATCACCTGAGATCAGAAGTTCGAGACCAGCCTGGCCTACATGGTGAAACCCTGTCTCTACTAAAAACACAAAACATTAGCCAGGCATGGTGGTGGGTGTCTGTAATCCCAGCTACTGGGAGGCTGAGGCAGAAGAATCGCTTGAACCCGGGAGGGGGAGGTTGCAACAAGCTGAGATCGTGCCACTGCACTCTAGCCTGGGCAACAAGAATGAAACTCTGTCTCAAAAAAAAAAAAAAAAAAATTGCGAGGCAAGGTGGGGGATGCCTGTAATCCCAGCTCAGAAGAATCGTTTGAACCTGGGAGGCAGAGGTTGCAGTGAGCCAAGATCACGCCAATGCACTCCAGCCTGGGTAACAGAGCAAGACTCTGTCTCAAAACAAACAAACAAAAGAAATAGTTTCAGATAATCTTCTGTTTTCTTCTTGCAAAGAAATGACTTCATCAGAACTTCTTTTAGAAGCTTCTAAGTATCATTGAAAAATAGCTCTCTCAGTTTTTAAATTTTAGATGCAGATTTTTCCTATTGAGTGCATAAACTAGTTACTTTAAAGGCGCCCCATTTTAGCTATTATAGTCTGGGGTCTTCACGGGTTAAGTGAGACCATGTTTCTAGATACTGACAGAAGGTGGCACCATAAGCATTGTCCACGAATCCAGCTGCCGTCTCTGCAGATGCATGTCTGCTCTAGAAGCACAAGTGTCCATAATTTAGATTTTCCTTCTGAATGACCAAAAATGCCTAAGGGGAGGAATTTTGGTCACTAAAGAAGAAAATGGCCAAGCGCGGTGACTCACGCCTGTAATCCCAGCACTTTGGAAGGCCGAGGCAGGGGGATCACGAGGTCAGGAGTTCAAGATCAGCTTGGCCAAGATGGTGAAACCCCAACTCTACTAAAAATACAAAAAATTAGCAGGGCATGGTGGCAGGCGCCTCTAATCCCAGCTACTTAGAAGGCTGAGGCAGAGAACTGCCTGAACTGAGGAGGCAGAGGTTGCAGTGAGCCGAGATCATGCCACTGCACTCCAGCCTGGGCGACAGAGCGAGACTCTGTCTCAAAAAAAAAAAAAAAAAAAAAAAAAAGAAGAAGAAGAAGAATGTTTAGATTTGTCAGTTGAACCAAGTTTCAGAATATGGCCAGTTTTAAAGATGACACTTTCTCCTTGACCAAATTTCGAATGAGAGAAAAGGCTGCAAACTGTAAAAAGACAAGCAAAACCTCAGACAGAAGTGAAAATCACAAATCTGCAGTCAACAGAATCTCTAGAGAATAAAAATGGAAACTCCTACCTTTCAGTGGAGCTTCAGTTCTAACCCTATCAAATTATTAGTGTGTAAGTCTCAATCTTCAACTAAGCTGGGAGGATTCAGATCCCAAGACTGGCCTTACCAGAGACCCCTGCCAGCCCCAGTGAGGTCGAGTAAACAACAGTCGTTTGTGCTGGTACCAAGGCTCCAACTATTGATGCCACTACTTAGTGGCAATCCCTGAAGGCCTGCTTCAGGTCCTATCTGGGTTGCCAAAATGTCAACCTCAAATAATGAAATTCAGGAAATATGATTAAGTATAGAGTTTATTTGAGCCCAAAGCTTGAGGATGGCTCCCTGGGCACATGCCCCTAGGTTGCCCTGAACATATGTTCCCATTAGCAGCAGTCACAGTGGGGTTTTAAGGAAAAGGAAGAGGCAGTCCCTAAGTTGTTAGCAAGAATTTGCATTAAAATAACAGAAGGTGCTGATTGGCTATGCATCGTTCTTAGCATCACTAATTCCATGTGAACAAGAAGATAATGGGTGAGGCAGCCTGTCAGGAGCAAAAATTCCATCAAACAATTGCCCTGGACAGTTGCTTCTATGGTGGAAGAGGCGCTGAATGAAGTCCCACACTCCTGCCTCTCTGGGCCTGATCATTCTGCACACCTCACAGAGCTCAGACTACCCTATTTTTCTTTTCTCAGGAAAAATGGGTGGATGGTACTGGTGGCCCTGCCTGGTCTGATCATCTACCCTGGTTCTAGTAACCAGATTAATTCCTTGTAATAGAGCTGTGGATTTCAGTTCAGTTCCCACGCACAGACCTTACCTCTGCTTTCTCCGACCACTTCTCCCCCACCCCAGGTACTTCACAGCTGAGAGCCTCTTGCCAGCTTCCAACTCTCCAGCAGTCTTTGTTCCCAGACCGTGTCCTGAGGCTGCACTTTCTGGACATGCCCACCTGCTGGACTGGCATCTGTCTTGTCACTTCTCTGGCCTCACCTCTGCGAAAGGAACACAAAAGTCAGGACCCCAGTTCACTCTGTCAAAAGGAAAAGAATGAGCTGAAAGCTGAGTCATGTAAGCAGCTGCCTTTCCTTTCGTTCCTAAGCAGACGGCTACAGATAGAAGGTTCAACATCCGCTTCTCTTATGTAAAGTGCTGATTTGCTGAGGAGTGAGCTGTACACAGTCGACTGTTCCCAACCTGCTTCTTTTCTCTTGCAACGTGTGGATTACCACACTGTTCCGCTTTCCCCTCCAGCCCACTTTTCCCCTTTAAATACTGAAGCCCTCAAAGTCATCTTTGGAGAAAGGCACAGACCACAGACTGTTTCTGTGATACCGTGTTTTTTTTCCTCCCAGGCATTGTCCTTAACCTTGGCAAAATAAACTTCTAAATTGATTGAGCCCTGTCTCAAGATACTTTTTGGTTTAAACCTCTGAGGCCCTACTGTTTCTAATACAGGTTTCCAGTTTGCTCATCTTTCCCAGGTAGGAAGATGCTCTGTTGCCAAGAGAAATGCAATTCTAACACGCAAATCCGCCCAAACACTAGAGCTCAGCATTCAGCTCTAGCCGAGCTAAGAGGATCCCATGGTCCTGCCCCACAGTCTGGGGCTCATCTTGTGGAGGAGGTAAGTAAAATAGGCCCTGTCTCTCTGACTTCTACCTAATCAGAGTTGATAGTTGCGTTGGAAATTAGGTAAATCGCAGGTGAGTTGATGAATGTGGGAAACCAGATGAAAATGGCTGCTTGATGGGGTTAAAACGCAGGAGAGGAATAGAACCCTTCCAACGGAATGGTTCCAGCCTTGTGACATGAGGAGACTGAAAGGGTATCCCAGAGGCAGGTCACTGGCCTTCCAGCTCCACCTGTGGGTGGCCTTGGCCAGGCAACTGCAAGAGTGCAGGGCCCCGGGGAGGTCGCACCTGGCAAGCGCTGAGGGAGGGTAAAGCGGAGAGGGGTGTGAGAAGAGAAAAACAACACAGAGCGTCCGAGCTATGTGAGGCGTGCGAGGTTAATCCGGCCCGGAGAGACAGGTCTATGCGGCTTCAGCGGTCCCCACCCATGCCTGGCAATTGTTTAAAGGCACTATTGCTCCGGACCCGCTGCCTTCACCCATGAACTTCCTTTCCTGGAATTATGATATAAAGAACAACGTACAGCCAATTAATAGCTTGTTATTTTCATGTAAATTCTTGGTGAGCTATTTAAGAACTGCCCCCCTCTTAAGCTTTATAAACCCACTTGTCACTGTTGCAAATCCTATGTTCAGGGCAACTTGAAGCTATGCTCCCGGGTTGCAATCTTCAAACTTGGCCCAAATAACCTCTCTACTTATATCAAGTTTGCCTCAGCTTTTTTTTTCTTCTAGGTCGACGGTTCCCGCCCCGCAAGGGTGCAGGGAAGGGGACGCCCGCACTTCCTAGTGCTCCCTTAGCTGGGGTCGAGCTGAGCGCCCCCCACCGAGCCCCAGGCGGCTCTGTGGAGAAGCCCCTCGGCCCCGGGTTCGGTCTGCACTGCCAGCCCCCAGTCCCCGGCGCGCAGGATCCAGCAGGGCCAGCGCCGGGCGGGCGAGAAGGCGAGAGAGCTAGGGCCGGGCGGGGAGGGCACCGGCAGGGGGCGCGGGTTCCCAGGACCGAAAAGGCGGAGCCTCCCACGCGCACTACGTGCTCCCTACGCGCATGCGTCCCGCCCACGCGCAGGCAGCACCTCGCCTGACTGGGTAGCGCTGCCACGTCGGGGCGGGGAAGAGCGTCGTCGCGTCCGGGTGACGTCTCCCGAGGGCGTCGGCAGGGTCGGCGGCGTCGGCAGCAGTGTCGACGGCAGCGGCGGCGGCGGGTGGGAAATGGCGGAGTATCTGGCCTCCATCTTCGGCACCGAGAAAGACAAGTGAGTGGGAGCCCCCCGCCGGGGGTTGGGCGCGATCGGGGCGCAGGGTGGTTGAGGCGGTGGGAGGGCGACCGGGGAGGCCCAGGCGGGCCGGCGCGGCGGTGGCGGGGGAGGGGCGCGCGGCGGGAAGGAGCGGTGGCCCTTCCGGCCCCTTGCGCGCCCTCCGGAGCCGCCGCCTCGTGGGCCGCGCGGCGGAAAACTGGAGCGGGCAGAATGAATGGGGTCTCTTTTCGGGGCGCCGCGGCCGAGCTTTCTCCGGCCTTGGGGTCCGGACTGGCTGATCGCCCGACGTCCGGGCCTCCGAGTCGCCGACTCCCGGAAGCCGCCTCGAGCCGCGCTGAAAGTTGCCTGGAGCATCCGGGCCTTTTGGACGTGGACACGTTTGTTCCAACTTTCGGCTGTGAATGTCCTGTCGAGCAAGCTCTGGTACCAGCCTCGCCAGTATTCAGTCGCTTATCTAACTTAGGGTCCTAAGCGTTGGTGTTTTATCCACTTAGCCAGCCTCTTGCCTGTTTAAGCGACCGCTGGGCCGGCAGTAAGGAGATATGACGAGAAAAAGTATGGTGGAGACTACTGGATTAACTATCTAACCACAAGAGACGTGATCCGCTCTTAACATACAGGTGCTCCTGGATTTACCATGGGATTGCGTTCCGATAAACCCATCATGAATCGAAAATGCCTTTAATACCCCGATAAACCCATCATCTAAGTTGAAAATTTGTAAGTCGGTGACTGTTCTTGAAGACACAATTCTGATATAAGGAAAAAGATGTTTTGATTTTTTCCTTAAGGTTGCATGCCTTCCCTAATCAATCGTTAGGTTAAAAGCAAAACATTTAATTTCAGCTTTAATTGCCACCTTGGCACGTACTAATTTCCAGTGAGTTGGCTGTAGTTTAGACTAAATGGAATGTTTTCAGACGTTTGAAGGATAATTCTTACTTTGAAAACCTAAAGACTCAGCATCTGGCTTAATCTACTCTTTAGTTATCTTGGCATTCTTCAGTGCCATACAAAGTTAACATGACTTTATGTTTTCAATGATAAACCCCTAAGTTTGTCATAGATGTTTTTAATGCCACTTTTTTCAAACGCTATTTAAAATGTTTCTCTTTTCCAGGATGGAGTCTATCTTGTAAAATGTCCTCTTCACACATGGTAGAATCTCCTGTGTTGTTTGGATGAGGAGGCTATATTTCTAGCAAAATTTTAAGCCAAAATCTACCAGTTATAGTCACTCCAGAAACATTTAGTGGGGGTCAACTATAGGTCAGTTTCTGGAGACTTAAACATGGGTAAAATTTGGATATTATCCTTAAGGAACTCACGGTATGATCTTGGCGAATGAATAGACCAGCTCTATCGGAACAAGAGACTCTTCTGAGTTTAGGGTGAAGAACTAACACATGTAGGATCGGGGCATCATTAATTTCTCCTTTTCATATTTGCATGTGGCATGACTTCTGTCTTGTAAAAGTCTATCTCCCTATATTTCTGCTATAAGCAACCACATTTCAATCTATTGGGCTATACTATAAAGGTCATGGTTTTAATTCAGAAAAGTTGATTATTTAATCTAGGTTACTTGTGTTTTCTTTTCAGGGAGACGTGGGGTTTTAGCTTCCAGGGAACAGGATCAACTCCTGAAAAATGAAGCTGATGGTTCATATTAACTTTAATTATTATTTAAGCTAAGAATAAAATATAGATCTCTACCAATTAAAAAATGTTTAGCTTATTATATGTTTGAAGTTATAGATGTTTTCTAGATTCAGGGATATCCTAATAGCTTGTCTGTAGTTTAATTGTGTGGAATAATTGGATATTAATTGTTGAGGCCCAGGGCTTGCCCATTCTGAGGTAGTTTTTAAATAAGCTTTCTTTATTTTTAGATGACTTCCTAAAGATATGCTATTGTCTAATCAAGTTAAATAATCTCAAGACCTGTAAGTTTGCAAATATATATAATCACTTTCCTCTCCTGATAAATTTGGACTTTCCCATCTTTATTGCTACCTGATAATAAATCAGTGGCTAGTCAGTCTTCATGGTCCATTAGATTTCACTGAGGTTGAGGCCCTTCAATCTTAACTCTGGATTGACTGTTTAAAACATAATGGCACTTGGTTAAAAAAAAATTGAATTTTGAACAAAGTCTGTCTGGTAAGATGTCCTAATTCATCAGAGATCGGCTTCCCTCCCTGACATTGCTGGCACACAGGCATGATTGCTGGTTCCATTGGATATGGATCTGGATTGTCAGCGTATTTGAACAGTATTAAGGGAGGGTTTTGCAGTAGAGACAGAAGGTGACGTAAGGTGGTTCCTAAGGTGGGTTCGGTCAGTCCCCTAATAGTTTGTTTTCAGTGTATTGAGACCAGGAGAATTGATTTACTTCAGACCTATTTTTTGAAACTCCCTGTTGGTCTGGTGTCATGCGTTTAGAGAGACTCTGAACTTCGTTTTCTGTTTTCCTTAGATAATGATAGCACTTCATGAGCACCATATGTGAAGCACACATACGTTCTGTCTGACTCTCAGAACAGTGCCACATTGGCATTGTCATCATTTACAGATGACATCTGAGAGCTAGGGTGACTTGCCCAAGCCCAAGCAGCTGGTAGCAGAGTTGGGATCTTAACCCTCACCACACCGGTGTTTTCAAGAGAGAACTTGGTCGTGGAGAACTGGAGAACAGATACTGCCTAAGTTACATTTAGTTTTAGACTAATTTAATACTCCATTTAAGAAACAAACAGAACAGCTGTGCAGTTAGGAAAGTGGAGGGGATTTGAATGAGGAGGAGGCGGGTTAGAGTTAGAACCGTCTTTGCTGAACAAGTAGTGTGTTTGCAGAAAGGGAAGTTGAAGTTACGTTGTCCTAAAATACAGCAAGGAAGAGGAGGTGCTTAATACCACGGAAAAAAGTCTGTGTCATGTTTCTGTGAGGTTAAAAGTAATTTGATAGTGTATGTCATGCTGCTGACATATTCCATGTGTTTGATATCTTCCCAGCAAAATAATCAGCTCTCATTTTCCCTTACAGAGTCAACTGTTCATTTTATTTCAAAATTGGAGCATGTCGTCATGGAGACAGGTGCTCTCGGTTGCACAATAAACCGACGTTTAGCCAGGTTTGTTTGCCTTTTTTTCATGTAAATTATAAAAACTTCATGTTCTTTTCAAAGACAGTTAATTTCTACATATTAAGCAAGTCATTTTTTCTCTCGTAGTTGTATTTTCCATTTGTGTTCATAAGTGTGTTCTTTTATTTAAATAATAGTGAGGCAGGTGATCGACTTCCAGTGGAAGGTCTGAGACCACCACTCCTTGTTTTTATCATTAGAGAAACTTTAAAAATCAGTTTTTGATGTTTGTGTGTTGGCTGTGCCTGATATTTGCTGCCCTGCCATCTTCCCTACCCCCTCTGATAGACATGGGTCCAGAGGGGGTGGCCGTGCCAGCCTTGGGTTAGCCTCCTCCAGGCACCAGTGGACACGGAGTGGGCTTTCTGCTCTTTGCTGTCTCCAGACAGTAGAGGTGATGGAGCCACCTTCCAAGTTAGCGTGATTGTCACCAGGCCCATCATGCTGCTCGAGCTTCTCTGGCTGCGTCCTCACTTTCACATCCCTAGCTGAGGAAACAGCGAGTCGCATCACGTCATGGAAACATGAAAAATTAAGCTGAAAGGTAGAAAATGGGCCGTAAATTGCTCTTAGCGGGTCTGTTTGGTTAATTGAGGAGTGCCTGTTATCTTGGGCTTAGATCCGCTCTGAGTTCAGTTCAATCAAAAGTTGTGAGTTTTGATAGTTTTATTTTTGGTTAGTTGAAGAAAAGGCAAAGGTTGGTACACTATAAAGGATCACTTACGGATTAAAGGGAGAAGGCACCTCTAATCGGAGCAGAAAACTTGTGCCCACGTTGATGAGAACATTTGAAATTTGAAAATCGATGCCCAAGTCTTTCCAGATGGAGGGCTGGGGAACTCCTTCCAACCCACCCTTGAAGTCTAAATGTGCAGCCTCTGAGCTGTTGAGTAGCTATTATGCGTGGTCCCTGGGAGCTGCCAGGCTCTGCCTTTGAGCTCACATCTGTCTGTATACGTTTTCCTGTAAGCATTTAAGAAAATCTACCACTTTGTGTAAGTGAGCTGGGAGAAGGAAACATGGGTTTTTTCCGGTTGAAGCCCATGGACGACCCCACAGCACACAGTGTTTTTAGAAGGGAAGAGGATGATGGCTTTTCCCTCCATTATGCTAATTACCAAGTGGTTAGTATAATAGCAGTCTGTCTTTTGATAGCTCTGAACATGAGTTTCTTTTTACAAATTTCAAAATCTTGGAGAACTAGCTTTACATTTTCTGTGTATTGCAATTGTTTTTTCTTTAATGTTTTGATTTATGAACCGAATCTCCCCTAACTAAACCAGTGGCCATGGATTGTGGTATAACCAAGCATCTTAAGTGACCACCCAGTTCTTTGATTTTGGGGGGTGTCCCAAGTGTTGGGCTGAGAGAAATCAACTGTTCCCTATTCTAAAAGTTTTCTTTAATCTGGCTGGAGGCACTTTCTTTATGTTTTTCTGGATCATAGATTACCTGAGAATGTGAAATGTGAAGTTAATTTAGGCATTCCAGGTCAGTGCTGGGGAGAGCCCATTGGAGCTCGATGGGGTCAGTAGTATGTGTCAGCTTAAGCATCCTAGTTTGATGCGTGGGTTTGTTTTGGTTGGTTTTAGGCAATCCTAGCCACCCTTGGCTTTCCCATTAGACTGCATTGCCTCTTTACGTTAAGCTTCCTTCATTAAATAGCCACTGCCAGAATACCTGAGTGAGACCAACTGAATTTTACTGTTGAATAATTGGGCTCAGTTTAGCTTTTCATCAGGGTTGTCATGGTACGGTCATTTCAGTTCAAAGCTGAGTCAAGTCAGCTTTGGGAAGCCTCCCAGGCCTGAGTTCAGTTGACTCAGGGCTGTACTTGGCGGCTTATGGAAGAAACGGGGCCCTGATGCAGGTCTGAGTGGTTCAGTGTGGACAGTTTGTCAGACCTCCCTCTTAGGTGGGGTGGGCTTCCCAGCTGCACACCTTTGACTGAGGAACTCTTCATACAACCACTCCCCTTTAAACAGAGCTAGAAATGGAGCTGGCTGGTTTTATAAAACCACCACTTACAAAACTGCTTCACGTGGATATTGTTGAGACTAAACATTTATTTTTCTAAATCATGCGAGTGATTGCTTTAGCTTGTAAATCTCTAGCATAATTCAGGGTGGGTTTCTTTATAAGCTGCTTACAGTGATATGGACGTTAAGATTCATGTAATATATTAGCCTACTAACTTAAACATGGTTTGTTTTTTCAGACAACTTGATTTTAAGAAGAACGGTACAGTGTAAGGTTTCAAGTCTGCCTGATCCAGTTTAAAGCACAAGGGCTAAAAGGATTTTTTTTCCTTAAAAGAAGGATCGGAAAAGAGCAAATGTTTTAAGCTATTGTATTATGTAAACAGAGATCCCACCAAGAAAGTGTAAATCAGAGCCGGGTGTCCATGACAGTTGACAGACCTGTTTGGTGTGCCTGTTTTGCTAGGAGACCAGAGAACTTGATGTACTGCAGACAGCTGAGTTACGCATTTGGTTTTGAAAAATTATCTTGTGTGAGGAATATGATTATAACGTGAATTTTTCCACATCTTGGTGTCTGCTAGCTTGAAGTACAAGAAAATATTAGTATTCTACTATTTATCTTGCATTAAAACACTTTAACATTGAAAACGTGGGACTAATCAAAACAATACAGTTTCTTCTTGGTTGCTGGCTGACTTGACCCAAGTCACTGCTCAAACTCTGTTTTCATAATATGATGGTTTTGGTGTACTCTTCAGAAGACAAATGTCTGACTTGCGGGAAAAAAACAAACGTTTAGCCATTTGCAAACAAATTGTCTCTTTGCAATTGTCTAATATATGCACAGCAGCCAGTAGAATTCCCCTTTTTATTTTTTTTTCCCCGCAGACCATCTTGATTCAAAACATCTATCGTAATCCCCAAAACAGTGCACAGACGGCTGACGGCTCACACTGTAAGTCCCACAGTTGGAGAAATTTTTTTAAAACAATGGTGTTAAAGAGCCCACTCTTAATTGAGACAAATAATGTTGGCTTCTGAGCTGCTGACATAGAGCTGTTGCAAACAGGACAAGGTGCTGGAACTCCTTGGCGCACACAGCAAGAACTTGATACTTGGCCACGTTCAGGAGGCTTATCCCTTCTAGGGAGGGTCACTGGCCCGGCCACCTCCATTGATTGACATTTGTCATGAGAGCAGGTCCGTCCATGTGAAACGGATTTCAACATTTTGAGCCATTCATTGGTCTTTACAGTGACTGAACCCCTGGCCTTTATTAAGTTCTTTGTGTAAAATTAAAACTCTTAGGAATATTAAGGAATCAATAAGGTAAGTTGCCCAGTAAGTGTGGGTTTTATTTCACCATTATAATTTTTCCTCCAGGAAGTGGAGATTTCATGATATGTAACAATTGTATTTCTCTAATACAGTAATTTTTTCCATCAGTTTATGTAAGCATTATTCTTTCCGAGTTCATTAAAAATTTTCTGCCACATCTAAGAACATTTTGGTGCTAGCCTGGCAAACTATTTGTGCTTTTACCTGAATTGGAATTTTGAAAAGGAGAGTTTTCACGTTCTGTAAGCAGAAGTACAAGATGGGCATATCATGAGACCTCCGTTACACCGCAGTGTTAGGGATTCAAGGCAGCCGCCAACTGAGAAAACGCCTCTGCTTCTCCAGAAAATAACTTGCTCTCTTTTCAGCACTGAATCTCAACTGAAGCACTTGCCAGAGGCAGCCGGTTAAGTGTTTACCTTTAATTTTCCATAATATAAAGTTGTTGCGTTTTGTATTTCAGACCATTGCCCTCTTGAACATTTACCGTAACCCTCAAAACTCTTCCCAGTCTGCTGACGGTTTGCGCTGTAAGTTCATACAAGTTCCTTCCCCGGTTCCCTGGGCTTGCGTGTCAGAGCTCAGTGTCCACTCCATCTGGTCTGCCGTGCTAGTGTCAAGGACCGCGTTTCACTAGAGGTGGCAAGGAGCTTTCGTCCCACTGACCCCATGGAAACCTCTTTTGGAGATTTGAACTCCCACCGTGTGTTAAAAGGGAAAAAGTAACTGGAAAGGGTGCCCTTTAAAACAGTCTAGAGCTGGGCCGGGCGCGGTGGCTCACGCCTGTAATCCCAGCACTTTGGGAGGCCGAGGCGGGTGGATCATGAGGTCAGGAGTTCAAGACCAATCTGGCCAACATGGTGAAACCCCATCTCTACTAAAGATACAAAAATTAGCTGGGCGTGGTGGCAGATGCCTGCAATCCCAGCTTCTAGGGAGGCTGAGGCAGAGAATCGCTTGAACCCGGGAGGCGGAGGTTGCAGTGAACTGAGATCGTGCCGCTGCACTCCAGCCTGGGCGACAGAGTGAGACTCCGTCTCCAAAAAAAAAAAAAAAAACAGTCTGGAGCTGCTGCTGCCCCTTCTTCCTTTACTTTGGCCGTCATCCTAGAGGGAATGTACTGGAATTAAACGTCGAGTCATATTCTTCCCTCTTAGAGCAACAAAATTTGAATGTTTCTCTCACTTTCTGGAATTTTTAAAAAGCAAACTTTTTAAGTTATTTTTTCAGATTTTATTTCTCATTAGCCTTTTTTCCTTGAACTCCATTTTGGAGTGCACCCTGTAGTTGTAAGAGCATTGTGCTGAGAGCGTTCCCCAAATGAGGGTCTGCAGCTTGCACTGACCCCTGAGTTCCTCACCCACCAGCCCCGTGCCGACCCGTCTAACCCGTGTGGGGGTGCTCCACTCAAATAGGCCCTTGGCAGAAAAGATTGTCCGTTCTGTCCACACACTGCCTGGATACAGTCTCCAGCTCTAGGAGATGGAATTGGTTTGCTCCATTTAGAAATAGATCAAAACTGGGCATTCAGTAGATGGTACCAATATCTTCCTGTACTGGGAAATACTAAATTTAGATTGTGAATATTTACCTAATGATAATTTTTAGAGAAGGAGATATCATAGATGAGTATGATTGGGAAGTTCAGAAAACTAAAATTTGATTTTTACAGCCATCCAACTATAGAATCATTAGAATTTAGTCATTTATGGATAAATTAAAATGAACACCTGGACTCTTGTTAAAATCAGAAAGTCCAAACCAAAGATAGGCACTTCCCATTCACCATTCTGTTTTAAAGCAGTAAAAATTGAGGTGCCCTTGGATATCCACAAGCCTAAATTGAGTACACCCTTGAACCAGAGCCCCTCAGTTAATGGGGTGACCGACATGGGGTAGCTGATCCCAGGGGGCATTCCCCTCTCGAGCTGGCCCTGCACTGGGTGGCCTGGGGATTGTGCTTCCTTGCACAGTGGTGCACATTTCTATGTGTGGATGAGATTTTCTTGTCAACTTTTCCTGCCAAGACACTAAATGCTTTTCAGTGCTAATACTGACCTGATAGTAGAGATTTCTTTCCCTGAGTCGGATGGTAGCAGGATTTACTTGGTAACCCTTGGTTTAAAATACCTGTTTTTTTGTTTGTTTGTTTTCTTTTGTTTTTTAAGGAAATAAGATCAATAGGCGGAGGGAAATTGTTTCTATATGCACTTATTAAATAATTTTTGTTAACAACCCTGCCCTGGGATAAAAGTGAATGGAAGTACATGACTGAGTAACAGTAATTAATTCTTTGCCCTGATCGTTTATTTGGGGACTGTATATGCTTTCTTGACTGACAATAGAATGTTGTATTAGTTTTCATTGTGTCTTTATTTGCAGTTCACAGCACTTTTGTTTTGCATATGCTACAAACTAAAAGTTTAGCAATTACGTTATATTCCAATTCTGGAGTCCAGATTGTACAAATTAGATGAAATTCTAATTCGTCATTTTAGGAAGAAATCAATTACCTAAAATTACTGGCTCTTTTCAACATACCCTTTAGTATGTAAAAAAATAAGCTTCAAATGCGTGGGTTAAAGTTAACTATCAATCCCAGTTTAAGAATGATATTTCTGTAAGAAAACTGCTTTATTTTCCAAGTTGTAGTATTTAACATAGGCTGAGTCACAAATAAGTTTTTAATTGTATCTTAATGCAGTTGTCTCTGCCTTTCAAGTCACTTTGATTGAAACATTTTAAGCAGAACAAATATAGCCAATAATTTAAAATAATCACCCCAAAACCATTTCTCAAACCTGCTAAAACTTTGAGCATGTGAATAATTTTCTCCTCTTCACATTCTTCTTATGTGGGAAGGAAGTGAATTTGAAATATTAAAATCTGCCCTTTGGAATAGGCTACTTTGGCCGTTTATAACTTGATTTCTACTCGGGGAGGAAGGTACATTCCCAATAGCTTTCCAATTGGGATATCCTGTGATATGATTGGCAGGCTGTCCGAGTAGTTACACTTAATAAAATTTGGGTTCGAAAGCAGATTCCTGGAAGTTCAAAAATAACTAAAACAGCCCCGGATAGGTTAGAAAGTGAACTTAAATCATTCTCAGAATTAGAAAATAAGAAGTTATTTTTTATCTTCAAAGATAAAAAGGGGGCCGGGCACGGTGGCTCACGCCTGTAATCCCAGCACTTTGGAAAGCCGAGGCAAGTGGATCACGAGGTCGAGAGATTGAGACCATCCTGGCCAACATGGTGGAACCCCGTCTCTACTAAAACTACAAAAATTAGCCAAGATCACGCCATTGCACTCCAGCCTGGAGACAGTGAGACGCCGTCTCAAAAAAAAAAAAAAAAAAGATAAAAAGAGTTTTGAGCAAGCTCAAAGACCCGTGTGCCAGCAGTCAGATGCCCACGTTGGGTGCACAGGCTAAGGCAGCCGGCCCAATCTGGAAACCAGTCAGGCTTTTGCCAGCCCCTAATCTAGCTGATTGGAACATGTTTGTTGATACACCAGCTCTGTGATTTCTCAGGTTTAGAGAACTCTAGAATTTGATAGAGTGGGCCGGGGGCAGTGGCTCATGCCTGTAATCTCAGCACTTTGGGAGGCTGAGGTAAGCAGATCACGTGAGGTCAGGAGGTTGAGACCAGCCTGGCCAACATGGTGAAACCCCGTCTCTACTAAAAATACAAAAATTAGCCAGGCATGGTGGTGCGCGCCTGTAGTCCCACCTACTTGGGAGGCTGAGGAAGGAGAATTGCTTGAACCTAGGAAGTGGAGGTTGCAGTGAGCCAAGATCACGCCACTGCACTCCAGCCTGGAGTGGACAGAGACTCCATCTCAAAAGAAAAAAAAATTAATTAAATTTGATAGAATGATGATGGGGATAGAGTGTAAATTTG
This sequence comes from Homo sapiens, assembly GCF_000001405.40. Classification (NCBI taxonomy): domain Eukaryota; kingdom Metazoa; phylum Chordata; class Mammalia; order Primates; family Hominidae; genus Homo; species Homo sapiens. The sequence continues at coordinate 43,097,077 of NC_000021.9, read as the reverse complement.
CCAAATTTACCCACGCAACAGACATGATTTTACCTAATACATGTGAATTATGAAGAATAAACTGATGAAAATAGTTTGGGAATATAAAACTTAAGAATACTTGCGCCGGGCACGGCGGCTCACACCTGTAATCCCAGCACTTTGGGAGGCCGAGGCAGGTGGATCACGAGGTCAGGAGTTCAAGACTAGCCTGGCCAAGATGGTGAAACCCCATCTCTATTAAAAATACAAAAATTAGCCGGGCGTGGTTGTGGGCGCCTGTAATCCCAGCTACTCAGGAGGCTGAGGCAGAGAATCGCATGAGCCCAGGAAGCGGAGGTTGCAGTGAGCCGAGATTGCGCCACCGCACTCCAGCCTGGGCGACAGAGTGAGACTCCGTCTCAAAAAAAAGAAAAAAAAAAGAATGCTTTCATCAGCAAAACATTGTAACATTCCCTTTACTTGAGGGCGTCCACAATACCGTAAGGTTGCGTGAACTGTCCTACTGAATCTTCATGGTTGCTTGGATTTTAATCACATCAGAAGAATTTGAGAGCATACCATGGCTGGCAGTCCATAAAAGACTAGTTAGGAACATCAGCTTTTAATCATCGACCCTGCTTTCAGGTTTCATTTTAAACTTATAGAAGAGGGGAAGACATCAGTGTGCTTATTTGGCCTTTACTCTAAATCTTAAAAGGAAGAAAATTTTAATATTTCTTAGTTTGAGCCCAGGTGCGGTGTCTCACGCCTGTAATCACAGCACTTTGGGAGGCCAAGGCAGGCGGATCACTTGAGGTCAGGAGTTCAAGACCAGCCTGCCAACGTGGTGAAACCCTGTCTGTACTAAAAATTAAAAAAAAAAAAAAAAATTAGCCGGGCGTGGTGGCAGTCGCCTGTAGTCCCAGCAACTCCAGAGGCTGAGACAGGAGAATCGCTTGAACCCCAGAGGTGGAGGTTGCAGTGAGCTGAGATGGTGCCACTGCACTCCAGCCTGGGCGACAGAGCCAGACTGCATCTTGTGGGTGTAAAAAAAAAATTTGTAGTTTGAGAGTCAACTTTTTCCTCACAGTTTCTGAAAATGTGGCCCTTTTGATGCTGATTAAAGCTGGTTGTGATTTTAACACCTTAGTAGCCAGAATCGAGACTGTCATGGGGACATTTAAAATCTCACCACACTTGACACCATTCACAAGTAGCCATGTGGCTCAGTCTCCTGAGTGCTCCTGCAGAGTGCAGCTCTGCCAGGCTTTTCTCTAGATAATCTCGTGTGTGTTACTGTAGCAGTTTGAGTTTAAACACAAGAGTTCACTCGGTTAACATGTTCTAACCAGCAAGATTTCTGTTGTTTGCAGGTGCCGTGAGCGATGTGGAGATGCAGGAACACTATGATGAGTTTTTTGAGGTGAGAGAACTGAACTCTGTGACTGATAGACCTGTTGATCTTCTGTATCTGTTTGGAAGGATTTAAAATGTTTCTCTGCTAATAAACATACATGAGTTATATCTAATGACACTTTGTAATGTATAACGAGTCTTAAACCACTGTGGTCTCCCTTCAGGAGGTTTTTACAGAAATGGAGGAGAAGTATGGGGAAGTAGAGGAGATGAACGTCTGTGACAACCTGGGAGACCACCTGGTGGGGAACGTGTACGTCAAGGTAGGAGCCAGGGCGAGACGGCGGCGTGGCCGCTTAGTGTGCCAGGGCCAAGGCCAACAGGCGAAAGCGAGACAGTGGTGCAGCCGCTTAGTGTGCCGGGGCCAAGGCCGACAGAGGATGGGGTGCCTGTCGCCATGCACCTTGAGATCCTGGATGCTCAGGCGCACAGCAGGGCTCAGGTGCACTGGCTCGGCGCCTACCAGCTGCGTCATATGTGGCGGTGGCCAGCCCACACGTGCGCCCAGCCAGCAGAACTGAAGGACGGACCGTACACCACAGCCATCGTTATTTCAGTGTAGAATATTTAGTACCTGTTGGTTTAGAAGCTGTGTGGACTAAGGAAAAGTTAGGTTTACTCACATGTTTGGTTTCTTTTTTCTTTTTTAGTGAATAAAACTTTATTTGCCTACACAGCCATATTTGCTCCTTTAACCAGTTGAATTTGAAAAATGAAGGCAACATTTGGCAAAATCTTGGACTATCTTGAAGTTAATCTCATTGAAAATAAAGGATTTTTCAATTATCCTGTAATACTATTCCACCTTACTATACCTGAGTGTGTATATCTCTCTCTGATATACTTGGATTGGTAATTGAGAAAGTCTTATTAAAGCGTGGATGGCAAGCACTTCTGTTTTTGTCTTTTCAGTTTCGCCGTGAGGAAGATGCGGAAAAGGCTGTGATTGACTTGAATAACCGTTGGTTTAATGGACAGCCGATCCACGCCGAGCTGTCACCCGTGACGGACTTCAGAGAAGCCTGCTGCCGTCAGTATGAGATGGGGTGAGTGAGGAGTGGCCAGTGACGTGACTGAGCACAGTTCGGGGCCGTGTGCACACGAGGTAGTAAATGTCTCCTTCCAACCCACCCACAGAGAATGCACACGAGGCGGCTTCTGCAACTTCATGCATTTGAAGCCCATTTCCAGAGAGCTGCGGCGGGAGCTGTATGGCCGCCGTCGCAAGAAGTGAGTATTCCTGTGCCCGTTGTTAAGCTCAGTGGCTTCTTTCTCCCCTCACAACCCTCCCCCTTCCAAAAAAAAAATTTTGGCATAGGTGTCGTTTCTGTTTTTTAAAAGGCAGTGCTTAGAACATAGTACATATTTTTAAATATCCAAATGTCCTCTTTGGAGAAGAATATTCACCTGCACACAGGTAACTTCATTATCCAACTTCTCAAGTAGAGATCAGATCTTAGTAATCAAGCAAGAGGGCGGTTAGCTGGGCAGCCGCGGACATGAGGCTCGTGGTGAAAGTGGGCATGCAGTTTATTCTCCCAGATATTACGAAGAAGAAGAATAGATGTTGTAACCTCCTTTAGATCAGGGATGGCTTCCCTGGGACACATTGGAAGAAGAATTGTCTTGGGTCACAAATAAAATACACTAATGATAGCTGATAACTTTTTTTTTAATTGCAAAAAAAATCTCATAATGTTTTAAGCAAGTTGATGAATTTGTGTTGGGCTGCAGGTTGGACAAGCTTTTGCTTTACATATTTCACATGTCCACTGGGGTTTCTTTTGGTTTTGCTTGTTGGTTTTAGGGCATTTCATTATGTCTTGGGATCGCTGGCATCCTCCCTTCGGGACACTGGCAGAATCAGGCCCAGCGGTCACATCTCTCTGATCCTACATTTAAATGTACGACAGGTCACAGAGCAGAGAAAATCAAGACGTCAGAATCGAACCGATTGAGTTCTGAGTCTGGAGAGGTTCTCATCCCTCTTCTGTTAAACATGGACTAGTAAATAGATGGGTGGCGATTGTTTTATTGTCAGCATTCAAGAAGCATAAGAGAAAAACAGGCCTGCTCTCCCCAGCCCAAAAACCTGATGGACACAGTAGCTATGAGCGCCTGAAGCGTGGGGTCAGTGAGGGTTGAAGATGGTATGTGTCCAGCTCATTTTGATTATGATTTCCTGTGACCATTTGAGTTGGTTCTAGAAGAAGACAGAAGATGCAAGGTATTACACCTGTTCACTTCTAAGTTGCACATTTTTTTCTCCTGAAACTTTTCACACCTGAAATCAGGGTGTGTCTCAGTCACGGCGTGCAGTCTCTTCAGCAGTGTTTTTCCTTATCAGTGCCGTTGGCTTGAGGAGCTGCGCGTGTTGAGAGAGTGGGTGTGGTTCTGTGCTGCGTGCCGTGGTTTGGATGGCACGGTTTTCTTTATTTTCCTTGGTTGCAGGCATAGATCAAGATCCCGATCCCGGGAGCGTCGTTCTCGGTCTAGAGACCGTGGTCGTGGCGGTGGCGGTGGCGGTGGTGGAGGTGGCGGCGGACGGGAGCGTGACAGGAGGCGGTCGAGAGATCGTGAAAGATCTGGGCGATTCTGAGCCATGCCATTTTTACCTTATGTCTGCTAGAAAGTGTTGTAGTTGATTGACCAAACCAGTTCATAAGGGGAATTTTTTTTAAAAAACAACAAAAAAAAAAACATACAAAGATGGGTTTCTGAATAAAATTTGTAGTGATAACAGTATTCTTGGTGTAACTTATTTCTTGTGGAAGTTCTTTAAATTTCTTTTTCTTTATAAATCTGCTAGTCATCTTGGAGGTAAAGATTAATATCCATCCACCACTTTGAGTATAAATGAAATAATATTTTTTATCTTAGGGCATGAAATAAAACACATACCAGGTGAGATCTACATGCTAAATAATCCGGAATTTCTCGAGGCTGTCATGGAAAGCCTTTTGGGGTTTCTTTTCTAACTGGTTAGTGAAGAAGTGCTTAGCTATAATCAGTAGACACGCTGTAGACTGCACTGATGTTGGGAAGAAGGCTGATCTGTGGTGAGACACAGTGGGTGGGCCCGACCCATGTTACCTTCTCGTTCCTGCGAGTTTGTGTCAAGAACCCCATGTGTTCGTGGGAGGGAGCGTGGATGCTCACACGGCACACTGAGGGCCAGTAGTCCGTGTCCGTGTTTCCTTATGCCAATGGCTGTGGGAGACACAGAAGCCTGCGGTGCAGATCCGCCTTTAGACACTCTGGTATTACTTTCCCCAAGCTACTCGGGTGGCGCGTGCTGGTGGTGTGACTATGGTGACAGCCAGCTGACCGGTCTGGGGCACCTGCCACAAGTCAGTGCTGGGGGCTGAGCATTTCATTCCTAAGACCAAAACGTTCCAAGTGAGGCCATCCCAAACCATGCCCACGTGTCCACATACCTCATCCTCAAAAACCTCCTGGCTCTAGGTGGGAGTCACCCAGGCTCTCCTGCCCTGCTCTGCTCCTTGTGGGGGCTCAGTGACAGATCCTGCTGGTGGAGTAGGGGAGTGGCTGGGCCCTAACTACACACCCAGTGAAGATTGGCAGGACATACTACTTGACCATCTCATGAAAGCCCATTTGTATGTGATGAAGTTCAAGAAGGTGATGGTGTCGATTCACCTGGGAGGCTGAAGTGAGCTATGATCATGCCACTGCACTCCAGCCTGGGCAACACAGTGAGACCTTGTCTCTTAGAAAAAAATAGGTTTGTATACTATAGTAGTGGGCAGATAATTTTAGATGGGTTGGTGGCAGTGTTTGGCGATGTGGGTGGTGGGCAGAAATTTTAGATGGGTTAGTGGCAGTGTTTGGTGATGTGGGTGGTGGGCAAATGGTAATTTTAGATGGGTTAGTGGCAGTGTTTGGTGATGTGGGTGGTGGGCAAATGGTAATTTTAGATGGGTTAGTGGCAGTGTTTGGCGATGTGGGCCGTTTCGTTTATGTCCTTATACTCGACATGTTTCCAAAAAAAGTACAAACTTTTTTTTTCTTTTACCTTAACTTTGGTCAGTGATGGCCATTTATTAATTTCCACTCAGTCTGAAGGAGGGAAGATGGCAAAAGTTGTACTTTATATTTCTTAACCGCTAAGAATCAGAAAGCTTATTTAAAATATACATGACTTTGAGAGGCTGAGGCAGGAGGATCACTTGAGTCTAGGAGTTCAAGACCTGCCTGAGCAGCAAACATAGACCCCCATCTCAACAAAAAATAAAAAAATTAGCTGGGTGTGGTGGCACATGCCTGTGGTCTCAGCTACTCGGGAGGCTGAGATGGGAGGACCCACCCAAGCCTGGTAAGCCGAGGCTGCAGTGAGGTGTGATTGCCACTGTACTCCAGCCTGGGCAACAGAGTGAGACCCTGTCCCAAAAAAAAAACCAGTAAATGATAAAATGTGAATCAAAATGCCATAAAAAGTGTCTTCAGACATTGTAGTAAGAGGAGCTCACAGTCACACAGGAAGCCTGTCACCCTGCTCCCCACTCCCCCACCCCAGTGTGGGTCTATGATGCGGTTGAGGTGGGAAGGTGAGCATGACCCTGAGTGCCCATGAGGCACTGCTGCCCCTCTGGTGTGCGTGGATCATGGTTGAGAAAGAGCAGCCCAGTGAAATGAGTCCAGGCGGTCCACCAGTGGCAGATAGAGTTAAGCTTTTATACAGGTGCTAGGGCCAGGCAGATTGTTTTTAAAAAGGAAGAATATAAAAGCCACTTGAAATAATTTTGATTTATAATGAATTCAGGTCCAAATACCACTGTAAATTGTTTCTTACGTGAATATTATATGACGTTTGCTGAGATATAAAACCAAATGGCAAACAGCTGCCAGAATAAACTTTAAATACGGTATCAGCACATCTGATTCAACAGTGGTGTTGAATTATCTAAGTTACTGTGTGCTCCCTGCAGCAATTTTTTTTTAAGAGACGGAGTCTTGCTCTGTCGCCTAGGCTGGAGTGCAGTGGCACAATCTCGGCTCACTGCAACTTCCGCCTCCCAGGTTCAAGCGATTATATGCCTCAACCTCCTGAGTAGCTGGGATTACAGGCACACGCCGCCAGGCCCGGCTAATTTTTTGTATTTTAGTAGAGGTGGGATTTCACCACGTTGCCCAGGCTGGTCTCGAACTGCTGAGCTCAGGCAATCCACCTGCCTCGGCCTCCCAAAGTTCGGGGATTACAGGTGTGAGCCACCATGCCTGGCCTCCCTGCAGCATTCTTTTGCTTGCTGTTGAGTCAGGAGGACTAACAAGCTTACCATATGCATGTGCTTGTAAGTAGATAAGGATCATTTTAAATATTTCTGAAACCATGATTAATGGGGTCATTGCCCTGCTAATTGGAGAAAATCTGTTGCCTTCAAATGAACTGAGTATGGGGAAGGTATTGGTGGTGTGCCCACGGCAGTGTCTAAAGGGGTGATGGTGGTCACTGCCTCTTTTCTAGTTCAGGATTGAACTAGAATTTACCAAAAGGGAATAAACCTAAGAATGATTTCTGGAAAAAGTCTCAATTCAAAGCACAGAGGAAGAATAGAATTATAAAATCTGATTCTCGATCCTGTGCGATGGAAGGTAAGACTTTGAGTCTCAGAACACTAACAAGCCATGCGGGACGTGGCTATGGATGGCCCTAAAAAGCACTTTATTCCCAGACCGTGAATTTCACATTCCACCTAAATTTTACCAAAGACGGGATCAACATAAGATTTCTAACTTTTAATTTGCCAAGTGGGACTTTTTAGCTTGCTTTCAAGTTTCACCATCATTTCATGAAATAAAAGTTCTATTTTGGAAATATCTAAACATACATGACAGTAGGGAATGCAGTAATAAAGCCCACATGCTTTACCCTGCGCACCCAAGTTTGCATGCCTAACGCAGGGGACCCAGGAGAGGACAGCCGTCGAGCGTGTTCCGTGTTATGACGCTCCCTGCAGTGGCTTGTTATTTCATGTTTCCCAGGCTCCAGGGGTTCGCAGCCACCCAGTGGCCAGCACCGCCAGGACGCTGGGACATGCATGCACACCACGGGGTGAGCAAGACACAGTGCCTGCCTGGCGAATGCTGTGCCTCTGCCCTGGAGAAGCGGGGCTCAAATCGAAGCAGCACTTCCTAGGAACCACCGCTCTGTTCCCAGAGCTCCCTTCGGTCCAGATGAGCAGCCTGAGAAGTGAGAGGTCCAGGGGGATGGCGGGGTTAGAATCTCAAGGGCTTTGGAAATAGCAAAGCTGAACCAGGTTGTGGGGGCATGGAAGGTAAATTTTACCTGCCCTGAAAATCCAGACACCAGCAAGGGGAGTTGTGGTTGACATGGGACAAAGCAGGAAGAAAAGGGACCTCTTTAGCTCTTTATCCCAGTTGACCCACACAAGCTCTTGAGAAATAGGAGCGTCTCGCTCTGCAGAAGAGGGAACCGCTTCAGAGACCCTAAGTGGACCAGGCTGTCCCAGTGTGCTGTTCGCTGCAGGTGACAGACAATCTAACAAACTAGCTCCAACAACGAGAAGATGTGTTGGGCCGGGCGTGGTGGCTCACGCCTGTAATTGCAGCATTTTGGGAGGCCAAGGCGGGCGGATCACGAGGTCAGGAGATTGAGACCATCCTGGCCAACATGATGAAACACTGTCTCTACTAAAAATACAAAAAAAAATTAGCCGAGTGTGGTGGCACATGCCTGTAGTCTCAGCTACTCGGGAGGCTGAGGCAGGAGAATCGCTTGAACCCAGGAGGCAGAGGTTACAGTGAGCCAAGATTGTGCCACTGCACTCCAGCCTGGCTGATAAAGTGAGACTCCGTCTCAAAAAAAAAAAAAAAAAGGTGTTGGCTTCTGTAATTAGGTCCAGTGGCCTTGCCCTGCTGAGCTCTGGTCTGTGCCATGTGGGTTCCACATAACATTAGGCGAATAGCGAGATGGCCGATGCAGGCCATGACAGACACCCAGCATCTCGATCTCATAGGCCCAAGTTGGCATCACTTATTTTTCCAACCTGAAAAAAAGGTCAGCTTCCAAATTCTATGAACTGAGTGTGATACTGATCAAAATGGCCCACAGAACTACAGGGGCCTCCCAGTTCTGAATATGGATGCAAAACCCCCACATCCAATATTAGCAAACAGTCCAGCAGCGTGTTAAGGTAAATCTGCCAGTAGTGGGTGTGATTCAATCCAGGAAGTCAAGGATGAATGCTATCAAATACTTCATCTGTTCTAAGTTTTCTTACGTTGTTTCTTTTATTTTTTGAGACAGAGTCTCACTTTGTCACCCAGGCTGGAGTGCAGTGGCACGATCTCAGCTCACTATAACCTCTGCCTCTCCAGTTCAAGTGATTCTTGCGCCTCAGCCTCCTGAATAGCTGGGACCACGAGTACACACCACCACACCCGACTCATTTTTGTATTTTTCGCCATGTTGGCCAGGCTGGTCTCGAACTCCTGACCTCAGGTGACCCACCCACCTCAGCCTCCCAAAGTGCTAGGATTGCAGGCGTGAGCCGCTGTGCCCAGCCAACATTGTTTCTTATGGTTCCCCCAGTTACGCTTATGTTGCATCTCTTAGCTGGCTCCCATGTCTGTTATATTTTTAATTAGATGTATGATACATACAGCAAAGTACCTCAAAGCTAAACCTGGTTTAAAAGACAATTGCAAGGTGATCATCGTGGTCAAGAAGCAACACAAAGCCAGCATCCAGGCCAGCCCTCCCCGGCCATAAAATTCTTCCTCCCCCTAAAAGAAACAACTATCTTGACATTTGCAATAATCATTTTGTTTTGCTTTTACTATTTTACAAACTACATATGGTTCACTAAACATGACAGTTTTGCCTGCTTTTAGAAGTGAAATCATGTATGATTTTGTCTGGCACAGCTTGTCCACAATATTCAACTGTGTTGGGTGTAGCTGGCCTAAGATTTGCAGCTGGTGGGTGCATCAGTCTGGAAAAAGCAAAGAATACAGCAGTAAGTAATGGTGCAGGTACAAGTGAGCAGCCGCAGCCGGGAGACAGGTGCGGAAAGAGGAGGAGGAGTGCACGTCCTGGCGCGTGGAGCAGTGAGGGCAGATTTCCTGCGGCAGGAACCAGGAACACACTGGGGTTGTCAGGAAGGACTAGCACCAGGTCACAACAGCCCTGAAATCCCAGGACTCATGTCCCGCTCACCTACATGCCTGCCATCGGTCCTGCAGCTCAGAGCTGTCTTCACGGGGGCCAGGCTGACAGGGCAGCCCCCACCCAAAATGCTGCCAGCTTACAGGGAGGGAGGGAGAGAGAGGGGTGATGAGAGAGAGAGAGACTTCTTGCTGGCGCTCTGGCCCCTGACCAGAATGACCTGCAAGCTGCACATGCCACTGGGTGAAACCAGGCCCACAGTCACTCAGGACTGAGTACTGGGGGGCCCCAGAGGGAGGGACCCTGGGCATCCTTCCCCAGGTGTTGAAGACGTGTGCTGGGAAGAGATCAGGAAAAGGTTGGGGAGGACGCCAGGGAGAGCTCTCACAGGGCCTCATGGGCCATGGGAAGGACCTGGAATATTTTTTTTCCCTAGAAACAGGGTCTCATCATGTTGCCCAAGCTGGCTTCAAACTCCTGGGCTGAAGCCATCCTCCCGCCTCGGCCTCCCAAAGTGCTGGGAGTACAGGTCTGAGTGACCACACGTGGCTTGTCCCTGGAATCCCTAAGCTGAGTCGTGGGAAGGGTTTGAACAGGAGCATAAAGAGCTCTAATTTATATGCTTAAAGCAGTTTCTCACTGCAGTGTGGGGGACAGACTGCAGGCCGGGCAGGAGTGCAGAGGAGAAGCACACAGACAGGACTGTCCAGGCAAGAGCAGAGGGCGGCTTGGACTGTGATGGGCTTGGGGTGGTCCTCTCCGCTTGGTTTGTAAGCCGTTCTGGTGGGGTGCAGTGATGGGTGACTGTGGTTTTCATTTTCGTATTTCTGATGACTAATGAGGCCGGCACTTTTTCCTGCTGTTAACATTTGCATGTCTCTCTGTGAAGCCGGGTTTAAGTCTTTTGCCTATTTTAAAATATCGAGGCTGGGCACAGTGGCTCACGCCTGTAATCCCAGCACTTTGGGAGGCCGAGGTGGGTGGATCACCTGAGGTCAGGAGTTCGAGACCAGCCTGACCAACGTGGTGAAACCCCGTCTTTACTAAAAATACAAAAATTAACCGGGCCTGGTTGTCAGGCACCTGTAATCCCAGCTACTCAGGAGGCTGAAACAGGAGAATCACTTGAACCTGGGAGGCAGAGGTTGCAGTGAGCCGAGATCACGCCCATTGCACTCCAGCCTGGGTGACAAAAGTGAAACTCTGTCTCAAAAAAAAATAAAAATAAAAAAATTGAGTAGTTTGTCATTTTCTTATTTATTTCTAGATGTTTTTTATATACGGTGGAGATGAATCTTTTGTTGACGTGCGTTGCAAATATTTTCTCCCAGTCTGTGGTTTGCCTTTTCTCTCTCTAAATGGTGTCTTGATGAAAGCCTGTTCTTAGAATTCAACTAAGTTGATTTACCCATCTTTCGTCTGTACACGGTGCTTTTTGTGTTCCATGTAAGATACTTCTCGCCTCCCTAAGTTCCTGCTGATATTCTCTGTCTTTGTTGTAAGCCTTATATATATATATATTGTGTGTGTGTGTTTGTTTGTTTGGTTGGTTTTTTTTGAGATGAAGACTCACTCTGTCGCCCAGGCTGGAGTGCAGTGGCACAATCTCAGCTCACTACAACCTCCACCTCCTGGGTTCAGGCAATTCCCCTGCCTCAGCCTCCCAAGTACCACAGGCGCCCGCCACCACACCCGGGTAATTTTTGTATTTTTAGTAGAGATGGGGTTTCACCATGTTGGCCAGGCTGGTCTCAAACTGCTGACCTCAAGCGATCCACCTGCCTCAACCTCCCAAAGTGCTGGGATTATAGGCGTGAGCCCCCATCCCCAGCCTGTTTGCTTTTTGTTTTGTTTTGTTTTGTTCTGTTTTTGAGATGGAGTTTCATTCTTGTTGCCCAGGCTGGAGTGCAATGGTGCGATCTTGGCTCACTGCAACCTCCGCCTCCCAGGTTCAAGCAATTCTCCTGTCTCAGCCTCCCAAGTATCTGAGATTACAGGCACATACCACCACGTCTGGCTAATTTTTGTATTTTTAGTAGAGACAGAGTTTCACCATATTGGCCAGGCTGGTCTTGAACTCCTGACCTCAGGTGATCCACCCGCCTTGGCCTCCCAGAGTGCTGGGATTACAGGTATGAGCTATGGTGCCTGGCCGCTTGTGTGTGTGTGTGTGTGCGTGTGCGTGTTTTGTTTTTTTTTGAGAAGGATTATCACTCTGTCGCCCAGGCTGGAGTACAGTGGTGTGATCTCAGCTCACTGCAACCTCTGCCTCCTGAGTTCAAGCGATTCTCCTGCCTCAGCCTCCTGAGTTGCTCGAACTCCTGACCTCAAGTGATCTGTCTGCCTCAGCCCACCAAAGTGCTGAGATTACAGGCATGAGCCACTGCGCCCAGCCTGTTAGCTTGTTTTTGAGACAAGGTCTGGCTGTGTCGCCCAGGCTGGAGTGCAGTGGGTGTGATCTCAGCTCACTGCAGGCTCCATCTCCTGGACTCAAGCGATCCGCCCACCTCAGCCTTCCAAGTAGCTGGAACTACAGGTGTGCACCACCACGACTGGCTAATTTTTTGATTTTTTTTTTTTTTTTTTTTTTGTAGAAACAGGGATTCACCATATTGCTCAGGCTTGTCTCAAACTCTTGGGCTCAAGCCACCCTCCCACGTTGGCCTCCCAAAGTGCTGGGATTACAGGTGTAAGCCACTGTGCCCAGCCCCCGTCATAAGCTTTAATATGTTCACTTTCACATTTAGCTCTAGGATTTGTCTTCCTTTTGTTGTTGTCATTGTTGAGACAGGGTCTCACTTTGTCACCCAGGCTGGAGTGCAGTGGCATAATTATAGCTCACTATAGCCTCAAACTCCTGGGCTCAAGTGATTCTCCCACCTCAGCCTCCCATGTAGCTGAGAATATAGGTGCAAGCCACCATGCCCATCTAATTTTTTTTTTTTTTAATATAAACAGGGTTTCACATGTTGCCAGGCTGGTCTCAAACTCCTGGCTTCAAGTGATCCACCGGCCTTGGCCTCCCAGAGTGCTGGGATTACAGGCGTGAGCCACGCATGCAGCCATGTTCCGTGTCGGTGTGAAATCAGCGCTTTCCTACATGGATATCCAATTGCTCCAGCAGCATTTATTGTAAAAACAACCACCACCTTTCCCTGCAGGACGCGGCTCCCTCTGTGGTAGTCCCGTCACCGTGTGCAGATGGGTCTGTTCTTGGATTCCCTTCTGCTCGTGGGTCTTTTGCACGTCCTTGTGCCTGGGGTATATTTTGAATGAACAGGAGTCTACAGGGGCCGGGCACAGTGGCTCATGCCTGCAATCCCAGCACTTTGGGAGGCCTAGGGAAGTGGATCAGCCCAGGAGTTCAAGAGCAGCCTGGGCAACATGGTGAAACCCTATCTCTACAAAAAGTATTTAAAAACCAGCCAGGTACAGTGGCACATGCCTGTGGTCCTAGCTGCTCGGGAGCCCGAGGTGGGAGGGTCACTTGAGCCCAGAAGGTTGAGGCTGCAGTGAGCCAGGACTGCACCACTGCACTCCAGCCTGGGCAACGGAGCAAGACCTGACTCAAGAAAAAAAGAGCCTATGGGATTTGCTGTTGCGTCCAGTGTGGGCTGTGAGAGAGAATTCAAGGATGCCTCTGAGGGTTTTCACCTGAGTAGACTTTTTTTGCCTTATCAACTTTATTTCTGACAAAGCAGATTGGAGAACATGAATCTAGATTTTAAGGCCCAGAGAACTTGTAAGGCCATCCCTGTCCATGGTCTGACCCGGGACTGCCCACCTGCGGGTCAGCTTGGGCCCACACAGCATGCAGGGACGCTGGCCCTGTGCCTGCTTGGGGGTAGGGAGGGAGTGAGTCCCCAGGGCTCGCGCCATTTAAACAGATCAGCGCCCTGCAGTGCAGGCATCTGCACAAGTCAGTGCCGAAGCCTCGGCATGACGCGGTCAGACAGGTCACACTCCTCTCCAGGGAAGGATGGGGGGTGGGGGGGTGAGGAGAGAAGCCAGGAGTGGCCCCTCATGGAAACATGACACTGTTCCCGTGTTCCCTCACCCAGAGTGGGCTGGGCAAGGCATCAACCATGCCAAGGCTGTCCTCCCGCACCCCGAGGCCACTTCCTTAGTGCCCACTGCCACCCCTCAGGCTCCTCCTGGTTCCACGGACAGTTGGCTTCTTCCCCAGGAAGGTTTTGAACCAGTGAGATCCATGCAATAATCAGGTTAACTCAAGCGCCACCCGGCAGCCAAGGCTGACACGCCGCGCCGCCTCCCCGGTCTCGGGAGCTCCCAAGCGCTTTGTAAGAGATCAGCTGAGACCCATGGTGGCCTGAAGCCGCACAGTCTGGAAAATATGACTCCCCTCCCATGGCCGGGCTCCCCTCCCACCGCCAGGCTCCTAAGAGAAAACATGGTCTAAAGCTGAAATCGCCTTCTCCTCTCTAACGCCCAAAGAAATTAAAGTCCAAGGTCTTTTCTTTCTAGCACGTCATATGTGACAGAACCTTCTCAACCAAACAGTCCCGAGACCGCCCAGATGGCTGTCTTCCCATGCCCGTGCTCCGGGGGCAGCAGGACAGGCCTGGAAACTGAGTCTGCAGGTCTGTGGAGCTTTCAGGAGAGAGCCGGGCCTGGGCCCAGCAACCCAGCAAGTGAGGTCACCACCCAGCCTCGGCCATCTTGCCAGGGGTTCCAGCTGACTTGTTAGATGGCATGGTGTGGCTCTCAGCAAGGAAGCCAGCCCCTCACCCCCCTGGGACTCCCCCTCAACAGGGCACCTCCCTCTCAGCAGCATTCCAGGAGCAGCTGGCCTGTTCACACAGCGGGGCATCCTTGGAGCCTACATTCCACCCCACGCAGCCAAACTCGATTTGGAAAACGCCTACCTCCAACTATTCAGGCACCTCCTCAAATCCCAGGTCTTTTTTTAAAAATAAGTTGAATCAGCCAGGGGCACGGTGGCTCACGCCTGTAATCCCAGCACTTTGGGAGGCTGAGGTGGGCAGATCACCTGAGGTCAGGAGTTTGTCACCAGCCTGGCCAACATGGCAAAACGCTGTCTCTACGAAAAACACAACAATTAGCCAGGTGTGGTGGGTGCCTGTAATCCCAGGGAGGCTGAGGCAGGAGAATCGCTTGAACCTGGGGGATGAAGGTTGCAGTGAGCCGAGATTGCACCACTGCACTCCAGCCTGGGTGACAGAGCGAGATTCCGTCTCAAAAAATAAATAAATAAAAATAAGTTGAATCAGCCGGGTGCGATGGCTCACACCTATAATCCTAGCACTTTGGGAGGCCGAGGTGGGTGGATCACCTGAGGTCAGGAGTTCAAGACCAGCCTGGCTAACACGGTGAAACCCCGTCTCTACTAAAAATACAAAAAATTAGCCGGGCGTGGTGGCAGGCGCCTGTAGTCCCAGCTACTCAGGAGGCTGAGGCAGGAGAATGGCGTGAACCCGGGAGGCGGAGCTTGCAGTGAGCTGAGATCACGCCCCTGCACTCCAGCCTGAGTAACAGAGCAAGACTCCATCTCCAAAAAAAAAAAGACCAGCCTGGCCAACATGGTGAAACCCCATCTCTACTAAAAATACAAAAATTAGCCAGGCACGGTGGAACGCACCTGTAATCCCAGCTACTTAGGAGGCTGAGGCAGGAGAATAGCTTGAACCCGGGAGACGGAGGTTGCAGTGAGCCAAGATTGCACCACTGCACTCCAGCCTGGGCGACAGAGTGAGACTCCGTCTCAAAAAAAAAAAAAAAAAGTTGAATCATAGGAAATTGCCATTTTTTTGTGGGTCAAAAGGTCACATTTCAGCAATTTCACGTGGTTCAAACTGGGGCTGATTGGCGTCGTGGGAGGACCACAAAGTC
This sequence comes from Homo sapiens, assembly GCF_000001405.40. NCBI lineage: Eukaryota > Metazoa > Chordata > Mammalia > Primates > Hominidae > Homo > Homo sapiens. The sequence continues at coordinate 43,081,680 of NC_000021.9, read as the reverse complement.
CCATGGGTAAGAGTGGGCCCAGGAGTCCCGCCGCCTGGTCTCACCCAGCTCTGCTCCCTGTTCCTGCACACTCGTCTTTCTCTTCTGTAAAGGGATGGTCAGGTCGTGCCCCTCCTTCAGTGTTAGGAAGATCCTGTCAGGTAACACAGGTGAAGCTCCCAGAGCAGGGCCTGGCACATCCGCAATCAGTGCATGGCAGTCAGTTGTTGCCGTTGTCGGTAGCAATAGCATTAGTAACTGTAGCCGGGTGTGGTGGCTCACACCTGTGCTCCCAGCTACTTGGGAGGCTGAGGCAGGAGAATCACTTGAGCCCAGGAGGTCAAGCCTGCAGGGCGCCATGAATGCACCACTGCACTCCAGCCTGGGAGACAGAGCGAGACCCTGTCTCTAGAAAAATGAAAGATACAGGCTGGGTGCGGTGGCTCACGCCTATAATCCCAGCACTTTGGGAGGCTGAGGCGGGTGGATCACCTGAGGTTGGGAATTCGAGACAAGCCTGACCAACATGGAGAAACCCTGTCTCCATTAAAAAATACAAAATTAGCTGGGCGTGGTGGCGCATGCTTGTAATCCCAACTACTCGGGAGGCTGAAGCAGGAGAATCGCTTGAACCCGGGAGGCGGAGGTTGCAGTGAGCCAATATCACACCACAGCACTCTGGCCTGGGTGATAGGGTGAGACTCCATCTCAAAAAAAAAAAAAAAAGAAAGAAAAAGAAAAAGAAAAGATACAGTATTAGTAACTGAAGGTGGGATGTGGGGGTGTGGGGGTGGGGCAGACACGCAGAACGGGGAGCAGGAACTCTGCTTGCCCAAATGCAGAGTGGAGAGATGGCGTGAAAGTGAGTGAGTGCACACGTTACTCTCGGAAAATGACACAGCGTTGCTGGAAGACGTGCAGCCAACCTGAGACACGGACCGCCTGCATTCCTGGGCCAGCAGACTCGCCCCTCAAGTCAAAAGGAATAAATGTAACCAAAGAAGTGTGAGACTTACATACCCCAAATCCCAAAACACCACTGAAAGAAATTAAAGATCCAAGCTCCTCCTGGACGCCTGGGCTCAGGAACCCTCCCCTCAGAACGATCTTGGCCACCGACCTACACAAATCCTCCCCTCCTCTCATACCCAAAGGGCATTGTTGCTATAGTGCCAGCCCTTCAGCCCCTCGGATGCTCCAGCTCCTTATTCTAGAACTCTCCATCGGCAGTTCTTTCTCTCCAGTGACGCTGCCTGTCCATGGACCCACCAGCTTTTCACTGTCCCTGCCGCCTGCTGCCCATCCTTCCCGCCCCACCCAGCGCAGATCCCTGCAAACAAACGCAGCTCAGCCTCCCGTCTGTGCCGTCTCCCACCAACACACTCAGACAAAACTTCACTCTCACACGTAACCCAGCCTGCAAACAGCCCCAGTCCCGGTGGCTCCCAGCAAAGGGCATTTTGTTCTTCCCCTGCCGGGCTCTGCAGGGCTGGGCCCCGGGCTGCAGGTTGAGGTCAGGGCCGCTGTCCCTGAGGTCTCAGCTGCAAACAGGCACACTCCCTTCTGCTGTGTGTCCCAAGGGGTGAAGCAAACCACGGCTCAGCCCAAATCCAAAGGGTGGGTAAGTTTCCGCCACTGCCGTGACTTGGGCAGGGAGAGAGAATCTCGTAAACACACACGACCATCTCCAGCGCTCTTCCCCTGCCCTGCCACGCGGGCCACTCACCGCAGCCAGAGAAAAGCACAGCCGTGCTGCCAGGGGCCTGGGAAACTTGTGAATGGAAATTCGCAGGAGCCCTCAGTGCTGCCCACCTCTCCTCCTTCCCTTCCTCTTCCTCCTCCTTCCCTTCCTCTTCCTCCTCCTTCCCTTCCTCTTCCTCCTCCTCCTCCTCCAATCTCCTCCAGTTCTGAGGGCCCAGCCTTCCGGCCACCAGGGGATGGTGCAGGCCCAGGCCTCTCCCCTCTGCTCGCCCCCCAGTGGGGTAGCGGTTTATCCTCTGTCCACTCATGACATGTGCACTTTCTGCATACGTGTTATACTCTGAACAAAAGTAACAACAACAAAACCCTCCATCAGCTCGGCCTCGCTGTCCACTTGCTGCTGACCAGCTGTCAGGCCTATTCCTTTGAAGAAACAGAGGTGATTAGAAGGAAGCTCTTCCACCTTGTCCACAGGACGCCAGCATTCCTGCATCTCTGGCTCTGAGCTCCTTCCCAGTACAATGTGGTGGGCCAGGCCCTCCTGGGGGCTCTGCTCCTGCAGTGCCTCCTCTCATGTAGGCAGACACAGAAATGAGGCAGAGGCTAGAAAATGATGAGGGCCGGGGAGATGTGTTTTTCTTTTTTCTTTTTTTCTTTTTTTTTTTTTTTGAGATGGAGTTTCGCTCTTGTTGCCCAGGCTGGAGTGTAGTGGCGCGATCTCAGCTCACTGCAACCTCCACCTCCCAAGTTCAGGCGATTCTCCTGCTCCAGCCTCCCGAGTAGCTGGGATTACAGGTGCCTGCCACCACAACCAGCTGTATTTTTTCTTTCTTTCTTTCTTTCTTTCTTTTTTTTTTGTATTTTTAGTAGAGACGGGGTTTCACCATGTTGGCTAGGGTGGTCTCGAACTCCTGACCTCAGGCGATCCACCCGCCTTGGCCTCCCAAAGTGCTGGGATTACAGGCGTGAGCCATTGCGCTGGCCAGTTTTTGTATTTTTAGTAGAGACTAGAGACGGGGTTTTGCTATGTTGACCAGGCTGATCTCAAACTCCGGACCTCAGGTGATCCTCCCACCTTGGCCTCCCAAAGTGCTGGGATTACAGGTGTGAGCCACCCCACTTGGCCATTCGTGCACTTTCAGTGGTCAGGTGTAGCTTTTTCATTTTAAAATAGGACCTACGGCTCACATTGATATAACTAAGTGAATAAATAAATGAGGGAGAAGGAAAACTCTAATAATGGAATGCCAAATGGTACATGGAGGAGTGATGGGCTTAGAAAAACCACTATTCAGCAACCATTTTATTTTATTTTATTTTACTTATTTATTTACTTTTTTTTTTTTTTGAGACGGAGTCTTGCTCTGTCGCCAGGCTGGAGTGCAATGACACAATCTCAGCTCACTGCAACCTCCGAGTCCTTGGTTCAAGTGATTCTCCTGCCTCAGTCTCCCGAGTAGCTGGGATTACAGGCACGCACCACCATGCCCAGCTAATTTTTGTATTTTTAGTAGAGGCGAGGTTTCACCATGTTGGCCAGGATGGTCTCAATCTCTTGACCTCGTGATGCGCCCGCCTCAGCCTCCCAAAGTGCTGGGATTACAGGTGTGAGCCACAGCTCAGCAACCATTTTAATAAAAATCAATTCAGACAAAATCATCAGTAAGTGTTAAAACTAGAGAGTGGGCTGGCTGCAGTGGCTTACCCCTGTAATCCCAGCACTTTGGGAGGCCGAGGCAGGTGGATCACCTGAGGCCACGAGTTCGAGACCAGCCTGTCCAACATGGTGAAACCCCGTCTCTACTTAAAAAAAAATACAAAAAATAGCCAGGTGTGGTGGCAGGCACCCGTAATCCCAGCTACTTGGGAGGCTGAGGCAGAAGAATCGCTTGAACCCGGGAGAGGGAGGTTGCAGTGAGCCGAAATCACACCACTGCACTCCAGCGTGGGGGGGAGGTTGCAGTGAGCTGAAATCACACCACTGCACTCCAGCGTGGGTGACAGAGAAAGATTCTGTCTCAAAAAGAAACAAAACAAAACAAAATAACAAGTTAGAGAAACCAGATAGACTGAGTGACAGATTCATACACACCTGCACACGTGTGTGTGTGTGTGTGTGTGTGTGTGTGTGTGTGGAGAGACAGAGAGGGAGCAAATGTAGTAAAAACTTAACATTTGAAATAACAATGAGTTTCTGATAATAGAAGCAAAAAAAATTAATATTTGGAAAATCTGGATGAGGGAATATGACATTCTGTATGGTTCTTGCCACTTTTCTAATCTAAAATTACGTTAAAATTTCTAAAAAATTAAAAAGTATTTGGGCTGTGTAACAAATTACTGCAAACTTGAGTGGTTTAAAACAACACACATTGGGCTGGGCGCGGTGGCTCACTCCTGTGAGCCTAGCACTTTTGGGAGGCCGAGGCGGATGGATCACCTGATGTTAGGGGTTCGAGACCAGCTTGGTCAACATGATGAAACCCCGTCTCTACTAAAAATACAAAAATTAGCCTGGCATGGTGGTGCGTGCCTGTAATCCCAGCTACTCGGGTGGCTGAGGCAGGAGAATCGCTTGAACCCGGGAGGCTGAGGCTGCAGTGAGCCAAGATCTCACCATTGCACTCCAGCCTGTGTGACACAGACTCTGTCTCAAACAACAACAACAAAAACAACACCGTTTATCATCTTTCTCTCCCGCAGGCTGGCTGAAGGCTCTGAGGGAGGCCCTGGCCACCTTTCCCAGCCCTGTGGAGGCCGCCAGCCATCCCTGCCATTTCTCGTCTGGTGGCAGCACATCTCATCTCTGCCGCCATCTCCACATGGCCTTTTTCTCTCCGCGTGTCTGTGTCCACGTCTCTCTTCTTATAAAGACTGGACAGGATTTTTTTTTTTTTTTTTTTTTTTTTTTTTTTTTCTGGAGACAGTCTCGCTCAGTCGCACAGGCTGGAGGACAGTGGCGCGATCCCGGCCTCCAATGCCACCTTCCAGAGCCTTCATGATGTAACTCCATCCCTGTCCCCTCCCCACATCGCCGGCTTTATTGTTCTTCGTGTCAGTTCCTGCCAGTGGACATTTAATTCTAATTCACGTCTCACTCCCTCCCCTACTGTGAGCCCCACGTGGCAGAGACCGCGGCGGAGCTGCGCGGGCCGGAGGAGGCTGCGGAGCATCGCTCTGACCTGAGCCGGGGACGCTGCGGAGGCGCAGCACGTTCCTCTGCCCAGAGCTGATGGGCACCGTCCGTGTCTTTCGCTGCAGGTCCGGGGGGAGACTCGGGGGCCTGGGATCCCCCATTTAGCCATAGGGCGGGGGGATCAGGTTCAGCCTCTGAAAGTCCAGAGCACGATGTTTGGGAAACGGCCCCGCCCGCGGCCTCCGGGACCTGGCGAAGGAGCCCCGCGGGGCGCCCCTGCTACCACCCTGCGCGGAGTCGGCCCCGTCCCCGAGAGCGCCCGGCAGCCCCTGGCCGTGGGCCGCACCGGAGCCGCGCAAGGCGACTGTTCTGCGCCTCGGCTCGGGGTTCGGACCCGGCTCTGGGCGCGGTCACGCGGGGCGCTGCGCACGGCGTCCGGCGGCCACAGAGCGCGGCCATCGAGTCCCGCCCCGGCGCGGCGCCCCCTCCCGGGCCCGCGACACACGCCCTCGGGGTCGGTCCTCGAGGACGCGCAGGGCCCCCCACCCACCAGGACGCACGTTTCAAGCTCATCAGTAAAGGTTCCTTAAATTCCCGAAGGGCAAGAAGTTAACCAAGTAAAACAGCATCGGAACACCAGGTAGAAGACACCACCGGGGTCCGCGGGTGGGGGTGGCTGGAACCCGGGGCGGGCGGGCTCAGGCGAAGAGGAAGGCGGGGGAGGGGGCGGCGACCCGGGTCTGCGGTTGAATCAACAGGGCGTGGGAATGGGGCGGGCGGACTGGGGTGGGGGCATGCCGGGGTCCCGGGGAGGGCGGGGGTCGGGCAGGCCGGAGGGTCCCAGGCTGCGGCGGGGTGGGGAAGGGGTGGGGGGGAGGGGCCCGGGCTGGGTGGGGTGGAGGAGGGGCTGGGGGGGCGGGTGCTCTGCCACGAGACATTGGCCGGCGCCGGCCTCCGCCCCCGCCTCTCCGCCAATCACCGCCCGCCTGCTCCCCTCGCCGTGGGTCCCCGCGAGGCCGCCACCCCGGGGTCGCCGTCTCCGCCTCGCCGCAGTCGGGGCAGCCGCTCGCCCCTCTTTTCCATGTATCCGTCCAGGTGAGATCCGGCCCCACCGAGACTCGCTCCCCTCTCTGGACAGAGGATCTCAACTGGGTCCCGGTTTCCCTCTCCGCGCCTCCGCCCAGAGTTGCATCATCTGCACCGAAAGGCGGCGAGACAGGGTCTCCCAAGACCCCCGCCCCACCGGCGCCCACGCCTGCGGTCTTGACCGCCCAGAAGATGGGGGCTGGCCGTGCACGTGGCCCCGGGCTCCCACCCCAGCCCCCGCGCCGGCGGAGTGGACCCCACTGGCGGCGAGTCCTGGAGCGTGGAGCAGGGACGCGGGGTGGGAATCCGGGGGAGATGCACGTTTCGGTGCCCAGCATTGAGTTCGCTGCATTGTGGATGGGAAATGGCTGTTTGCAAATCGCCCTTTTTGGCGGACCGTGTGGGGTGGCGGTAAACGCTGTCGTTGCGCGGGCGGCACGCGAGGTGGGTGCCCGCTGGGGGAGGGACGCGGGGCTCTGCCCAGGTTGCGTTCGGGGGATGGAGGTTTTCCTGGGACCTCACTTCCCTGAGCCCCAGGCGAGACCGCAGCTGAGCTGTAGGATGCAAGCGGGAGGCGGAGCGTGGGTGGGAGAGCGGAGCGCGAAATTCTCGGCTTCCCGAGGATCTTCTGGGCTTACTTGTCCCCAGCTTTGTCCCAAAGTGTCGCTTCCGGAGGCGGAGTGGCCGGCGGTTTCCGGGTCTCAGTAGGGTCTGGATCTCCCACCTGGAAACCTAGAGGAGTTTCCCGCTCTCCGTGCGCGTGGCCTTCCCCAGGCCCCTCCGGGAGTGCTGGCGCGCGAGTGCAGGGGTGCCCCGGGAACGTCGTGACCCCAAGGGGGTCTTGTGGTTTAAGGAGCGAACGGAACCGGCCAGGCGATGCCAGCTGAACCCGCCTTCCCGGGACGCACGTGCATCCGGCCGCCCGGCGCTGTTGTCTTGGGGAGCCCGCGGGTTCGGGTCTGGGTCGCCTGGCGAGCTTTCCGCCGAGCGCCTCTGAGTTCTACAGAGCCCCGACGGCTTGCGATCTGCGTTCCCGGCAGTCCCTTACCTTGCGAGAGAGGGCTCCAGGGCGAGGCGAGGGGCCAAAAGCAAGGCGCTGGGCCGCCTGCGTCTGCCGGGGCCTCGGGTCCACGGCTTTCTGGAAGATTCGGCGGCGGAGCATGCGCGCCCCAGGCCAGACAGGGCCTGTGCCAGACGGAGAGTCCCTTCCCGTAGGTGACTCCCGCGACCCGCGGAGGAAGGTGCTGCTCCGCTCACGGCGGCGGCTTCTTACAAGGTTGGGATAGAAAGAAAAGCGTGGGACACGAACCTCTGAAAGCGGGTGCATTTTTCTGGGGAAGAGAAGATCCAACGCCTTCGGATTTTCAGACAAGTCCGTGGTCCCAAGACCTTGAAAGCACCACCCTCCAGGGTCGTTTGAAGCCGCTTTGGCCCCCAGTCTGGTGAATTGCAAAGGTGGAGGGGAGGCTGGGAAGTCCAGGAGGCCAAGCTGAGGCCTGGGTAGGGCCTGTGCGCAGAGACCACCTGAACAGCATACTCCAAGGGCTTCCAAAGGCAGCCGGCTTCCGCAACTTTTTCTTTTTTAATAGGCTTTTTAAAAAAAAAGCAGTTTTAGGCCGGGCGGGGTGGCTCACTCCTATAATCCCAGCACTTTGAGAGGCTAGGCGGGCGAATCACCTGAGGTCAGGAGTTCGAGACCAGCCTGGCCAACATGGTGAAACTTCGTCTCTACTAAAAATACAAAAATTAGCCGGATGTGGTGGCGGGCGTCTGTAATCCTACTCAGGAGGCTGAGACAGGAGAACTGCTTGAACCCGGGAGGTGGAGGTTGCAGTGAGCCGAGATCGCACCACTGCTCCAGCCTGGGCAACAAGAGGGAGACTCCGTCTCGAAAATTTAAAAAAGAGCAGTTTTAGATTTAGAAAAATTGAAAAAATAGATAGAGTTCCCCCAGTTTCCCCTGTTATTAAGATCTTAAACTGATGTCGTATATTTGTTACTTTATTTATTTTCTTTTATTTTTATTTTTATTTTTATTTTTTGAGACGGAGTCTCGCTCTGTTGCCAGGCTGGAGTGCAGTGGCGCGATCTCGGCTCACTGACCTCCCCCTCCCGGGTTCAAGCGATTCTCCTGCCTCAGCTTCCCGAGTAGCTGGGACTACAGGTGTGCGCCACCATGCTTGGCTAATTTTTGTAGTTTTAGTAGAAACGGGGTTTCACCATGTTGGCCAGGATGGTCTCGATCTCTTGACCTCATGATCCGCCCGCCTCGGCCTCCCAAAGTGCTGGGATTACAGGCGTGAGCCACCGCGCCCGGCCTATTTGTTACAATTAATGAGCCAATTCCACGATCACATAACCATTGTTGACATTAACCAAAGTCCGCGCTTGAGTCAGATTTGCAGAGTTTTCTCCTCACTGCCCTTTTCTATTCCAGGATCCCATGACAGATTCTGTTGTCACGTCTCCTTACAGAGTTTGAGCGGTGCTGAACTGTCAGCACCATCTGTCCGGTGAGTGACGGCTGTGGACTTAGTCTTCCTGTTGAATGTGGGGAATCAAAGGAGGGTGAAGCGGGGCTGAGCCCAGTCCTGGGCCCTCTGAAGAAGGCAAGGTGGGAGGTGGTCGTGGGTTCCTTGTCCCCCCAGAGGAGGGGCAGCAGATGGGACCTCGCCTGGCTTTCTTTTTGCTTTCTTCTTTTTTTTTTCTGTCTCATCTATTTCAGGTGCGTGTGTGTGTTTTTAATCCTGGGTAAAATACACGTAACACTGATCACTGTAACCATTTCTAAGTGTGAGGCAACCACCGTGACTATCTCCACCCAGAACGTTTTCATCATCCCCAGCACAACCTCTGCACCCATTAAACAATCACCCTCCCTTCCCCACTCACCTCAGCCGCTGGCCGCTTCTATTCTACTTTCTATCTCTATGAATTTGCCAGACATAGAGGGGCGTTCGAGAGTCCCAGGTGCCTCATCGTGGAAGTGGAATCACACAGTATTTGTCCTTTTGTGTCTGGCTCATTTCGCTTGGCATAATGTCCTGAAGGTTCGTCCGTGTTGTAGCGTGTGCCAGAATTCATTTCTCTTAGGGCTGAGTAATATTCTAGTGTGTGTATGAGCCTACTGTGTGTGTTCATCCGTCTGCGGATACGTGGGCTGCCTCCACGTTTTGACTTGTGAATAGTGCAGCAGTGAGCATGGGTGTGCAAGCATCTGTTTTGTTGTTGTTGTTTTATTTTTTAAATAGAGATGGGGCTGGAGCCCAGGCTGGTCTTGACCTCGTGGACTCAAGTGGTCCTCCTGCCTCAGCCTCCCGAAGTGCTGGGATGAGAGGCGTGAGCCACCGCACCCGGCCCAAGCAACTGTCTGCTTCCATTTTTTTTGGTATATGCCTATAGGAGAGAAATGGCCAAGCGGCTGCCCACAGGGCTGGTGCCTGTGTTTTTGTGCAGTTCTTCCTGGGCTTCTCTGAGGGAGCAGAGCACGCCTCCCAGAGGGGGCCGGGTCAGCAGGGTTCGCTGGAACCCCACAGCATCCGAGCCTGAACCGACGCCTCTCTCCTTGCTTTGCCAGGTCCCAGCATGCCTTCTGAGACCCCCCAGGCAGAAGTGGGGCCCACAGGCTGCCCCCACCGCTCAGGGCCACACTCGGCGAAGGGGAGCCTGGAGAAGGGGTCCCCAGAGGATAAGGAAGCCAAGGAGCCCCTGTGGATCCGGCCCGATGCTCCGAGCAGGTGCACCTGGCAGCTGGGCCGGCCTGCCTCCGAGTCCCCACATCACCACACTGCCCCGTAAGTCCTGCTTTTGATCACAAGAGGGCTGATCCATAACCTGGAGGGCAGGAGTTTGTTACCTGGACACCACACAGCCAGGAGGACATGAGGTGTAACCCCCTGTAGTCACTCTGGATTGAGGAGCTGGGGGTGGGGCCATGCCGTGTAGATGAGGCTCTGAGAGGCCAAGGCCTCCTTACGCTGCAGCCCAGCGCCTAGGCCAGTGCCTGGCAAGACAGTGGATGCTCAGCAAGTAGTTCCAGAATAAATAAATAAATGTGCCCAGGTCACATGCTTTGCCCGGTCTGTGGCTGCGTGTGCACATTCACTGGAGGTGAGGGACCAGGATCCTGCCTGCGCTCTCTTATTTATTTATTTTTTATTTTTTTGAGACACGAGCTGGAGTGCAGTGGTGCAATCATGGCTTACTGCAGCCTCAATCTCCCCCAGTTAAGGGATCCTCCCACCTCAGCCTCCCAAGTAGCTGGGACTATGGGTGCCCACCATCACACCCAGCTGATTTTTGTATTTTTAGGAGATGGGGTTTCACCCAGGCTGGTCTTGAATGCCTAGGTTCAAGTGATCCGCCTGCCTTGGCCTCCCACAAGTGTTGGGATTACAGGTGTGAGCCACCGCGCCCGGCCCAGCCTGCACTTTTCCGTTAACTCTAGGTCATGAAGACTTCCCGTAGGCATTACATATTTTTCCATAAGGGCTGTTTTTCTGGTGGCACAGACTGTTCGGTGAAGAAGCCATCATTTTGTAAGCCCTCTACGGGGTAGATAGATGTTTGCAGTTACCTCATTTTACATAACTGCAATAGAAGATACGACACATTCATTTAGCCAACAAGTCTTTCCTCAGCGCCATGTGCATTTCGTGCCCTGCTCAAGGCGCAGAAGATCTATCAGTGGAAAAGACAAATCAACAAAAATCCCTACCCCAGCATGAAACTGAAATCAAGCTCACTAAGCCTTAGGATTATCTTTATTTCCTTAGTGTAATCTTGGAGGAGAACAAATAGATCAAAGAATGTGCTTCTTAGATGTTTGATTCCTTTTTTTTTTTTTTTTTTTTTGAGACAGAGTCTCGCTGTCACCCAGGCTGGAGTGCAGTGGCGCGATCTCAGCTCACTGCAACTTCTGCCTCCCGGGAAGCGATTCTCCTACCTCAGCCTCCCTAGTAGCTGGGATTACAGGCATGTGCCAGCACGCCCGGTGGATTTTTATGCTTTTAATAGAGATGGGGTTTCACCATGTTGTCCAGGCTGGTCTTGAACTCCTGACCTCAGTTGATCCACTCGCCTCGGCCTCCCAAAGTGCTGGGATTATGATTCCTATTTTGTGTCCACCACTACCAGCGTTTATGGTTGTTGATTTACAGTTCAGAATGGGTGGGGGTGGCTGGGTGTACTCTCAGTGCAGCAATAGAAAGAAAGAAGTGACAGTGGACAAACCCAGAAGGTCTGAGTGTCAAACATACTCAGTGCTGGGAGCTCAGGAGGCCAAGCAGATGTGTGGGCAGCCAGGAGGATGGGCTCTTGCTGCCAAGACAAACCCAAGAGAGCAGTGGGTGAGAGGCCCGGTGAGGTCGGGAGTGGCTGCTGGAGGGTGGAGTGGGCAGGGAAGACAGGCCCGATTCCTGAGGGCTCCGTGAGCTCCTAACTCTAGGGCATGAGAAGGAGACGATGCCCTCCAGGTTGTAAATGGCGTTGCACCTGCACCTCACATACTGGCCTCATTCATCCTCCGAAGACACCCCCATCCTGAGACGCAGAGCCGACGCCGCTTGTCTCCAGTCGGAGGGCCCCTGAGAATAGTGGCGTTGCGGGGAGGTGCTGCAGAGGTGGGTCAGGAGTTGGAGGTTCATTCTAGGACAGTGGCGTGTCCTCCCAGGAGCCTCTTGGGCTGTGGAAGTGGGAGTCCTTGAGATAAGGGGCTCCAGGGCTATCCCTGCAAGTCACATCCTTTTTCTTGCTAAGCGCTCTGGGCCTGGCCCTGATCACCTCTGCAAACTTCTCAGGTAACTTCACAGCCACCGAGGCCCAGTGCTGAGTCAGCACACCTGCTGCAGGGAGGCGGGACTCTTCCCGCCTGGCTGGCCAGATGCCCGAACTGAATTAATGAACTAATCCCCGGCGCTGTCACCCTGGGGCTTGGCTTTCCACCTGGCCCTGGCTCTCTACACCTGCCAAGCCTGGTTCCCTTCTGCCGAGAACTGCTTCTGAGGGAACCTCCCTGGCCCCTGTACAGTTTGGGGACCTGGCAGGACTGCCTTCTGCTCCCCGGGAAGGGTGCGATTGGATTCCAGCTGCTCTTGTTGGCGCCTGTTTTGGCCTTCAGGGTAGCTCTCCCTGCAAATGTGGCACTCCCTCCATGGCACAGGACCTCTGGGAGCTGGGTTCACCCCAGGTCTAAGGGTCGCCTCCTGGGGGGCAGGACCCAAGGACCCTGGCTGTTCAGCAGGTGACTGTGCTGAAGAGGGGGCCCAGGGTTAGCCACGGGGTGTCATCGGAGCTGCAAGGCCCAGGGAGGGGTTGCGGGTCTGGAGACCGCTGTAAGCCATGCGTGTTCCCAGATGAGTATGTGGTGAGCTTGGTGCAGATAGATAGGGGGTGTCATCAGCATCTCCCTGGGGGAGGATGGCAGGGGCATGAGGGCCATTTAGGAAACCACCTGGACCAGGGTTTGAGGGTTTACACAGCCAGATGCTGCAGGGCAGGGCATCACGAGCCTGGCCGACAGCGCCTCTGCCGGGGCTCTGAGTCTGCCACGTGCCTGACATTTTCTGTGCAGGGCTAGACATCCCGCCTGCGCTTTGCAGCCATTGTCCCTGGTCTAAGGAGTCTCTGCCCTGACACTTTTTTGCTTCCTATGGTCACATGCTGAGAGATGAAAGGAAATGTCATCTCCAGTAAAGCCTTTCTGAAAAGGTGGACCTAAACCTTTGTTTTGGAGTCAGTATTTGCTTATTTTAACTTTTTTATTTGGAAATAATTTACTACTCACAATAAGTGGCAAAAATAATAGATCCTTTGTACCCTTCTCCCAGCTTCCCACTAACAACATCTGCCACGACTGTAGGTTCATTTTCAAACCTGGGAAGCTGGCATTGGTGCAAATAAACCACAGGCATGATTTGCTTTTTATAGATTTGTATGTCTAAGCATGTGTGTGTATGTGTGTTTCAGGCGTGTGTGTGGGATGTGTGTTAGGTGTATCTGTGTACAGATTTGTGTAACCACCACCCAGATAAAGCCAGTTCTTTTTTTTTTTTTTTTTTTTTTTTTCCAGTTCTTCGAGTGTTGATTTGTGTAAGACAATGTCTGCCAGGGCTGGTACTATTTTTTTTTTTTTTCCTGAATAATTGTGGACTCCTCTGTTTCAGGGCAAAATCTCCAAAAATCTTGCCAGATATTCTGAAGAAAATCGGGGACACCCCTATGGTCAGAATCAACAAGATTGGGAAGAAGTTCGGCCTGAAGTGTGAGCTCTGTGAGTGCCCTGGCTTTGGAGAGGGGCTTCCTCCATCTACACTGGGCTCCGTGGGCCTGGGGGGTCCTGGGGGGTCCTGGGATGGATCCCTTAGGCAAGGCCCTGGGATCAGAAAACTCGCTGGTTAATGAGTGGCCAAGAACATATCAGCTTAAGTTTGGGAAAAACACACAACAGGGCATTGTGTCAGAGGGTGACCAAAGTGACTCCCCAGCAGATGGACCAGGGAACGAACAGGTGACCTTTGAACTGAGGCCGGAGTGGAAGCAGCGAGGGTGTGAAGGGCCGGGTGAGGGTCAAAGGCAGAAGCAAGCAGGTGGGGAGGGTTAGCGTCATGCCTGCTAAGGAGCAGTGGACGGGTCCTAGCACGTGCTGTGAGCCACCCGCTGTCCAGGGAGCGGTTACCTCTGTCTTGCCAGCTTCGTGGGGACAGATAGTTCAGCTCATCATTTATGAGACAGAGAATGGGAATTTGGAGGGTCTGTGGCTGGCCTCGTCCTGGGTGCGCAGGGGGTCACCTGAGGTGTGGTCTGAGGCCTCCGGGGAAGGGCATTTCTTTGCAGGACGCAGTTTCCAGGCTCAAGAACGTGGAGGGAATTCCTAAGGGTCGCTCTTCACCAAGAGCGCAGAGCCCTGGTAGACCTCAGCATCGTCACAGAGAAAGCTGTGGGTGCAGAGGCCTTGGGGACAAGGCGGGGACGGAATTTCGTATTTCAGATGACCAAGGCCAAGTGAGTTCGGAGGGAGGCAGGAAGGGTGCCGCGGAGAACCCCGCGACAGGGCCAGATGGAGGGGGTGGAGTTCGAGTGGGAAGGAGAGGGAACCAGTAACATGGCTTGGGACTTTTTCATCCTGAGATGCTCTAATGTCCCAGCCGGGGGACCTGTGAGAGCTGGGGCAGGCGCTGGGGGAAGGAAGTCAGGGGTCGGTGCGTTGGGAACCGATCGCCGATTCACAGGAGGGGCCTCGTGGGAGCCTGGCCCTCCTCTGCCCCCCTCTAGGGAAGGAGATCTCGGAGCTGCAGCAGAGCAGCCCCCTTCACAGAGACCCCCAAGGCAGCAGGGCCGGCTCTGTGCTCATTTGTCAGACAATAGGGACCCTTAACTCGTACGCAGCACGCGTGGCTGGCTCACTGTGCTCCGTACAGGATGACGTCTAAACTTGGTGGTTGCCCTTGAAGTAGGTTTTGGAATGCCCGTTTTACAGACAGACACACCGAGGGTCAGGTTGGTCACGTGGCTTGCCGGAGGCCACCAGCTCTGATTTCTGCTTCGGAGCTGGCCCCCAGGCGCTAGTGAGAATGATCTAACTGAGGGTTTCACAGTATGGGACCCAGAGGGGTCCGAGAATGCAGGCCTGTAGAGGGCCAGACCCCGAGAGTCCTCCCCACCACACACAGCGCCTCGTCCTGGTTCTAGGGGCAACACCTGTCTGGTGGTTGCTTTCAGAAATTTTGAGGTGCTGCAGGCTGGTCCCAGGTCCCTCAAATCACATTTCATGCAGCCCAGTCTCTCGCTCTTAAAAACTAAATATTTTTAAGAGCTGGAGAGGGAGAGAGGACTTGCAGTAAGGAAGGAAGTGCAAGTGAAGGCCTTGGCCTTGTGCGGGAACCGCGCAGGGAGCCCTTCCCCGGGCAGGTGACGCCCCACAGGGGGAGGAGGACAATGGGAGGCTGTAGGGAGAGTATGCGAGTCCCCATCCGATGGGGAAGCCAGTGCTGTGGCTTCAGGACATCAAGCTGCTTTGGCAGGGGCCGCTGGGTATGGCTGGGCATAGGGGCGTAGGGGACCCAAATCCAGGCGCCTGCCCGCCACAAGCCCAGCTCGTGGGTGGGGGGACGGGGTTTTCTGCGGCGCCCCCCAGTGAGGGCTGCTTATGCCTCTCTGGTTCCCACAGAGTTGCTCAGCGCCCTGCAGGACCGGTAGGATGGGCTGCAGGGGGAGAAGCTCTGATAGGCTAGTGCCCAGGTGCAGGTGTAGGGGAGGTGAGTGGAGAGGTGGCAATTTTTCAGAACCCACAGACCCCCAAGCCCGTCCCCCACCCTGGGGTGTATCAGGTAATGGGGGGGTGAGCAGGAATCAATGGGGGGGTGGTCAGGGGGTCCCCTCTGTGATTCATCTCTGCCTCCCAGTGGCCAAGTGTGAGTTCTTCAACGCGGGCGGGAGCGTGAAGGACCGCATCAGCCTGCGGATGATTGAGGATGCTGAGCGCGACGGGACGCTGAAGCCCGGGGACACGATTATCGAGCCGACATCCGGGAACACCGGTGGGTGCCAGGCCCAGAGGGGGTGGCCAGGGCTGGCTGTCCCCTACCCATGCCGAGCCTGCCGGGACCCGGGGGGGATGGCTGAGCTGCAGCCGCATGTGCTGGCCCGCCTGGCCGCCTGCTCCCTGGCATCTTGCACCCGCTGCCGGCCTGTGTCCCAACCTAGCTTCCTTTGACCAGCATTCGGGGCCAGTGCCGATGCTCTCGGGGCGATGGCACCTGGCAGTGCCTGGCACACAAGACGAGCACCCGGAGTCTGCTCTTCCTGTGCCTGTGTACCCGGCTGGGCCTGGAGGAACCAGATCTCCTGTCCTGCGCCGCTGCCTCCTCCTCCTTGACGTGTACCTTTTATTTCTGCCTCTGGCAGCCTCTCTCCCCCTGCACTTGAAGGCAGAAGCAGCCATGTTGGGCAATTTTGGAATCCCACAGAACCCTCTTCCCTGGGCCCTAAGGGAACCGGCATCGGGGTGTGCCCCTGTGTCCCAGGCAGGGGCGGGGCAGGGCTTGGGGGGTCACTGGGCCCCTCTCACCCTCTGTGTGCCCTCAGGGATCGGGCTGGCCCTGGCTGCGGCAGTGAGGGGCTATCGCTGCATCATCGTGATGCCAGAGAAGATGAGCTCCGAGAAGGTGGGTGGGCGTGGCCAGGGGCGGGGTCATAGGGCAGGGGATGAGGGTGCCTGGGCCAGGCGGAAGGTGCAGGCCACCGCTTTCCCTCCTGCAGGTGGACGTGCTGCGGGCACTGGGGGCTGAGATTGTGAGGACGCCCACCAATGCCAGGTTCGACTCCCCGGAGTCACACGTGGGGGTGGCCTGGCGGCTGAAGAACGAAATCCCCAATTCTCACATCCTAGACCAGGTGAGGCACCTGGGGCCTGGAGACAGGCATTCCCTAGGAGGGTCTCGGTCAGGGATGTGGGGGTGACTGAGGTGTCAGGGGTCAGCTCACGGGCTCTGCTCTCTTTCTATGCAGTACCGCAACGCCAGCAACCCCCTGGCTCACTACGACACCACCGCTGATGAGATCCTGCAGCAGTGTGATGGTGCGTCCCTCTGTCCATCTTGATTGCATTTATCCCTGGCTGCCTGGGAGTGTACACATCTCTTGCCCTCTCCTTGGTGAACTCCTATTCACCCTTCAGAACCCAGCTCAAATGTTCCCTCTGTGAAATGCTTTTCTAGAGCATTTCTCTAGAACAATTTCCTCCCTCCGTTGTGCCCTCTTGGCCTCCGCCTGTGGTTTACCTGTAATAGCAAACACAGGGCATGGCTGTATTTGTTTACCCAGCAATCTCTGCAGGTCTGCAGGGGCTCCTCCTGCAGATAATGCAGACAGCGAGTCTGTTCAGGGCCCAGGCTGGTGCTGGGCTCACAGCTTGGACTTCATTTGGGATCATGCCCTGACTCGGCATCAAATTCATCTGCAGAACAGAGCTGGTGACATCTGCGATGAGCTCACTCTCTGTTACAAGCATGAGGCCGGCTCCTTGGGCCCTTTTCCAGGGACTCGGTGCCAAGGCCTGTGGGGGTTGGTACTGAGGTTTTCCCAAGAGATCCCTTTAGAGATAAGTTGCCAAGAGGTTGGCGCCCTGGCTTCCTATTGGGAATCCGGTGTTGGCATGGGCTGGAGTACACCCTCAGTCCGTGCCCAGGAGCCGGGCTGTAAGGTCCAGGCATTTGGTTGTTTGGGCTTTATGTGTGAGAACTCTCTCATTTGGCAAAAACAGTCCTGTCTCAGCATGGGTGCCCAAGCTGCTCCGTCTCGCTGAGTCTTTCCCTGCTGTGACTTCTCCACCAGATGCCCGCGCTGGCGGCCAGCAGTGTGAGCGCCCAGCGAGTTTCTGCGCTGAAGCCTAAAAGACTGATTCCATTTCCTGTGTAAATTCAGTTAACTCACTCACACCACGCAAACATCCAACAGCCCACGGAGGTGGTTAATTCACAGCCTCCCTCTGCCCGCCCTCAGCGCCTGCACCCCCCGGACAGGGTCCTGTCTTTCTGCATCCAGCCAAATGGGGGTTTTAGGGGTCGAGTGTCACTGAGCAAAGACTGGGCTGGGGTGCCCCAGGCTGCCTGTTTCTGAGGCTTTCACAGACCAAGGGCAGCAACGAGGGCTGCTCCAACTGGAGAAGAAGTTTTTCTTTTGAACTTTTTGGTTACCCACCGTGGTTTGGGCTGAGTGTGTTTTCAATGATTATTACTATGAGTGATGGGCTGGCCAGGCAGGGACCCAAGAATGTTATCCGTCCACCAGGGAAGCTGGACATGCTGGTGGCTTCAGTGGGCACGGGCGGCACCATCACGGGCATTGCCAGGAAGCTGAAGGAGAAGTGTCCTGGATGCAGGGTGAGTGGTGTGGCCGGGCCGGAGAGGGGCAGTGCGGAGTGGCCCCGGCTTCTGAGCTGAAAGCTGTCATTCCTCACGGTCTGCTCAGCACGCTGTCTCCCGCGGTATTTCTGCGCTGCCTGGGAGGTGTTTGGGAAGACAAGGGTGCTTGACACATAAGGGACCAGCAGCTCGTGACCCGAAGGAGCTGGGGCTGGGTGCTCGCTCACCGGCCAGTGTCTTGGAGAACCTTCCTGCGCTGAGTGGGGGGTCGGAGTTCCAACTGGGGGCCTCTGAGGATCAGCCAGGAGCTCTAAGTCCTCTGGTCCTGAGTCTGCCCCTCAACTGGGGCTTGTGGGAGTTGGGAGAGGGTTCCTGGACTCGGGGTTAAGAGCAGGTCTGAGGACGGGTGCCTAGAAAGGTCCCGCTGATGAGACAAGGGCGTTCTCTCCCTGTTGCTTGCCCTTGAAAAAGACGTCACTGCCCAGCAATGCCCTTTGTCCCCAAAGGCTCTGCTGCTCCGCCGCAGGGTGGTCTGTCTGGACTGTCCTGGGGGCCCCGCTCCGAGAAGCACCCCGGGGAGGTCAGTTCCTCCCAGGCACCTGCCTTTACTTCTGAGCGCCCTGCACTGAACATTTAGGTCATTACCGCTTTAATACTTGGAGCCTGGGTTCTTGGGTTTCTCATCCTGCCTCTGAGGCTGGGAACAGGCCACCACCCACAGGCAGATCATTAACAGGCAGTTGTTAACGGCGGTATTGGCCACTCCCATAATAGAATATCGAGGCATGTCCAGGCGGGGCTTTTGCTGGCCTTGAGCCCTGAAGCCGCGCCCTCTGCAGATCATTGGGGTGGATCCCGAAGGGTCCATCCTCGCAGAGCCGGAGGAGCTGAACCAGACGGAGCAGACAACCTACGAGGTGGAAGGGATCGGCTACGACTTCATCCCCACGGTGCTGGACAGGACGGTAGGTCGAGTCCAGAGCCCGGCCACAGTGCCGGTGCAGCCTGTAACTCACCCTCACACTGGGGAGCCTGGCTGACCCTGGGCCCCAACCAGCTTCTCCACTGAAACAGAAGGGCAAGCCCCGCACGCATGGTGAGAAGCTGGTCTCGAAGGTCGAGACAAAGTAGACTGGGGGACGATGTCCGCACACGTGGCCTGACCTCACCAAGGGATGTAGCCCAGGTGGCACAGGCAGGGAGCAGGGAAAACGTGTGAAAATTAAGGCCCCGGAAAAGTCTGTTAAGAGCCAAAAAGCTGACTTTGGCCTGAGGGAGAGCAGAGACCGAAGGGCCGGTGTGGGTCACACGGATGCTCAGTGGGGCTGGCGGGCAGTTTTGCTGTCTGCAAAACGTGTTGGAACTGGAAAGTCTGCAGACGTGCCGATCCCAGGGGGAGAGGCTGGGGTGAGACCTCTGGGGTCCTACCGCCTAGACACGGGGTCCACCATGAGGCTGTTCACCCTCTTGGTCACGTGGGAGCGGCTCCCACGCTGACGGGCTGTGGTGGGGTCCTGCTCAGGTGGTGGACAAGTGGTTCAAGAGCAACGATGAGGAGGCGTTCACCTTTGCCCGCATGCTGATCGCGCAAGAGGGGCTGCTGTGCGGTGAGTGGGTGGCGGGCACGGGGGTATGGGGAAGGCAGAGATGGCTAGGGGGCACTGGGGATGGCTGGGGGCGCACCCTCAGTCAGCCACCGACCTGCATGTGTAAGACAGCAGTTCTGAGGAGTGTCACTGCGGCGGCCACGAGCCTCAGGTGTTGTCTGCCTGCCCAGTGTGGTCACCTGCTCAGGTGAGGGCAGGAGGCCATGGGGCGGGGCTTCGAGCTGCCTTCCAGAATGTGTTTCTAGAACAAGGCTGAAGCTCTCATGGCACTTATTGTTTCTAATCAAGTCCACCAGGGCCCCTGGGGCGGTGGCTCTGCATTGACGGGGCCCATGGCCGGGACTGGGTGCTGCGAGCACCCTGGAGCAGCTGGGGAGGGGACTGGAGCCTGAGGCTGTCCAGCTCGACCCCGCTCACCTTCCTCCTACCCCGTGCCCCTCTGCCCACCTGCTTGGGGGTGGACAGACCAGGTGGCCGCTGGCAATGCCACTGACTAGCCACACAGGCAGCAGAGGCCCTGTAGGGACCACAGTTGATCTAGACCTCTGGGGACTCGGAGAGCACACACCAGCTTCTAAAACGCAGGCAGGGACATGTGAGGTTTCTACATGTGCATTCCGTGTGTCATGTCACTTTGGGGGTGGTGACAGGGAAAGTGGAAGGAAACCAGCCCTCAGCATGGCCAAGTCCCCCGTTAGCTGAGCCCCAAACTAGAGATTGGAAGAAAGTCTTGATTGAAAAACCATTTCCCAGCCAGGCGCGTTGGCTCATGCCTATAATCCCAGCACTTTGGGAGGTCGAGGCGGGTGGATCACCTGAGGTCAGGAGTTCAAGACCAGCCTGGCCAACAGGGAGAAACCCCGTCTCTACTAAAAATACCAAAAAAAAAAAAAAAAGTAGCCGATGTAATGGTGCATGCCTGTAATCCCAGCTACTCGGGAGGCTGAGGCAAGAGAATTGCTTGAACCTGGGAGGTGGAGGTTGCAGTGAGCCGAGATCACGCCATTGCACTCCAGCCTGGGTGATAAGAGCAAAAACTCCATCTCAAAAAAAAAAAAAAGAAAAGAAAAGCATTTTCCAGATGAATCTGTCACGAAAGGTGACTTGGTGCCCATAATCGTTGGGCTCTCCCTGTCTCAGTCTCCCTGCTCCCCATGTTGGTGGAGAAACAAGCCCCTGCCTTTGGGGCTGGAAAGCAGGTCCATGGGCCCCGTTACAGAGGAGGGTGCCTCTCTTCCTGTGGGGGCTCCTACTGCAGACTTAGACCTTCCCGACTGCTGTGTGCACCCTCAAACTAAGCCCAGAGAAGACGCCTCTGACTCTGACTTCAGGGCTCCTAGGGACAGCTGGTGTCACTGTGAGCCTTGGTCTCTTGTTTATAAAGCAGAGCCCAGTGTGCAGTCAGGCAGCCTGCAGGCGTGGTGCTGGGGGCTCCGTCCTCGTAGCATCGCTGGCTCTAGGCTCAGGGCCAGGAGGTTTGCCAGGGGCCGCAGCCCCACTGCAGGCATTTCCCTGGCACCAGTGCCCACCCCAGCTCATTATGAAGCCCCGAGTGGACACAGAAACTCCATGGTGCACAAGGAAGAAGCCGATGCTCACGGAGAAGTGGGGTCCTCCCAGCCCCTCTCCCCGAGGCAACCCCTCTTGACGGATCCTTCGGAGTGTGTCTGACATGCTCCCATGCGTGCACGTGCACAATTCATGCATACGTGTGCACCCACGCACGCTCACCCTGGCGCGTCTGACTCGTGGCCCTCTCTGCAGGTGGCAGTGCTGGCAGCACGGTGGCGGTGGCCGTGAAGGCCGCGCAGGAGCTGCAGGAGGGCCAGCGCTGCGTGGTCATTCTGCCCGACTCAGTGCGGAACTACATGTAAGACACGGCTTCCCTCCCAGGTCCCTGCTCCTCTCCATCCTGCCACCCTTCCCTGGATGCCTCTCACGCCTCACCTGAGAACCGGCAGCCAGAACTGGGAGGGGAGGAGGCCAGCGGGGCCCTGTGAGCACCGCCTCCACTCTCCTGCCCACGTGCCCTCACGCTGTGGGGCTTCCCAGCCTCTTAATGCTGTGAAAATCAATGCACACTCGCAGTGACAGCCCTGACAGGAGGGGCATGAAAGACGGTGGCTCCCTCTCTGTCCCTCCTGTCCCTTCCTCTCTGGTGTCTGTCCCCCTCACTGCTCTGGGGTCCGTGAGCTCCAACGGGTAGCCCTGGCCACATGGACTGACGTCCTCTTGGGCCGGGCCCTGTGCCACCTCCTATCCACCCTGACTCCCTCTGCTGCTTCCCCCAAACTCCAGATTGGGACCGAGTGCTGCCCAGGTGGCCCCCTAGGACTTGCTGTGACTGTTTTGCCCAGAGGCCCCTCGGACAGTAACGCCACAGACCTCGCTGGTCACCGGGCAGCCAGGCTGAGACTGGCGCTGCTCTGCACCTGGTCTCCGGAGGCGGTACCAGGGCGGGTGTCTACAGACCCCCATGCCCTGTCCCCTGCACCTGCAGGGTTTCCTCCATGGCCTGCAAGCTGCAGCGGCTACACAGCTCCCGAGAGCTCAGCTGCCCTTGGAGGGCCAGGCCTGGCTGGTGGGTGCCCCCAGTTGGGTTCCCCAGTGTGGGGTGATTCACATCTGGTGCCCAGGGTCAAGATGCCCTGTGCAGGGCTCCTGCCCACCCCCGTCAGTGCAAGAACACCATCTCCCCACATACTTGGCCAGCCTGCCATGTGTACCTGTGCGTGTGAGTGTGTGAGGGGCAGAGAGCGAGCATGAGAGGACGTGTTTATCTGAGTGCCTGAGCGATGGCTGTGTGCATGCTCACACACGCTTGTTGGCCATGGGGGCGGGAAGTCCAGCCCCCAGGCTTCCCCCTGGGGCTTCCAGCCAGCACTTGGGGGTCTCTGCTGCACCAGTGAGGTCCAGGAGAGGGGCTGGGCAGGCAGTGCGTGCCACTCAGCAGGGGCGGGGGCCCGGTGGGGCCCTGCGGGGACTCGGTGACTCCCCCATCCCGCAGGACCAAGTTCCTGAGCGACAGGTGGATGCTGCAGAAGGGCTTTCTGAAGGAGGAGGACCTCACGGAGAAGAAGCCCTGGTAAGACCGCTCGGCCGGAGACCCGCTGCCTGTGCTGGCCCTGCCCAGTGTGACAGGCAGGAGAGCACTCCCCCGTGGCCTGTGCTGGCCCTGCCCAGTGTGACAGGCAGGAGAGCGGTCCCCGTGGCCTGTGCTGGCCCTGCCCAGTGTGACAGGCAGGAGAGCGGTCCCTGTGGCCTCCTGCTGAGGTGCTGCCGGCGGGGGTGCGAGAGCGTTTGTCCTTATCCTGATCCCCCCGACCTGCCCTCTTCCCTCAGGTGGTGGCACCTCCGTGTTCAGGAGCTGGGCCTGTCAGCCCCGCTGACCGTGCTCCCGACCATCACCTGTGGGCACACCATCGAGATCCTCCGGGAGAAGGGCTTCGACCAGGCGCCCGTGGTGGATGAGGCGGGGTCAGTCTCAGCCCCTGCTCAGAGCTCAGTCCTGGGTTCTGTCTGCCCAGCTCCACCCCGTCAGTGTCACTGGACAGGGCAGCCATGCAGACCCTGCAGCTGGGCTGATAGGCCCGCCTGGGCCGCCTCATACAGACGTTCAGGGCATTGGAGGCCCCTTGCCGGTCCCTGAGCAGCCTGGGGCAGGGCTGCCGTGCTCACTCCAGGCCCTCAGACCTCAGCCCACCCACCCTTTGTGTGCAGGCTGTCCTGGGCCCACCTGGAGGTCAGGGGAGAGATGCCCCGAGGACATGTCTGACAGCAGAAAGCCTTGGCACACATGCCCAGTGACCACTGAGAGCCCCACGTCGCGGAAACCTGACGGCTGGTCACCCTTGACCCTGGCTGAACGGGTCCAAGGACTCTTGGTTTCTTTCTCCCCACCAGGGCCCAGACTGGTTCCTGCCGCGTGTAGGCTCGTGGCAGAGGACTTCCATGTGTGGCCAGAGAGCGCTCCTCCCTGGGGCAGCTGAGCGTGTGCCCCACCGTCCTGGGAGGGGTGAGGTATGAGCGCTGACCCCTGCCTGCCCCCGTCCCACAGGGTAATCCTGGGAATGGTGACGCTTGGGAACATGCTCTCGTCCCTGCTTGCCGGGAAGGTGCAGCCGTCAGACCAAGTTGGCAAAGTCATCTACAAGCAGTTCAAACAGGTACCCAGTCACCTACAGGCAGCTCAAACAGATGCGCAGTCACCTACAGGCAGCTCAAACAGGTGCCCGGTCACCTACACGCAGCTCAAACAGGTGCGCGGTCACCTACAGGCAGCTCAAACAGGTGAGCGGTCACCTACAGGCAGCTCAAACAGGTACCCGGTCACCTACAGGCAGCTCAAACAGGTGCGCGGTCAGCTACAGGCAGCTCAAGCGGGTGCGCGGTCACCTACAGGCAGCTCAAACGGGTGCCCAGTCACCTACAGGCAGCTCAAACGGGTGCCCGGTCACCTACAGGCAGCTCAAACGGGTGCCCGGTCACCTACAGGCAGCTCAAACGGGTGCGCGGTCACCTACAGGCAGCTCAAACGGGTGCCCAGTCACCTACAGGCAGCTCAAACAGGTGCGCGGTCACCTACAGGCAGCTCAAACAGGTGCCCGGTCAGCTACAGGCAGCTCAAACAGGTGCGCGGTCACCTACACGCAGTTCAAACAGGTGCGCAGTCACCTACACGCGGCTCAAACAGGTACTCAGGCACTTCGGGACCCCAGAGGGTGCCAGAGTACTCCAGCCTCGAAGGCGGGACACCGCGCTTCCCGTGTGGGGGTGCTGGGTCCTCGACCCTCAACACCACTTAGGCCGAAGCTGGCTGCACCCCTCAAACCATGAAGCTGAGAAGCACCCACTTTACAAGTGCAGCAGCCGGAGAGCAGGCTCTCATCAGTGCAGGCTCATCCACACCAGCCGTGTTTTGGGGACTTAAGGAGGTCATTCGCGCTCAGAGGCTGTCCCGGGCACCATGCGGCGTCTGCCGGGGTCTTTCTCCTGCCCAGCCTCATTTGCCTGTGCATGCACTTGGTTATCCAACAAGAGCTAGAACATTCTGGGAGAAGCCCACGGTGGCTCCTTGCCGGGCTGGTCAGACTCCGTGGTTGTCCTGAGACACCCACCCTCTGCTGCCCTGAGGGTGGCCCAGGAAAGTTTGTGTGACCTTCCACACGGATCCCCTGGGACATGCAGGTGTGGCTCTTGACACTGGAAAGGCTGAGGGTTCTGCCCAAACCTAGGAGTGAATTCGACTTCTTTCCCATCTCACACACACACCCGAGACGTCACCCGAATCCACGTATTTCCCACGTTCGGCTGCCACTGCCTCCCGGGTGGGCTTTGCAGGACCCACCATCGCATCCCCTCTCACTCCACAGAAAACTCGTGGGGCCATGTTCCCCCTGCCACTGACCACGCTTCCCTTGCAGATCCGCCTCACGGACACGCTGGGCAGGCTCTCGCACATCCTGGAGATGGACCACTTCGCCCTGGTGGTGCACGAGCAGATCCAGTGTGAGTGGGGCCCTGCTCTGTGCGTGGGGTTCTCACTGGGGTCAGGCCACCAAGCCTGGCCTCTGCCATGGGCAGCAGCTGGGCCCCCCATCCCCTGCGGGGTGTTAGGGGAGTGGGTGGTGCCGACCTTCAGTGACACCCAGTCTTTATGCCTGGGCCTCCCACATGCCCTGGGCTGGTGGGCTGTACCTGTGATTCCTGCAGGGACCCCTCATCAGGCCACACTGGGTAGGGCCCTTTGTCCAGCATGCAGAGGCTCAGGAGTCCAGGCCCCTTGCCTCCGGGGAGGCCAGCAGTCTTGGGGATTCTCAGGGACAAGCCCAGAAACATCTAGAAGGGTTTCAAGTCCTGACCCTGGCATTCGGAGGGCTGCTCTGAATGGAAGCCTCATGTGGGTCTCACAGGAGCCACTGATGGGCTGTCCTCAGAGCCCCGCTCCCAGCAAGCTCATGAGGTTTTGCAACTCCTGAGCGCATCCCCGGGCGTCCCCACCACATCCCCACAGGCCAGGAGAGTCGCTCGCAGGTTTTGGGTCATAGATGGCAGCCCTGGGCCTGGGGCCCACAGGAAGAGTTGGGAGGGGCCCTGGAGCCTGGAGCCTGCCCACCCACCAGGCCTGTGTGCAGGGGGTGAGCGCTCGGTGGCTGAGGCTGGTCCGTGAGGGCCCCAAGTCTAACCCCATCTCCCGTCCTTGGCTCTGCAGCGCAGGACCAGGCCTGGGCAGGCGTGGTGGGGGGGCCTGCAGGTAGGTATCACCCACCCCTCAGAATGGCTCTCAGGCTCAGATTCACAGCCTCCCCATGGCAAATGGAGGCCTTCCAGGGTCCTGGACCCACCCCCAAGCTTGGGTAGGAGGGATCCCCCTCTTAATCTCACATTTACTTGTGTTTGAACATCTCAGAAAAAAAAAAAGATGCAAATTCCAATGTCAGGGTCCCCAAATCAAGTCTTCCTGGAGCATGTCCACGCTTGTCACCACCGTCTGTGGCTGCTTTCAAGCACGTCAGGGCTGCGTGCTCATAACAGAGACGGCACGGCCCCCAAGACCTAAAATACCACCAGCTGGCCCTTGTCGGAAAGTCCCCTGGCTGGCCCTAGTCCATTGACTCTGGGCCGAGCTGCCAGGGCCACAGAAGCCTGCGGCACTCAGGGCTCCCAGGGCTCCCTTCTCCAACAGTTGCTGTGCCTCCGTTTCCCCAAAATGCAAGGAGCTGATCTCATCTGTGTTCCCTATCTTTTCCTGGGGCTCTAAGTGGGCCACCCCAAGGGACCTCTGCCTACAAAGAGAGGAGTGACAGCCGTGGCGGAGTTGGGACGGGCTCCGAGGGCTCTTCCTCACCCGCACCTTGCTCACCCCTCTGTGCCTCATGACAGCTGGTGTAGGGTCCTGTGGAGACGCAGGACCAAGAGGATGTGTGGGGAGCGGGGAGAGAGAGGGAACGAGATCTGTGTTAAGGAACTGGATCATGAGATCACGGAGGCTGACAAACCCTGAGATCTGCAGGGTGAGGCGGCAGGCCGGAGACTGGAGAGCCAGCAGTTCAAGCCCCAAGGCAGGAAATTCCACCTTTGGTTCTATTCAGGCCTTCAACTGCTTGGGTGAGGCCCTCCACAGTAGCACACGTTATCTGCCTCTTGACTCTTGTGCTAATCCGGAATCCCCTCACACATGCCCAGAACGACGTGTGACCAATGCCTGGGCTCCCACGGCCCCGTTAATCTGTATTAAAATTAACCATCACAACAGCCCTGTCTGGGTATGTGGCATGGGAGCCTCGGCCAGCATTAACACCGGGTCTACGCTTGCCAGGAGAAAGCAGGAGGGGTGAAGACAGAATCAGGCCAGAGATGGAAGCTGTGTGCTGCCCATGGTGGCAAGGGGTTTTTGTCTGTTTTTAGAGACAGGGTCTTGCTCTGTTGCCGACTGGAGTGCAGTAGTGCCATCATAGCTCGCTGCAGCCTCGACCTGCTGTGCTCAACTGATCCTTCTGCCTCAGTCTCCCAAGTAGCTGGGACCACAAGCGTGTGCCACCATGCTCGACTAATTTATTTTTAAAAATATTCTGTAGAGACAGGGTCTCAATATGTTGCCCAGGCTGGTCCCAGACTTCCGGGCTTAAATGATCCTCCCACCTTGGCCTCCCACAGCGCTGGGATCACAGGTGTGAGCCACTGTGCCCGGCCCTGTAAGCGGGTTTGAATTTCATGCCCACACCGGCTCTGAAGTCATGAGTGCCTCAGGAGCTCAGCCGGTGGGCCAGGGAAGGGTGTGTCCTGACCTGCGGTGGGTGGAGCCTGGCCTGGGGCCCAGGGGACTCACGTGGTGGGTAGAACCTGGCCTGGGGGCTCATGGGGCTCATGTCAGAAGAACACTGGCTTGGCCAGGCACAGTGGCTCACGCCTGTAATCCCAGCACTTTGGGAGCCGAGGCAAGTGGATCACTTGAGGTCAGGAGTTCAAGGCCAGCCTGGCCAACATGGCAAAACCCCATCTCTACTAAAAATACAAAAATTAGCTGGGTGTGGTGATGTGCACCTGAAGTCCCAGATACTCGGGAGTCTGAGGCACGAGAATCACTTGAACCCAGGAGGTGGAGGTTGCAGTGAGCCAAGACTGCACCACTGCACTCCAGCCTAGGGGACAGAGTGAGGCCCTGTCTCAGAAAAAAAAAAAGGAACACAGCCTTCGCCGCTGGGCTCCAGCCACCCTGGGCCCCCATGGTGCACAGGTGCCCCAGGCCCTCAGGAGCCTCCTGCCCCGCAGCAGCCCACCCAGCCTCCCACGGCACCTGCAAACCCACTGCCTCGTTCTCCCCTCAGACCACAGCACCGGGAAGTCCAGTCAGCGGCAGATGGTGTTCGGGGTGGTCACCGCCATTGACTTGCTGAACTTCGTGGCCGCCCAGGAGCGGGACCAGAAGTGAAGTCCGGAGCGCTGGGCGGTGCG
Organism: Homo sapiens; assembly: GCF_000001405.40. NCBI lineage: Eukaryota > Metazoa > Chordata > Mammalia > Primates > Hominidae > Homo > Homo sapiens. The sequence continues at coordinate 43,053,856 of NC_000021.9, read as the reverse complement.
GAGCGGGCCCGCCACCCTTGCCCACTTCTCCTTCGCTTTCCTGAGCCCTAAACACACGCGTGATTGGTAACTGCCTGGCCTGGCACCGTTATCCCTGCACACGGCACAGAGCATCCGTCTCCCCTCGTTAACACATGGCTTCCTAAATGGCCCTGTTTACGGCCTATGAGATGAAATATGTGATTTTCTCTAATGTAACTTCCTCTTAGGATGTTTCACCAAGGAAATATTGAGAGAGAAGTCGGCCAGGTAGGATGAACACAGGCAATGACTGCGCAGAGTGGATTAAAGGCAAAAGAGAGAAGAGTCCAGGAAGGGGCGGGGAGAAGCCTGGGTGGCTCAGCATCCTCCACGGGCTGCGCCGTCTGCTCGGGGCTGAGCTGGCGGGAGCAGTTTGCGTGTTTGGGTTTTTTAATTGAGATGAAATTCAAATAACCTAAAAATCAATCACTTGAAAGTGAACAATCAGCGGCATTTAGTACATCCAGAAAGTTGTGTAGGCACCACCTCTGTCACGTTCTGGAACATTCTGTCATCACCCCGTGAAGCAATCATTTCCCCTCCCGTCTTCCTCCTCCCCTGGCAACTGCTGATCGACTTTGTGTCTCTGTTGTCTAAAATAGGTTTTCCCTGTTCTGGACATTTCATATAAATGGAATCACACAATTGTGGCCTCGTGTCTAACTTATTTCACTTTGCATGGTATTTTCAGGCATGTCAGAGCACGTGTACTTGGTTTCTTTTTGTGGCCGAATAATAAGCCATTGTGTGGATAGACCACATTTTGGTTCCTCATTTATCGGTGATGGACACCTGGTTGTTTCTGCTTTTCAGCCCTTGTGAGTAACCTGCTGTGCACCTTCATGGCCGAGTATGTCTGGACACCTCTTTTCACTTTTCTTGGGTGTGTACCCAGGAGTGGCATTGCTGGTTAATGTGGTAACTCCATGTTTAATTTTTTTTTTTTTTTTTTTTTGAGATGGAGTCTTGCTCTGTTGCCAGGCTGGAGTACAATGGCACAATCTCGGCTCACTGCAACCTCCACCTCCTGGGTTCAAGCGATTCTCCTGCCTCAGCCTCCCGAGTAGCCAGGATTACAAGTGTGCACCACTGTGCCTGGCTAATTTTTGTATTTTTGTAGAGACAGGGTTTTACCATGTTGGCCAGGCTGGTCTTGAACTCCTGACCTCAGGTGATCCACCTGCCTCAGCCTCCCAAAGTGCTGGGATGACAGGCGTGAGCCACTGCGCCCGGCGTCCATGTTTATTTTTTGAGGAACCATCAAGCTGTGTTCCATACTGGTCACACCGATTTCCATTCTCACCAACAGTGCCCGAGGGTTCCAGTTTCTCCAGGTCCTTATCAACACTTGCTATTTTCTTGTTTTAAATTATTATAGCCATGCTAGTGTGTATGAAGAGGTGTCTCATTATGGTTTTGATTTGCCTTTCTGTAATCATTGGTGATGTTGAGTGACCATCTTTTCATATGCCTGTTGGTTATTTTTTGGGAGAATCCATCTCCTGTTTTTAAATTGGGTTGTCTTTTTGTTGAGTTGTAGGAGCTCTTTATATGTTCAGGATACTAAGCCCTTATCATAAGACTTGCAAATATTTTCTCCCATTCTGTAGGTTATCTTTTTACTTTTTTTTTTTTTGAGATGGAGTCTTGCTCTGTTGCCCAGGCTGGAGTGCAATGGTGTGATCTTGGCTCACTGCAACCTTCACCTCCTGGGTTCAAGCTATTCTCCTGCCTCAGCTTCCCAAGTAGCTGGGATTACAAGTTCCCAACACCACGCCCAGCTAATTTTTGTGTTTCGTATTTTTTATTGTTTTGAGACAGAGTCTTTCTCTGTCGCCCAGGCTGGAATGCAGTAGCGTGATCTCAGCTCACTGCAACCTCCGCCTCTCAGGTTCAAGCAGTTCTCCTGCCTCAGCCTCCCCAGGAGCTGGGATTACAGGCACGTACCACCATGCCTGGCTAATTTTTGTATTTTTACCAGAGACGGGGTTTCACAATGTTGGTCAGGCTGGTCTCAAACTCCTGACCTTGTGATCTGCCTGCCTCGGCCTCCCAAAGTGCTGGGATTACAGGTGTGAGCCACTGCGCCTCGTCTACTTTTTAATATTTTTAGTGGAGACAGGGTTTCACCATGTTGGCCAGGCTGGTCTTGAATTCCTGACCTCAAGTGATCTGCCCACCTCGGCCTCCCAAAGTGCTGGGATGACAGGTGTGAGCCACTGCGCCTCGTCTAATTTTTAATATTTTTAGTGGAGACAGGGTTTCACCATGTTGGCCAGGCTGGTCTCGAATTCCTGACCTCAAGTGATCTGCCCACCTCGGCCTCCCAAAGTGCTGGGATGACAGGTGTGAGCCACTGCGCCTCGTCTAATTTTTAATATTTTTAGTGGAGACAGGGTTTCACCATGTTGGCCAGGCTGGTCTTGAATTCCTGACCTCAAGTGATCTGCCCACCTCGGCCTCCCAAAGTGCTGGGGTGACAGGCGTGAGCCATTGGTCCCGGTCTCTTTACTTTCTTAATGTTCTTTGATGCACGGCAGTTTTTAGTTTTGGTGGAGTCAAAATTTGTTTGTTTGTTTTTTCCTGTTGCTCATGCTTTGGGTGTCATATCCATTGGCAAATCCAAGGTTCATGGAAATGTACCCCTATGTCTTCTTCTAAGATCTGTACAGATTTAGCTCATTGTTCGATTTTGAGTCAATTTTTGTAGATGGTTTAACATGGGAGTTTGTGGATGTCTGTCTGTCTCAGCGTCTCTTGTTGAAGAGACGATGCTCCCCCCATGGAATGGCCTGGCACCGTTGCTCACAGATGTATGGGCTCATTTCTAGACTCAGTGCTATTCCATTGATCTGTGTGTCTGGCCTTATGGTGGTACCACACTGTTTTGATTACTATAGTTCTGTAGTAAGTTTTGAAATTGAAAGTATGGATCCTACAGCTTTGTTCTTTTACAATGTTGTTTTGGAAATTATGATGTATCCTGATGTATTTGTCCTTATGTTTTTGTGTGTGAAATTCTTTGAGCTTATTGGATCCCAGCACGTGGCAAGTAAGAGTTCCAAAAAGAAAACAAGGAAGGATCTCAGTAATGAAGTAATTCACAAAACTGCCCCAGAACTCAAAGACATGACTTTGCAGACCGAGAGGCCCACCCAGTGCCCAGCAAAATGGACCGCGAAAGATCTACACAGTGAACATCACTGTGAAATGTGAGGTCACTCAAGACATGAGAAGTCTAAAACACTCCCAAAAAAGGATGAAAAGCCCAGCTCACACAGGGAGGCTTGGGATGAGAAAGGCATCAACTTCAGCCTCCAGCACACATGGAAACCAGGAGATGAACCCTGACGGAATTCAGAAGAGGAAGGAATGCAGGCTGGAAGCCCTGAGGCCAGCACCCTCTCCCTTAGCACCGGAGGCAGGAGACCCACTTCCATCATGCAGGGCAGGCTTTCTGCCCAGGAACACACGCCACCAAAAGGAGGGAATGAAAACAGGAGAGGAAATGGTGTCACAGGAGGTCCCAGGGCCACTGTGAGTCCAGCAGCAGTAGGACAGAGGAGACCTAGGCGAGAAGATTGCTTGAGGCCAGGAGTTCGAGACCAGCCTGGGCAACACAGTGAGACCCTGTCTCTACAAGAAAAAAGAAAGGAAAACAACTCCTCAGGAGGCTGAGGCATTAGGATCACTTGGGCCCAGGAGTTGGAGGCTGCAGTGAGCCATGATTGCACTACTGCATTCTAGCCTGGATGACTCAGTGATACCCTGTCTCAAAAAAAAAAAAAAAAAAGACAGGAGTGATGCTTCAGGGGAGATAAGGAAATCAAGAGGTCGCCAGAGTGCTGTGAGCCTATCAAGAGATCTGCATGCCTGGTGGAGAGTTGGGAGTTGCATCAGAACCTAGAAAACAAAGAGGCCGGGCACGGTGGCTCATGCCTGTAATCCCAGCACTTTGGGAGGCCAAAGCAGACACACTTTGGGAGGACTCGACTCAACACACACACTTGAGTCCAGGAGTTCAGGACCTCATCTCTATTAAAAATAGCTGGGCATGGTGGTGGGTGCCTGTGGTCCCAGCTACTTGGGAGGCTGAGGCAGGAGGATTGATGGAGCCAGGGAGATTGAGGCTGCGGTGAGCTGTGATTATACCACTGCACTCCAGCCTGGGTGACAGAGCAAGACCTTGTCTCAAAAAAAGGGGAGAAAATATTGGAGCTCTGTAAGAAATGTAATTACATAACATGACTAGGCTAGGAATAATAGTTGCTTCATCATAATCGTGTAAACACTGGATATTAATCTATTCTCAATTATAAAACTGTCCTGAAGGAATCCGAGAATGGAATTATATTTCCTACTAGTGGGGAGGAGCATGGGAGAGGAAGAATCTTCATTTTTCCACAGAAGGATGTTGATAGATAACATCTATACTTACAAAAAGAAAAAAGCAGCTGGGCGCAGTGGCTCACACCTATAATCCCAGCATTTTGGGAGGCCAAGATGGGTGGATTGTTTGAGCTCAGGAGTTCAAGACCAGCGTGGACAACATGAGGAAACACCGTATCTACTAAAAATACGAAAATTAGCCAGGCGTGGCAGTGTGCCCTGTAGTCCTAGCTACTTGCGAGGCTGAGGTGGGAAAATTGCGTAAGTTTAGGAGGTCGACACTACAGTGAGCCGAGATTGCATCACCGTGCTCCAGCCTAGGTGACAGAGCCAGACCCTGTCTCAAAAAAAAAAAAAAAAAAAAAAAAAAGGAAGGAAGGAAGAAAAGGAGGGAGACAGGAAAGGAGCACAAGCAAGTTTCTGGACATATGGATGCAAGTAAGTTTATAGGTGAGCGCCACTCCAGCCTGACTGGCAGACGGAGACCCTGTCCGCCCCTCCCCTCTAAAAACAGTAGAGCTCTGGTGAGCTGAACAGTGGTCCTTCAAAGCTACCAGGCCCTAATCTCTGAAACCTGTGAATGGGCCCTCTTTGGAAAAAGAGTCCAGCAGGTGTGAAGCTGAGGCTCCTGAGATGCAGAGACACTCCTGGATCATCCAGGTGGGCCCTAAATGCCCTCGAGCTTCCCCTTCGGTTTTCCCCGTGTGGCCCAGTGTGAGTCCGCCAGGGCTGCTGTAGCAAAGGGCCCCACAGTGGGTGCTTCGACAACTTACTGTCTCACAGACTTGGAGGCCAGAAGTCCAGGGTCAAGGTGTTGGCAGGGATGGTTCCATCAACCCTGAATAATGAGATTCATAAAATACAGTGAAGTCCAGGGTTTATTCAAGCTTAAAGCTTGGGAACCATCACTCGGGAAACAGACTCGAAAAGAATGGGCCAGCGCTCCAGAGTGGGAAGGGAAGGTCTCGCTTACATAGAGGCAGAGACAAGAGAAGTCTGACAGGGTTGCAACGTTTTCCGTACAAGGTAGTGCATAGCTTATAGTGTTTCTTTTTTACGAGACAGGGTCTCGCACTTTGCAGTGGTGTGGACATGGCTCACTGGGGCCTTGATCTGGGCTCAAGTGATCCTCCTGCCTCAGTTTCTTGAATCACTGGGACCACAGGTGTACACCACCACACCAGCTAATTTTTGTAGAGACAGGGTTTTACATGTTGCCTAGGCTGGTCTCTAACTCCTGGGCTCAAGTGATCCTCCTGCCTTGGCCTCCCAAAGTGCTGGGATTACAGGCGTGAGCCACTGCACCCAGCGAGTTTGAACTCTTTAATGCCACAGCTCCTTCTGGGGCTGAGGGAACCTCCGTCCCAGGCCTCTCCGGCTTCTGCGGGTTGCTGGCCCTGCTTGGTGGTCCTTAGCTTGGAGAAGCACCCCCTTGTTCTCCACTTTCATCCTAGCAGGGCATTCTCCCTCCGCATCTGCATCCACATTACCCTTTGTGTAAGGACACCAGTCACTGGGTTAGGGTCTAATGGCCTCATTTAGCTTTAATCACCTCTTTAAAGACCCTGTCTCCAAATAAGGTTATATTCTGAGGTAGTGGGGGTTAGGTCTGCAACATGTCAGTTTTGAGGGGACACAATCTAGCCCATAGCACTCCCCACCCCCAACACACACACACCGTGCACAGAGTGCCTGTTAGGCCGGATGTGATGGCTCACGCCTGTAATCCTAGCACTTTGGGAGGCCGAGGCAGGTGGATCACCTGAGTCAGGAGTTCGAGACCAGCCTGGCCAACATGGAGTGCCTGTTGACGAGCACCTCCCAGCCTTGGCACTTGCTGGACGAGCCTGGAAAAAAGCCACAACTCTGGACCCAGTTTGATCTGGGTTTGAATCCAAACTCTGCCACTTATCAGTTGGGGGTTCTTGGGCAATATGTCCCAATTTCCATGTCTACAAAATGGAGATAAGATCTAGACATGGAGATAAGATCTACCTCATGCAGATGAATGGAGAAGCAAAATGTGGACTATCCGGGCAACGGACAATGATTCAGCTTAAAAAGGAATGAAACCACGCCACGTGCTACAACAGCACAAACCCTGCATGACCCCACGAATCCTGCGTGACCCCACTTATGTAAAGAATCTAGAACAGCTGAACTCAGAGAGGCAACGAGAACAGTGGTTGCCAGGGGCTGAGGAGGGGGATGAGGAATCATTGTTGGCTGAGAACAGTTTCAGTTCGGGAAAGTGAGAAAGTTCTGGAGATGGATGGTGGTGATGGTTACACAACATGAACGTACTTAACCCTACTCAACTATGCATTTACAAATGGTTAAGATGGGGCCGGGCGCGGCTGCTCACGCCTGGAATCCCAGCACTTTGGGAGGCCGAGGTGGGCGGATCACAAGGTCAGGAGATCGAGACCATGCTGGCTAACACGGTGAAACCCCATCTCTACTAAAAATAGAAAAAAATTAGCTGGGCGTGGTGGCGGGCGCCTGTAGTCCCAGCTACTCCAGAGGCTGAGGCAGGAGAATGGCGTGAACCCAGGAGGCAGAGCTTGCAGTGAGCCGAGATCCCGCCACTGCACTCCAGCCTGGGCGACAGAGTGAGACTCCGTCTCAAAAAAAAAAAAATGGTTAAGATGGTACATTTTACCACAGTGCGTAGGTGGGGGCAGCCCTCACTGAAGACGTGGTATCTGAGCGGAGGCTGGGCAGAGGCTCAGGGGTGCCCAGCGGGCCCTGGGGAAAAGCATGCCTGGCTGAAGGCACAGGTGGGCAAACGCCTGAGTCAGGAGTGTGGCTGGTGCAGTCCAGGTGCAGGTGGGAGGGCTGGGGAGGTGTGGAGGGTGAGGACGGGGGTGCAGGGGCCTGCTGAGGACGGAGGGGAGCAGATCAGACTGCAGATGGGGGTGAGGGCTGCTCTTTGTGCAGGATCTGCTCGTCCTGCCCAGCCAGGAACACTGAAAACGGAGGGGAGCTGAGAAGTCCACACGGGGTGCTGCACGTGCCCATCCAGGCGTAGACTCTGAGGGCATGGAGGCATGGAGTTGTGCCGTTCACAACCTGCACACCTGTCCACAGCAGCCCCGACTGCAGATGGGTGGCTGTTCATATGTCCTCCACAAACCTCTGCAGCTGCTTATGACACCTCTTGGCTGTGGCTCATGAAACGATGACTGCAGCCCCACCCTGAAGGATCCAGCCAGCCAGCCAGCCAGCTGTAGCAGCTGTGAGGGGGCAGGTCTTGGTGCCCAGGGCTTTCCTAATGACCAAGCCTGGCCAGCTTCATGTTCTTGGTCTCTGGGCATCTCAGCAATGGCTTGAATTATGCCCTGGTATCAAGCTACCTAAAGGATGGAGACAGAGCCGCTGTGGACACGAACAAAGGCTTTTCTCCACAGGTTGGTGGCATCTGTGCTGGGCTGTAGTGCTGGCTTGGGAGGTCCCCGACTCTCGGGCCCCCATGACGGTGTTGTTCCTGCAGGTCTGCTGGGGGAGGACACTGGCAGGGAGGCAGGTGGGAGGAGGAGAGGGCAGGGCTTCCCAGAGCGACTGGGAAGGCACTCCCGCTACAGGGCCCCACGGGAGCCTCCGGCTTTCCCCGCACCCAACTCTCCTCAGGCACTTGGTTTTCTGCCAGTCTCTGGAGAGTAGGCTTTGCTTAGGGCCAGTGGAAAAGTTCCTGTTTCCCACTATGCAGCCAAGTGAGCCAGGGCAGGCCAGCGGGTAGAGGAAGGGGATAGGCATGACCTCTCCTGAACGGGTTTCAAAAGCAAGTCAGTCAATCATAGGCCAGAGGCGTGGAAACTTCTTGGCAGAAACATTTCCTCTTCCAGGAAACGGCACTTGGTGTTCTCAGGGTGCCCGGGGCTAGGGTGCCAGCATGCTGCCTGGGGGTGGGGGTGGAGAGGGTTTGGAGTTGAGGTAACCACAGAGCCTTCCTGAACCAGAAGCCCTTGTGGGCCTCGGAGGCTGGCGGGGCCCCTACATAGCACCTGCAGAGGGCAGGGGTACACGTCAGGAACTGAAGGGGGAGCTTGTGCGGGATGCGGAGGAGCCCCAAGCAGGGAGCTGTGAGGGTCTCTGTGGCTCCAGGGAGTGATGATATTCGGGGAGCCCCTAGGAACTTGCTGATCAGGGAGGCAGGAGAGAAGCCAGGAGAGGGGCACAGTGAGTGAGCCTCAGGGAGGGCAGGGCACGGCCCCATCCACCCCAGTGTGGGGTGGCACAAACAGCTGAGGCTCCGGAGCTGTAGCATTGACAACTCAATCTATTTGAGGCCACACTAAAAACCCCAAACACCCAAATTCTCAAAAACGATCTTCAAGAGTGACGCTAAATGCCAACTGTCCCTGCTGCAGCAGTCTCAGGCTGCCACCTCCCCTGGCTGTCTGCAAGGGTCTCACGCTCCGTCACAATCGGAGTGAGCTGGGCCCTGGGCTCCATGCAAAATGCAGGGGAAGTGGCCAAGGCTAGTCATTCTCAATGCAGTCAAAATGGTCATTGTTACGGAAGTGTCCTGAGAGTCACAATTCCGCACAGTCAGCAGGTACACACCTGTGCATGGGGCTGCTCACCCATCGGGGCACCATAATGTCTGTTTGCTGAGCCCGGCAGGCTCTGGAGCCGCTGGTGAGCGCACAGACACAGCCCCTCTCCGGGGCAGGCACTCACAGCAGCCACAAGCACCGCCACCTCGTGGCCTGTGAGTCCTCCCCGGAGGCCAAGCTGTGGTTCAGCTGGTGCTGTCTCCTGCAGGAGCACCCTGGCTGGCTCAGGACTTCCTAGCCGGGGACACATGCCCGTGACGTAGGGCCTGGGTCAGCCCCTGGGTCAGGGCGCTAATGCTCTGGACCCACTGAGCCCCCAGCTGTGGAGGTCTTCACTGTCTCCTGACGGATGTTCTCACAGCAGAGGCCACAACATTGGAGGACAGAGGAGCTTTACAGGCCAGCAGGAGTTGCTCATAGCTGCGTCACCAAACCCTTGACCATGAGAAGAAAGTATGGGGGGCTTGCCATGGATGGGATGGGGACTGCAGAGAGGCTGGCTCAGCTGTGCAGATCGGTCCCCATTAGGGTCAAAATTGCAGGCTCCCTGGGCCCACGCCCAGGAGCACACACCTGGCCCTCATGAGGCCAGCATCAATGGTCAAGATGGGCCAGGAGTGGTCTGTGGGCTATCTCCTCAGGATTTTTAAAGGTTCCCTACATTATTTTTTTATTTTTATTTATTTAACATTATTATTATTATTTTGAGACGGAGTCTTGCTTTGTCACCCAGGCTGGAGGCACGACCTCAGCTCACTGCAACCTCCACCTCCCGGGTTCAGGCGATTCTCCTGCCTCAGCCTCCCGAGTCGCTGGGACTACAGGCATGCACCACCATGCCTGGCTAATTTTTGTATTTTTAAAAAAGATGGGGGTTTCACCATGCTGGCCAGGCTGGTCTCGAACTCCAGACCTTGTGACCGCCTGCCTCAGCCTCCCAAAGTGGGATTACAGGCGTGATTACAGGCGTGAGCCACCGTGCCCAGCTACATTATTTTTTACGTTTAGAAATAACGTAGAATTTATGTAACGTGGAATAACAACAAAGACATGTCAGCTAGTCTTGATTTAGTGAATGAAATAGAGAATCGCATCTCACCGAACACGTATTGACTTAACTAAAGGTTTAAGACTTCACAGACACAGGAGGATGACAGGAGCGTGTGAACAGATGGGCTCGAACAGACGCTGAGCTGCAAGCAGACCCCACAGCACCGAGATGGGGGAGCACTGCAAACTGGGAGAGAAAATGCCGCTGTGTTACGAGATCTTCAGGCTGTCGTTTTTCTGGCCAAAACCTCTGTGGCTGGGGCACCTTTGCTCAGGCCTGCTGGGCTCATCTCACCCACTTGGCCTGGCAGGCTGCACTAGGCTCACACTACAGGCCTGAGTCCCATGCCTACCAAGGGCGAGTCAGGCGTGGAATGGCGAGGCGTGTTTGAGCGTGCGTGGGGTCTGGCCACTGCACACAGACGTGCCAGCTGCTTCAGCAGGGCAAGCAGCTATAGGTGCCGGCTCCCTGTGAGGCTTCGGCCAGACCAAGCACACTGCAAGCAGCTTCCACAGCTGGCACTGGGGAACACGGTGGCACCCAAAAGTTTAGAGACACCAGGAACCACAGGGCCCCAAAGAAGGAATCACAGCCCTGGCTTGGGGAGCTCCCAGGTCTGGGTTCCCCAAAGGGCTGCAGCTCTTCTCTCCTTCACTTCACCTGTAATGTGGCAAGCAAAGGGTACATCTCAGCCCTGTTTATGCTACAGCTCTTTTAGCCTCGCCATTTGGCAGGTCCTGAGTTCTTGTCCAAGAAGAATGAGGTAAGCAGACAAGTGGAGAGTGAGCCAGATGAAGAGGAGCTTTATTGAGTGACAGAACAGCTCTGAGGAAACCCACAGGGGGGCAGCTCCTTTCTGCAGCCAGGGTGTCCCAACGTCTGTTCAGCTCCTAGCAGAAAGGGTTAGGCAAGTCGTCCCAACAAGTGTTCAGCTATCAGTAGAGAGGGTAGCTCCTCTCTGCAGCTGGTCGTCCCATCATCTCCCTGTCATCTTTCCATCATCTCTGCAGCTTTCAGCAAAGAGGGGGCCCTAGAGTGGGTTGCTCCTGTCTGCAGGTGGTCATCCCAACATTTGCCCAGCTCTGGCTGAGCCTGGGGCTTTTATGGGCCTCAAAGGGGAGGAAGTGCATGCTGTGCCAACTGGTCCAAGGGTGGCCATGGGCAGGCCCGAAAAAGGCACCATAAGTTCCCACTCCAGTCCACAGGACTGGCAGCCTGGCCCCCAGCCTTCAAGCCCTTCTTGGCCTGAAGGTGGGGCCTCACCAAGAACCTGCCCCCTTCCACCCAGGAACCTATCTGCCTCCTGCTGCCATTCATGATGCCCGGGCTGTAGGTGTCAAGGGTGCCTGCAGGCCAGCAGCAAGCTGCCCTCAGCCCCCACTTGGCTTTCCTCCTAATGCTTATCAGTGCCCAAAGTCCAGAGGGGGCCGAGGTGGCAAGGGGCTGGCGTGTCAGCATTGCCCCAAGCATGTGCACACCCAGTCAGGCTATGACAGCACCTGAACTTAGCTCCAACTTTGCTCCAAAGACAGCCCGCTGCTGCCATCAGCAGGACCAATCAGTCCCCTACCCACCAGAGGCAAGGAACTAGCAGGCACTGCTGTGCCAGGCCTGTGAGGCAGCAGGGTCGTGAGTCCAGGCTGGATTCCATGCAAAGACTCTGCCATGTGGGGCCATGGGGTTTACTTGGATCCCATTCAAATCATTCAGGCCCTGACTGCTCAGCTTCAGGGGAGCCAGTCCCGCTCCTTCTCCTTACATACTTGTCTAATCTTGCCAAAGCTCTCGAGGTGGGGGAAGGAGGAAACCCAGGGTCATGGATGTCGATCTACTCAGCATCCATCCCCTTCCTCATTCCCGACAGTTCAGGTCTCCTTGCCTCTTCCCACAGCCACGATGATGGGAGGGCAGGAGCAGGGACTAGGGATTGACCTCAGTTGACAGAAGCCAATGGGTACATGCCATTCCCTGGCCAGTCACTAGTCTGGGTGGGCATGTGACCTCAGCAGTCCACACAGGGTGGGTCCCGGGGCTCTGCAGAGAGGGCTGGGAGCAACAGCATCCCCTGGTGTGGCCCTGGCTGCTATGGTGGCATCCCATGGCCACAGAGACGCCAGAGAACCAACGCCCCGGGGCGGAAGCCGGGTGCTGGGGCCTCTTGTTCACTGCTGAAAGCATCTGGGCTGATTCACACGACCCCCTCCGATCCTGGAGAAACAGACCTTGGCAGAGGGAGCAGGAAGAATCGCTGAAAGGTGGTGGAAACAGATACATTCCTGAAAGCTCAGGCGGGGGGCTGGTTTCCAGAAGGGATCATTGAAAGTGCCAATGCTTACAAAAACCTACACGCAAGAGAGTGACAGCAGGAGCCAGGCGAAGGATGATGTCAAATAAAAGGACAGGCTGTCAGCAAGAGACTGCCGTGCCCAGTCACTTCACCCTAGTGCTGTGAATTTCACTAAGCTCAGAACTACTGTCTTGGTCCGAGCCCAAGTTCATATTTGTGCTATTTGTTTAAAAATGTAAAAAAGGATTGTGAGCAAATGTCTAGCAAAAACAGCAGTGCAAGAAGACATGCAACCCGCCTAAGACAACACATGGCTTCAAAGGCTTGGCAGGCACCCTCACAGGGACACAGGTGCAGCTCATTACAGGCCACCGTTTAAGTTATTTAAGTCCTAAAGACTGCATCTGAGGAACACTGGGTTTCTAATCCTTTCTTTGAGTACTTCATTGCAGAGCTAGTCTATTAGTGGCTTTACAATTCAGGATTTTTGTGGGTTTTTGTGAGATAAGGTCTGGTGCTGTTGCCCAGGCTGGAGTGCAGTGGCACGATCTTGGGTCACTGCAACCTCCACCTCCTGGGCTCGAGTGATCCTACCATCTCAGCCTCCCAAGTATCTGGGACTACAGGCATGCACCACCATGCCAGCTAATTTTTGTATTTTTGGTATAGATGGAGTTTTGCCATGTTGGCCAGGCTGGTCTTAAACTCCTGAGGTCAAGTGATCCACCTGCCTTGGCCTCCCAAAGTGTTGGGATTACAGGCTTAAGCCACTATGCCCGGCCACGATTCAGTCTTATTAAATCAACCAGGTGTCTGTGATGTGGCCCAAAGGTCAGGCTTTTCCTTTCCCGTGCTGAGAGCTGCCCTGTGTCTGGGCATCTTCCTCACCAGATAAGGAGTGGCTCGGGCGCCGCTGGGCCTTTTGCAACCTGCAGCACAGCCCTGGTGGTGGTGGTGGGCCCGGAGTAGGCAGCGAGCCTGCTACTCACCCACCAGGATAGGCACTGGACAGGCCCTGTGGAGTGGCAGGCACCCCTGTCCAGTGTTCAGCCTCTTCCTCTGCAGGGGCTGTCCCTGCCTGTCAGACAGTGAGTCCAGGGATGCCCTGGACCACCACATCCTCGACAGCCCTCAGCTCAAGGGCATATCCGCTGGCTTCTCCCGCCAGGAAGGACAGTGAGGCCTTGGTGGGGCTCAGATGGAGGCTAGCATTCTTTTTAACTAATGAGCGCTTAATTGAAGCAAGTACTGGCACCGAAATAACATTTAAAAAGTGTTCTCTTCGGTGGCTCACACCTGTAATCCCAGCACTTTGGGAGGCCTAGGCAGGCAGATCACCTGAGGTCAGGGGTTCAAGACCAGCCTGGCCAATATGGTGAAACCCCCCGTCTCTACTAAAAATATAAAACTTAGCTGGGTGTGGTGGCACACGCCTGTAATCCCAGATACTTGGGAGGCTGAGGCAGGAGAACTGCCTGAACCCAGGAGGCGGAGGTTGCAGTGAGCCGAGATTGTGCCACTGTACTTCAGCCTGGGTGACAGAGCAAGACTCTGTTAAAAAAAAAAAAAGAGTTAGCTTAACATATTTGATTAAAGCATCATTTTAGAAATGTGAACCGTGTGCTCGCTCAGTGTCTCCTTAGGCTGCAGCTAGCAAGGTTGTGCAGGTGACTCAGGACAGCTCCATCAAAGCTTTGGGAAGCTGTCGGAGGGAAGTCTGAACTGAGAGAGAACGACTCAAAGACGCCTCAGAGAGCCTGAGTGGGCAGCTCCTGCCCGCAACCCCACACCTGGGGCACAGCCCTCTCTGTTGGCTCACACCAAGGTGGCGTTGGCGTCGCGTGAAGAGGCCCGGGGCAGCCCACTCCCTTCCAAGCTCCCCCTAAACTTTGCTTCTTTATGGGTCTAACACCCCCCGCTCAGTGACTGGATCCAGAGACGGCATCGCCGGCGGGCAGCGTGGGTCCATGGCAGGCCCCAGGAAGGCTGGTGCAGGGCTGACATGGTCCAGCACATGCCCAGCACACGACGGGCATGGCCCATGCCAAGGTCCAATGTGACATGACAGAGAACCGGCCACAGAGTCCCGCCTCAGGCACTAAGCCTGTTTAACGACAACCCCCAGAAAAATGGCTTCAGACAGTGGCAACATTTATTTTGCTCACACATCTGTATCTGGAGCGGGGCTCACAGGGGCGGCTGGGCTCTGCTCTGCTCTGCTCATCAGCTGGGGTGGCTCGAGGCACCTGTAGGCTCACTTGTGTGTAGCTGGTGGTCAACGCGGCTGGCAGACAGCACACCTGCATGGCCTATCCCCGCGGCCTGGGCTTCCTTCCAACATGGCACCCGGGCCAAGCCTGAGCCCCCTCAACCCGTCAGTCACATGGCAATTGCCACCCCAGCAGGCCACATAAACCTCCCCAGGGTCAAGAGAGGGGGATCCCCTGGATAGGCAAAATTCCAGAGGGGGACAGGGGACTGGAGATGTCATTCCTGCCATAAGACCCTGGACACTGCCCGAGAGAATCCTTCCATACAGAGAATCAGGAATCAGAACAGCTTTACGTTGCTCAAGGTAAAAGGCAGTGCCTTCAACTCTGAGTAAAAACCATTTCCAAACCCGACTGTTCCCCCTTCCTCATTCCCGTTTCTGTTGAACTCTCACACCATGCACAGAGCTCTGTGTGCACTCCGGAGCGCAGGGCAAAGGCCTCCCCGCCCACCCCGAGTTTGGCAGCTGCCAGAGGGCAGGAAAGGAGAAAACAGGGAATGGGGAACCTGCAGCCTCTTCCCTCCTTCTACCAGGTACAGAGCCACCGGGGAGAGGCAGGAAACATTTTCAACTCAAGGCCTGCCCTGGCTCAGACACTCTCCCGCCCAAGCCACTGTCCAGGTATAAGGCAGAGTTTGGCAGCAGGAGCAGGAGTGGGCACGAGCCCTGCACCCCAAGGGTATAGGACCCACCTGCGATGGAGGCTGGGCCAGGAGCACGCCAAGGAGCCGGAAGCAAGCAGCAGTAGCCCTCTGCCAGGGAGGGCAGGAGCAGACACCAGGCACAGCACAGCATCCAAGGCCTGCTGGCATCTAAGAAGGGGCAGGGCCACTCTGGCACCCACACCATGCACAGGCTGGCTATGGCCACTGCTGGAAGAATCGGAAGCCTGTGGTGCCTGCAGGGACGAAGGCAGCCCCAAGCCCACAGCCCGCTCACCTGGTGACCACACCCACCCAGGGCCTGTCTGAAGGGGAGTGCCTGTTTCTGGGCATGAGGACTATTTATCTTGGTCTCCACATTCTACAAAAAAACCCCGGCATTCAATAAACTATGAGAGAAACAACAGGCAATCCACTGCCACGAAATAAAGCTGTTGACAGAAGTAGACCCAAGCATGTCCTGTGCCAACTGTCACATAGCCACACCCCCACGACACGCCCAGCAGCTCACCCCGTTGCCCTCCACAGGGGTGTCCACGCCGCTTCTGTAACCCCTGCCGCCACAGGCGAGGCTGCAGTGAGCGTCTCTGCACAGGTCTGTGCTACCCACGATGTTTCAGCCAACAATGGACTGAGCAGACCAAGGAGGTCCCGTGAGGTTACAACAGGAGCTGAGAAGTCCCTGTCCTCATAACATGTAGCACAGTGTATCTCCCGTGTTTGTGGTGCTGCCAGTGCACGTAAGTACATACGGTAACATCCTAGGCTTCCATGCTCACTCGCCCTCACTCCCTGAGGCATCCGAGCAGCTCCTGGTAAGTGCCCGGTGCTATTTTTAACACTTTAGACTGTATTTTTACTGTACCTTTGTTTAGCATTTTTTTTTCAGACGGGGTCTGGCTCTGTCGCCCAGGCTGGCATGCAGTGGTGTAATCACAGCTCACTGAAACCTTTCCCTCCTGAGTCCAAGACATCTTCCCACCTCAGCCTCTGAGTAGCTGGGGCTACAGGCATGAGCCACCATGCTTGGCTAATTTTTACATTTTTTTGTAGAGATGAAGTCTTACTCTATTGCCCAGGCCGCTCTTGAGCTCCTCAGCGTAAGTGATCTGCCTGCCCCAGCATCCCAGAGTGCTGGGATTACACGCGTGAGCCACAGTACCCGGCCAATTTAGCTGTTTAGACACACAAATCCTTACATTATGTTACGATTGCCCAGGGTAGTCAGCAGGGTCACGTGCCGCACAGGCCCATGGCTGGGAGCAATAGGCTAAGCCGCACAGGCTGTGTGTACAGTGAGCTGTGTGAGTGCGCTGTGATGTTCCTACGGGATGGAGTCCCCTACAGAGGCATTTCTCAGAGCACAGCCCATTGTTAAGTGACACATGACTGTCCTGTCAGGTTCATTCCAGAATGGCTGGCCCCGTGATATTCCCGCCAGCACCACGCAAGTTCCCGTTTCTGCAGATCCCCAATCCCAGCTTCCTCATTGCGGCCGGCAGACGGGGCGGCACGCCCCTGGGCTCCAGCTCACACTCCCTGGGCGTGGCGAGGCCGTGCAGTCTTCACGTGCTGCTTGGTCATCTGGTCTCCTTTCAATGAACTATTAATATCCGCTGTCATGGTTCTAGAGACTTCTAGTTGGTTACCTGCTGAGTTGCAGGAATCCCCCTAACACTGGCTCCTTGCCGGCTTTATCCATTAAAAAGAAGGAACGAGGAAAGTGCTCCTCTCAGTCACTACCTGTTAATGGTCCTCTGTGTCCTCCAATGCACAGAAAAACTGAATTTTGATCTGGCCAAATCACCCATATTTTGCCTTAGGATTTATGCCTTTGAGGTCTCAAAATAAGGGCTTCTTCCCCAAGGGAACAAAGATAAGCTCCCGTATCATCTTCCAGTGGCTCACGGCCATGCCCAGAACCCATGGCGCCTGCCTCTGCTCTCCCCTCTCCTCTTCACTGCTGTCTCCCAGGCCACGAGTCCCTCCCGGCTGCCCAGCCCCATGTCCTCCTGCCATCTACCCTCCCACAGCAACCCACACTCTCACGGCTTCTGCTGCGGGAAGCGCTCCTTCCTGGGATTCCCTGGCACAGTTCAGATGAGTATTTCTCCACCTTCGCTGGCTGCTCTCCTCTAGCTCCACGGTCTCTATGACCCAGGTCTACACTAACACACAAGACAATGTAAACTGTTAAGGGTTTCACAACTTATTTCTGACATGGATTGCTGTGTTAAGATAATATGAAAGAAAACTCAGTGAATATAAAGTAAAATATTTTAAAGTATAACTGATTTTTCTACAGGCCATTTTCTAAAAATGTCTAAGCAACTAAAGCTGTCATTAAAATGTTTCTTTTCTTTTCTTTTTTTTTTTTTTTGAGACGGAGTCTCGCTCTGTCGCCCAGGCTGGAGTGCAGTGGTGTGAACTTGGCTCACCACAACTTCGGTCTCACGGGTTCGTGGAATTCTCCTGCCTCAGCCTCCCGGGTAGCCGGGACTACAGGCATGCACCACCATGCCCGGCTAATTTTTTATATTTTTAGTAGAGACGGGGTTTCACCATACTGGCCAGGCTGGTCTGGAACTCCTGACCTTGTGATCTACTGGCCTCGGCCTCCCAAAGTGCTGGGATTACAGGTGTGAGCCACTGCGCCCAGCCTAAAATGTTTCTTTTGAAAGATGCTGGAATAAAAGAATTCCTTATTTATTTATTTATTTATTTATTTATTTATTTATTTTGGGGCAGAGCCTTGCTCTGTCGCCCAGACTGCAGTGAAGTGGCGTGGTCTCGGCTCACTACAATCTCCACCTCCTGGGTTCAAGCGATTCTCCTGCCTGAGCTTCCCGAGTAGCTGGGATTTCAGGCACCCACCACCATGCCCGACTAATTTTTTTATTTTTAGTAGAGACCAGGTTTCTCCGTGATGGCCAGGCTGGTCTCAAACTCCTGACCTCAGGTGATCTGCCTGCCTCGGCCTCCCAAAGTGCTGGGACTAAAGGTGTGAGCCACCACGCCCGGTCTAGAATTCCTGATTTATATTAAAACCATTCTTGCTTTTTACAGGGTTGAAGTCCTTAGCTGCTTAGACATTTTTAGAAAATGGCCTGTAGAAAAATCAGTTATATTTTAAAATATTTTACTTTATATTCACTGAGTTTTCTTTCATATTATCTTAACACAGCAATCCATGTCAGAAATAAGTTGTGAAGCCCTTAACAGTTTACATTGTCTTGTGTGTTAGTGTAGACCTGGGTTGTAGAGACTGTGGAGCTAGAGGAGAGCAGCCAGTGAAGGTGGAGAAATACTCATCTGAACTGTGCCAGGGAATCCCAGGAAGGAGCGCTTCCCGCAGCAGAAGCCATGAGAGTGTGGGTTGCTGTGGGAGATAAAGAATGGAAACATCTGTATAAGATAATACCTTCTAAATACGATTTTTATACAGAATACTTACAAATTATCCAAGTAAGCAACACTAACTAGTCCTTTATAGACTACAAAAGCCAGACCTGAGGAGGCCTGGCAGAGAGGAGCCTGCAGGTGCCAGACCCGACCTGGGCTGCATGGTGAAGACGTGGGATTGGGAAAAGCTGGCCCCAGGCCCAGATGCCACCCCGGGCATTCACTGCTTTCAGTCACATGTGCTTAGATGCTATATAGTCACTAGTCTCGCAGATTTTATAAACAATGATAGTTAAACAACTATCCTAGGTCTTAGTGAAGGTAAAAATATCCCACTGTACAAGGGCAAAAATAATTTGTACTAAGAATTTTTTTTTTTTTTGAGACAGAGTCTCGCTCTATGCCCCAGGCTGGAGTGCAGTGGGACAATCTCAGCTCACTGCAACCTCCGCCTCCCGGATTCAAGAGATTCTCCTGCCTCAGCTTCCCGAGTAGCTGGGATTACAGGTGCCTGCCACCATGCCTGGCTAATTTTTGTGTTTGTAGTAGAGATGGGGTTTCACCATGTTGGCCAGACTGATCTCAAACTCCTGACCTCAGGTGATCCGCCCACCCTGGCCTCACAAAGTGCTGGGATTACAGGCGGGAGCCACCGCGCCCGGCCTTGTACTAAGAATTTCTTCTGAGAGTATACATAATAGAATGGCATGAAAGCTAAAAACAGTAGACATTGTTTATGACATTCATATAATTCAAAAACTGTGAAACACTAAATATTTAATCCAAATATTTCTTATTTTCTGGATTTGCTAGACCATTACTCACTTCCTCATCAGTCTTTAGATGGAGAGATAGAATCTTATTAGTCATAAACATCATTGTAAGGCTAGAATAAACCTTATAAGCCAGTTCTTCCTTTTCATAAATGAAGCCCTGGAAGCCTAGAGAGACTGGGGCTGCCTGAGGCCCCACATTAATAAAGTTCATGCCCGTCCTCTCACCTCTGAACTAAGGGAGCTGGAAATACAACACAGTGCCTCAGTTTTCTGTAACCAATGAAAACATTGCTTGAAACAATACAGTCAGCTGTCACTACTAATTACCAACAAGACTCATAATTTTGCATGTGGTTTTTAAAATACTAAGTCTGCTGACTTTAGCCTCTAAGCATGAACAGTTGTTGGGAGTTATAACACTCTGGACAACAAAGATTAAAAACCCTCTGAAATTGTTTTAATGTACCTTTTAAATCTTCAGGAACTTTCTTGTCATGAAAATTTATAATATGAACTATGAAAGGGATTATGTTAGCTTACTGATGAATCATTATCTTCTTGTAACTATCAAAATAATTAGATTTGTGGAAAACTATAATAAAAAACATAAAAGCTACCTGTTTCCATTTTCTGCCTGAACAGCCAATGAATGAACAAAGTAAGGAATTTAAGAAAAGATTCTTGGACATGTAAATGGACCTGACTAGTCCGATGCAGTGTGGTCCTAGTTTCTCAATATGCAGGGGTGACTACAGACCCTACATGTCACCAGAAAACATGAAAACATTCTCAATGTTTTACATAAAATGGAGAAGCAGCTTTTGGTGACATGAGCTTTATAAAATAAAACATCCATAAAGCAAGTTTCTATTTTTAATTTTTTTGCTTTGATAAATCAATTGCTTCACAAAAATCCTTTTTAAAGACAACAATCCAAGAAAACATATTGTTACAGTATTCACATTTCAAAGATTGTCAGTTTCAAAGACCGAATATAACTAGAACGAAAGATTGCTGAGTTCTTTCTGTCTCTAAGTGCCAGGAATGGGCCTTCACAAGGGGCAGAACCCCCTCTGGACACCCTGGAGTTTGTCTCAATGAAAAGTGCCCACTGCTACCTCACACAGGCAGGAGATGGATCACTCTCAGGTCACACAGACACAACTCCCAGAGCCCTTAGCCGTGAGGGTTTCTTTTGCATGCTCGATAAACACTTCCACTCATCTTACTATCTGGAATCAAAGCGCAAAGGCCAAGCTAGTCCCTCGGTGGGAGCGAGCTGGAACCCAGCACAGCCAGCCCTGCCACTCCTGCTCCACAGGTGCAGGGCAGGAATAACAGCAACATGCTCAATTTGGGTCTCAAGACACATTCAAAAGGAGCCTTCATAGGGAAAAACTCAACAAGAATAAAACTGGAACCGAATCTGATCATTTAAAACGAAATCTTAGAGGGGGTCACACTTTTACAGATTCTCTCCACTGTCCAAGGGCTGGAGAACAGGTGTTTTAAGGTGCCAACTGACCTCAAACATGCTGGGCAGTGATTTTGCAAACTGAAACAGCTTGCCATGTAGAAGCTAGTTAAAAGCACCCATTGCAGAGAGGTTAAAGGAAACTCAGGCTATGTCCATAAGCACCCTTTCTCTAAGTGATCTTTATCCTATTCCTCTGAATTTAGTAAGAATTTAGGAAAGTTGAAGAAAGTTTGCAGCTGGAGAGAATGCACACTGTATCATTCAGCATGGGTGTTTAACTCTCAGGCCAGAGCTTCCCAGTGCCACCGAGGTTCAGGCAGTGCTCTCTTTTTATAGATGGGGGTCTCACTGTGTTGCCCAAGATGGAGTGCAGTGGCTATTCACAGGTGCAAGCATAGTGCACTGCAGCCTCAAACTCCTGGCACATGCCATCCTCTGCCTCAGACTCCCGAGTAGCTGGAACTAGAGGCACGCCCTACTGCGCCGGGCAGGGGCAGCACTCTTAAATTCAATCCACTGCTTAGTGAATGTGATTTCTAGTGGGGGAAAGAAACGGTGACCTATACATGAGTCTACATTCTGTGAATGGCTTCCACTAATCTACACTAAAGAGCAAGCAGCCGAAGAGACGGAGGGTGGTGAGGGAAGGAGGAAGGGCTGGCTGGCTTTCATGGGTGCTTATTTTAAGGAGTCCAACAAAGTTGGAACTTAGGTTAAAAATGATCTTATAGACTTGACTTAAAATATGAGAAGACAGTTCACAAATGAGGAACGCAATGGTGGCTTTAAGATGTCATTCTCGGCCGGGCGCGGTGGCTCACACCTGTAATCCCAGCACTTTGGGAGGCTGAGGCAGGCAGATCACCTGAGGTCGGGAGTTCGAGACCAGCCCGACCAACATGGAGAAACCCATCTCTACTAAAAATACAAAATTAGCCGGGTGTGGTGGCGCATGCCTGTAATCCCAGCTACTCAGGAGGCTAAGGAAGGAGAATTGCTTGAACATAAGAGGTGGAGGTTGCAGTGAGCTGAGATTGCACCATTGCCCTCCAGCCTGGGCAACAAGAGCAAAACTCTGTCTCAAAAAAAAAATGTCATTCTCTCCCCAAAAGACTTGATAACCAAGTCTTTCAGTAAAGCTCCTGAAAGATTTTAAAACAAATTTCTGTGTGTTTCCCACTGACTTCTTAACCTCAATTAATATATTCTTTTGGGAAAAATCAATTCCAGAAAAAACTCTTCACTAGCTTAAAATGTCCCTTGGCTTACAACCAATCATTACTGTTGACTCTCAAGAACTGAAGACATTCCCGACCCTGTAAACAAATGAACTTCAGCCATACCATTTCAGATGATATGAAGACATTCTGTATGAAACACCGTGGCCTGTTTTCTGAGAAAAAGCACCACTCCTAAGTAAACAATGAAAACAAATCAAAACCAAAGAAAACAGAACCCAGCCCACTCTCTCGGTTCATCTTGTTACCAGGAAACAGAAGTCCTACAGTTATTCCAAATCTCACGTGGTCAAGTGAGCAGGAGGGCTCTGAAAAGTCGAAAGCAACAACGTACAAGAGAACACTGACACCAGGAGACCAGCCACAAACGCAAACGTAGGAGCCAACCCGTGGGGGCTGCCGAGGTGCCCTCGCCAGACCAGCTCGCTGCTGGGACTCCAGGGATGTCCGCTAGTTAAGTAATAAAGTCTGAATATCTGCTGTTTGCCCTAGCTCTGAGCCAATGGGGTAGAGCACATTTTATATTAGTTTATAATAAACATTCTGTGCATAACATATTTTGAAGTTAAAACTTTTAAAACAATACACAGCTAACATGGTAAAGCGACCATGCAACTGTGGTCAGATTTAAATTAGACTGGAGTATGTACGGTGAGAGCTCCTAACGGGTCACTGGCTACCATTTCACCTCACTTACCTGAAGTCCTGTTTAGCAGATATCTTTCGATATATGTTTAGATCAAGTGTAAAATGCAATCTGAGCATTACATATCAACAAAAATTTGCAGATATCAAAATTTCATTAAATAGCTGTTTCTTTTATAGTAGTAAATGTTCATCACTACCCGGGGAGAGCAAAGAACCATGGAACGGTAGCTAACTTTGGGCAGGTTCATTAAATTTGGTCAATTCAGAACATTCCAAATTGAAATATTAATAGCAAGCATGTATTGTTTCTTCTCTAGAAATTTTATCCTCAATATAGTCATCATCCAATTCATAACGAATTTATAAAAATAGCTTTTTTATCCAATAATTCCAGCAAGGTAAAAATAGGAGTTTCTTTTTCTATATAGCAAATGAAACAGGCTCACTGAACATGAGGGGACTTAGGCTTGCTAAGCTTGCCGTCCATCCACTCACGACGAAACCACACTCAGTCTAGGCGTGTGCCGTTGTCACCGCACACTGGCAGTTTCGGGTGCAGCAGCTTCTTTCAAATCCATGGGCCACACAAATCAACCAGCCCACTGAGATCTGCTGGAACCACAGAACTAAGTGACAACCGCATCACGGTTTAGAAAATGGCAGCGCTATTCCTTAATCTAATTAGGGATTCAAGGTGGGGAGGGAGTGGTGTGTCATTCCTCACAATCTAGCGTTAAACCTTTAAAGAATTTCTTTAAAAATCCACACACACGCACACACGCACACACACACACACACACACACACACACACACTTGAAAGAAGTCGCTGCACCGGCAAAGACGCGCTTTAAGCTTACTATGAAATACAAAAGTGCACTCTTCTATATCTACATATAAAACATATTAGAAATAAAACTGTGTAAAATGTTTGCTGTGCAAACTCCAAAAAGTCAGGTGCGTCTGCTCCTGCCCCTACTGCAGGGAGTCACTGTTCTCCAAGACCAGCCCGCTGATGTGGGCAGGGGCCAGGGCACCCGCATCCTCCTCTGTGCTGTCCACAGACTCGTCCTCGCTCTGCCCTGCCATCATGACCTGCTGCACCGCCAGGGTGGCCCCGTCCGAGGACAGAGACTGAAGGCTGTCCACGTTCATGTTCACGGGCGTGGTGATGGTGACAACAGCTCCTGCGGCAGGATGAAGGTGTGTCATTATTTAAATTAGTACTCACAGAAAAACACTTTATTACTCAATTGGGTGCTGTTTGCTCGTTTGACCTAAAGTTAAAATAAAACACCTATATATGTTTAGGGAATGTTCAACAGGGATTTAAGAAACTGTTTCTGGGCCGGGCGCGGTAGCTCATGCCTGTAATCCCAGCACTTTGGGAGGCTGAGGCAGGCGGATAACGAGGTCAGGAGATCAAGACCATCCTGGTGAACACGGTGAAACCCCGTCTCTACTAAAAATACAAAAAATTAGCCGGGCGTGGTGGCAGGCACCTGTAGCTACTCCGAGCTACTCGGGAGGCTGAGGCAGGAGAATGGCGGGAACCTGGTAGGCAGAGGTTTCAGTGAGCCGAGATTGCGCCATTGCACTCCAGCCTGGGCAACAGAGTGAGACTCTGTCTCAAAAAAAAAAAAAAAAAAAAACAAAGCAAACAAATAAAAAAAAATAAAAACACATGCACACAAAACCATCCAAAATATGAAGACCTCATGCGAACAGAAAGATGCCTATAAAACACATCAGAATGGCTGCCTACGTCAGGGGATGGAGAGCAGAGGCCACAGGGAACAAGCAAAAACAAGAGAAGGGCATGGGGGATGAAGAGAAAGAAGCCACGTGGTGAGAACGGGGTAAGTCCCTCCTCCACACCCGGCGTCGGAGGGAAAAGGAGAGCAAACACAGAAGCAAAGGAGAAGATCCATGGGCATGACTGTGTCTTTGAGACAGAATTAATGATTTCATATCTCTATCACGTGTTTTACATTCTCTACTACTGGTGCTCCTAACTCTTACTGAGAGCTCCCGTGCACGCAGAATGCAGCTTCCTCATGTTTTAGTTGCAGAGAAAGAGAACCACGCACTCTCGTTCACCACATTACCTGAGGCTCACAGCTAACAGGCCTGATCCAGGCCTCTTGTTCATAATCCCCACCCCATGGTCCACCATGTCTGGCCTTGGCCGGCCACCTGTACCTTCCGACATGGTGAGCTCGCTCGGCGGTGGCTGTGCGACTCCTGATGCAATAGAATCAGGCCAAAACCTCTGAACTGGCCGGTTCTGAGCAGTTTTTTTCTTTGTTTTGGGGGTCTCTGAACAACTTGAATCCAACATTGGCTGAAGAATTCGTCTTCTGGCATTGATGAACCTGGAGTCAACAAAGAGAAGCTTCCATGAAAACAGCCTTCGTAAAGACCCTATACAGGATTAACAAATCCTTCTAACAAACACGCTGCTCTACGAAGCACGCTACAAAGAATGACTCAAGTTCTCCACTATAGTAACTACTTAAGAGGACTCAACAGCTCTTCTGAATTCTCTAAATGCCCAGAAACACAGAGCCTGTTGTTTTAAAAATCATGCAAATAAGCACCAACTCGTCCATGGCATTTTTTTTTTTGTCTCAACTCCTTTAGGGCATGTTTGTGAACTAGATACTCATAACGACATAGATGATACTGTTGAATTTGTGAATCTGACACTGTTTTCCCTAAGGAAGAAAAATGTTAAAGAAGCAAGACTTTCTGTAGTGCCATCATGCCTGAGACGATCGGGCAGTCTGCACTCGTCTGGACGTCACCAGATCACCAACGGGGCCGAGCCTCTGGGTGGCAACGTGTCTGAGCCATCAGAGAATGGGACTGCCACCTCCTCTTGTTTCACCACAAAGCACGATCTAAGGCAAGAGCTGCATCTTTTCAAAAACCATTCCCAATGATGAGCTGTTTCTTAGATGACTGGAGGCGTAAGTCCTCCAGTGGTCCTAGACATGTGGCCAGCACAGCACGTAGGCACCAGCAGTGATGAAATCCCCGACAGACGCTGGCGACTCTGTCAGACCAGGCACTCACGCCTGTGATAAGACTCCACAGAGAACGAGAGCAGCAACAATCACAGGCTGGCAGGGCAGGCTGGACATTGTTTCTGTATTTTTGAGATGGAGTCTCGCCCTGTCGCACAGGCTGGAGTGCAGTGGCACGATCTCAGCTCACCGCAACCTCCGCCTCCTGGGTTTAAGCGATTCTGCTGCCTCAGCCTCCTGAGTAGGTGGGACTATAGGCGCCCACCACCTCGCCCAGCTCATTTTTGTATTTTTAGTAAACGGGGTTACACCATGTTGGCCAAGATGGTCTCGATCTCTTCACCTTGTGATCTGCCTGCCTTGGTCTCCGAAAGTGCTGGGATTACAGATGTGAGCCACTGCACCTGGCCCAACAGTCACAGGTTGGCAAGGCAGGCTGGACATTGTTTCATATCAAATGAGTATGATAGCAATCTCAAAATACATTAAGATTAAAGGCTGCTGTCTTCAGTTCCCATTCTTATGCTATGAGCTGTTGCCTTTAAATGTGAGAAAGTGCAAGGAGACTCAAATCCCTAGGCCAGCTTTTCCTCCTGCAGTGACTAGAGGACAAAGATAGCAAACCAGACATGCGTTCTGCTGCACCCACCACCCTATGCCACTGACTGGGCCACTTTGCTACAAAAAGAGCTGAAATGGAAAGAAACGGAAAGAAAAACAACATCTGTCCCGTGAAAGCGCCTATCAAACCAGAACCCGTCCAGATTCATGCATTACCCCAACCTAACGCAAAAGCAGCAATACCAACCATGCTTAAGGCCTCGTTTCTGTCTTCTTTTTTCAGTAACATGAATGATAAAGTAGTTGACCTCTTGCTAGAGTCACACATTGCTCATCTATTAAAAGCCAGACTTCTCTATCTGGATAGCTGAGTAGCCATGTTCACGATATCAGGGAAACAAAAGCATTACTTTTAGACTCAGATTCTACTCTGGTTTGTCACTGTGACAACTTCTTTCTTTTTTTAATGCCCCCCTCTGCAAAACAACAACACTAGAACTGGATCAGCTCTAAGGTTGCTTAATTTTAAAAGTCCAAGATTTAAAAATATCTACAATTATATTAGCACACAGTCTAATAATAATGAAGCAGATCGGATCCCGCCATGCTTCATTTAGAGGAACCTGGTGATCCCTGCAGCACAAGCTCCATGGCCACCCACAACCCCAGCGAGACCTGGGAGGGAAGGCCCCACTGCTACTGTAATGTGTTGGTTGTTTTCTTTTTTTTTGAGACTGAGTCTCACCCTGTCGCCCAGGCTGGAGTGCAATGGTGCGATCTGGGCTCACTGCAACCTCCACCTCCCGAGTTCAAGCCATTCTACTGCCTTAGCCTCCTCAGTAGCTGGGATTACAGGTGTGCACCACCACACGCAGCTAATTTTTCTATTTTTAGTAGAGACAGGATTTCACCATGTTGGTCAGGCTGGTATTGAACTCCTGACCTCGTGATCTGCCCACCTCGGCCTCCCAAAGTGCTGGGATTACAGGTGTGAGCCACCGCGCCTGGCCTGTAATGTGTTTTTAAATCATTCTTATTCAAAGCTGCTACCAGCAGAGGCATGAACTAATGATGGGTGTGTGTATCTCACTCCAAGATGTAATGTTTGTAAATACAAAAGAAAAGAAAGTCACAAAAAGTAAAAGTAGCTACAAATATTAAAGATTTCAGAAATTTGGAATTTTTAAGTTATATTATTAAACTGTTATTATTACTAAAAATTAAAAGTTGATACTAAACCTAGATAAGACAATTCGTTAATGTAACATAGTAGCAAGTCAGGGAACACCAGGAAATCATGAATGCAGAAAAGCAGGAGGGTGCTGAGCAGTGACGGGGCACCAGCACATCCAGAGACGCATCCCTCCCACTTCAGCCCACCCACCACAGGTGTGCCCCAACCAAAGTATGTGGTTTCCACATAGCTCCAGGAAAACAAGCACATGAGCAGAATATAACAACCACTGCAGCAACAACATACTCAGAATCTTTAAATTTTTGTTAATATTCTATTTAAAAGATTTAACAGGAAATAACGCAAATAGTATAGTCTGTTGTGACTACCCACATCTAAAAGAATGGCAAGAATGCAGGATCATGGAAGTACTTATGCAACCCCGAAGCATACCTCCCGCACACACGACTGCACAAAGACAAAGACTTTCTTGCTGGAACTTCAACAAGTTCACATTTTAGCACAGCTAAGATAAAGATAATAATGTTTACAACTGGAAGAATTTGTGCTTTCTTCTTTTATGCATGCCAGTTTTATTAAGCTGAAACTGTTTCCTACATCTGAATAAGTAAATTTAAAAAATGTGACAAGTGACTAATAACCAAAATGGAAGACCACCCCCCACTTCAGTGCCACCTAGGAACACGCACAAGCCCTTACTGAAGAAAATACATCTGGCCAGAGTCTAAGTGTCCACAGCAATGTTTGACAGCAGGACTAGAAGGGGACGTTTTATGAAATGTCCTCCTGGGTGTTTCTTTGCTAGGAATGGCTCCCAGACTCTTCTGTGGAGCAGGACCCCCACAAGAAAGAGTGGCAGAGGGTCCCCTCATGGGGCAGGACCTCTCACTCTTGGCCTCCCACCATCCAGAGGCTCATCCACTAACAACACATCACAGTTTTGTATGAATGTGGGGCTTGGGGACAGTAGCACCCTAGAGAAACAGCTCTAAAGAGGCAGGCAGGATGCAGTCCATAATGAGGTATTGATATGAAAACTTAGGTTGAACCTGGTTTATTCCTAAGTCTCCTGCTCCCATTGCCCATTAAAAGAACTCATATTTTTAGTCGGGTGCAGTGACTCACACCCATGATCCCAATACTTTGAGAAGCTGAGGTGGGAGGATCACTTGAGGCCAGGAGTTCGAGACCAGCCTGGGCAACACAGCAAGACCCCGTCTCAGTTGGGAAAAAAGAAAAAGAGAGACCTCCTATTTTCAGCAAGATTTCACCATGTATTGGTGCCAGGGTTTCCAAGTGCTCTACCGTGCTGACAGCATGATTTCAGGAAGCAGGGCACCTTACCAGTTGTTGACTTGGAGTAGTGTCAAATTTGTCTGAGCAGCAATCTGTTTTTTCTCATCCTCTGTTGGGTAGGGATGCTGAAAATAAAAAAAGAAGGTTACCATGGCCTTCGAGTTTACAAAGGAAATCAAGACGATTTAGGCAAAATGTGAGCATTACATAATCATTAGAAAATAATGGTCACGTCAACAGTGCTTCTAGCCAAAACCTAACTGTAGTCTCACGAACAAAGTGTTTCTCCTCGTCCCAGGAATGTCCTAGTGCTGCAGTGGCTGGTTAGTGCATAGGCCAAGGCAGACCGCCCCCCACGTTTAACGGTTCAGCGGTGACGATAACAGCAGCGACATCATGAGGAGCAGCTATGCAGTCCAGCGGTGAGTCTACACCAGGCTTGATACAATCTATAGATTCTTTATCAACTTTATTGAACTTTAACTTATGAACAATAAACTACATCCATATAAAGAGGATGGGTGGATGCGTTCTGGCCCGGGAGCCTCTGCCACAAGCAATACACAGCACATTTCAATTACCTTGGTCCATTCTATAATAATTCACTGATTCCTCAGAAGCACCTGCTGAGACAGTCACTGTCAGTGTCTTTATTTTACAGAAGAGGAGACTGAGGCATGAAGTGTTTACAAACTGCCCCCATCCCACAGCTGGTGAAACAGGTGGAGTAGGAAATGGCCAGGCAGGCTGGGGGACAAATTTCCATCATGGGTACCACAGGAATCAACTGACACTGGGATAAGCTGATGCCATCGACGGCTTTCCTGGGGTGAGATCTCTGCTGGATTCACCTGTGCTGTCAGTAAGGAACTGAACCCAGGGCTGGTGACAGGAGTGCCTGCTATGGTATTCTTCTTTTATGTATGATTGAAACATTTCACATACAAAAAATCCAACCAGAGGGCCAGGCGCGGTGCCTCACGCCTGTAATCTCAGCACTTTGGGAGGCTGAGGCAGGTGGATAACTTGAGGTCAGGAGTTCGAGACCAGCCTGGCCATCTGGGAAAAAAAAAAAAAAATCTGGCCAGGTGTGGTGGCTCACGCCTGTAATCCCAGTACTTTGGGAGGCCAAGGTGGCCAGATCACGAGGTCAGGAGATCAAGACCATCCTGGCTAACACGGTGAAACCTTATCTCTACTAAAAATACAAAAAATTAGCCGGGCATGGTGGCACACACCTGTAGTCCCAGCTATTCGGGAGGCTGAGGCAGAAGAATTGCTTGAACCCAGGAAGCGGAGGTTGCAGTGAGCCGAGATCGCGCCACTGCACTCCAGCCTGGGAGTGCAGAAAAATAAAAAAAAAAAATCCAATCAGAACTAGATAGCAAAACTCACAGAAGTACCAACCGAAAATGATTTCTAGCTATGGTAAATAATTTCTCCAAGGTTGATGACTGTCTATATGTGGAAACCAACACGACATTTACTCTAAAACCTGAATGCACTAAAGCCCTTGATTTGGGATCAACAAGGACCCAAGAGAATGAACGGTACCAGCAAAGTCAGCAGTGAGAGTTTACTTTGGCTTTGACGTGAAAGGAACACTGAGTGCGGCGTGGAAACACCCCTGCCCATCACATGGGGACGGAGCGGCCTCAGATGTGCCTCAGCAGTGATGGGTTTGTTTCCTCAAACTAACGGCAGTGTGACTCAACTTGACTCCATCAATGAGTGTGTGGCTCTGAGCTCAAGGTCATGGAAACAGAAATACTGTTCTCCCCCTTTAAAAAGCTCATAAAATAGAAACAGGGCAGGAAACACGAGCACACAAGCAGAAAACACCAAACAGCCAGAGATGCTGCCCCAGAGTATGCGGGAAACTACAGGGGGTCGGCGCTGCCAAGAAACGAGGGTGAGGAGGGACTGAGGACGCCCCACAGGAAAAAACGCGGCGTCTTCACTGGACATGATGGGCAGGGTTTATTGTTTGAGAAATTATTAAAACATTAAAGGAAACCTGAAAGGAGAGTACTCACCCAATCCCACCACTTGGTGTTGTTCTATCATTATGTTATACATATACTGATTGGCTGTAATAATCGCAATGTGTGTAAATATACCAACATGCTGCCTTTTGACTTCCTATCCTTCACTAAACCTCCCGACTGCTTAGAGCCCTCATTCCTCATGTTAACTATGCATATGATACTCCATCAAACCAGTACGTCCCCATCTACATGCCGACCTGCTTTCCATTATTATATTGAACGACACTAACATTCTTACACACAAATCTTTCCGTTTTCTTGTGACTGATCTCTTTGAACCAATTTCTCGGAGCAGCCCCGCTGCTCACAGGTAGCACGCCTTTCTCCTGACATGTGTGGCTTGCTACCTTTTATGCCCATGGAAGCGGCTCGGTGGAGACCAAGAGGCCAGGGCAGGCAAGCAGAAGAGGCGCAGCCCAGGCTCCTGCCAGGCCTTCTGCCCAGGAGAGGGCCCTTCTCCTCCCAGGACCACTCAGCAACACTACCCACCAGTTTCAAGCCCTCAGGCCAGTCACTCCCATGGACCCTATCCTCAACTGAGGAGCCCGAGGCAGCCAGAGGAAAGTGGGCCGCGAAATGGCGAGATGGCTACGGGCTCAGGGGCCCACAGTCAGGGGAGGGCAAGGACAGAGTGCTGAGGACAAACAGGCTTCAGCCCCAGCGGAGGCACCCTGGAGAGGAGACAGTGGGAGGGCAGGGCAGATGCAGTGCAGAAGGCCGAGGAGGAGGAGGCTGGGACACAGGCGGATATGGCCACAGCCTCACAACAATCAGTGGCGACAGCAGGGGAGAAGGGCAAACTTAGGGCCAAGCCAAACTGGCGTCTGCCTTCCCGCCTTGGCCTCCCTGTGCTTGTCCCAGGAGAGCCCCGCCTGCTCTCTCCTGCCCTGGATCAGCAGGCTGGCAGCAATGGTGCCACACAGCGTGCAGAGCAGGTCTCCCCCATCAACTCAGCAAGCAGGCCCACCACTGCACTTCCTAAGATGTCCTGGGGACAGGGAGAAGACGCGGCCATGGCCCGGGGGAGGAAGCCGGGTGCACACGTGCTGGGCAAAACGGCGCGCCCTGTGGGACAAACTCGCTTCCAGCTAAAGGCACCCACCCGGTGGCCCACCTGTGGGTGCACCCGGCCCTGCGATGTCTCTAACCCATCTCAGCTTCCTTGTTAATCCAACACACAGAAACACAGCAACTTCCCCAGCTGCTGCCCAAGAACATCCCTTCTCTGCCCACTTTTCTGGCTCACCTGACCCCATCACCCTTCGTGGTGGGCTGTCTCGGACACACGTGTACGCCTCACATGTGCTCGGGTGCTCCTTCACGGCAGCCCTCATTGCCCTTCAAGTTCCCTGCAGCAGTGCCCCACGCTCCCCACATTATGGACATGCCACAAAGTCCTGAAAGTCAGGCCTTTGATTTTCTGAGCCCAGAGAAGTAACCCTTTTCCATGACACATAAGCCAGAGAGCAAGCGTCGCAGAGGGCTGCAAGGCAAGGGCTGGCCCAGCCGTCCTTACCCCGATGTGCTGGAAGAGCCAGGACCGCATCACGTTCGTGGCATGCTTTGGCAGGACGCCCCTCTTGTTCTTAGATGAACCATCATCTTGATGCAAGATGCTGAGATCTTGGTTTAACTGTAACTGAAGCTTTTAAAGTTGAAAAATAACATTAGAAAGCATAGGAAATTCTCACATATCCAAGTACTTACAACTGCAGGTGGAGAAAACAGCCAAGGATCGGACAGGGAAATGATTGTAGTCGAGGCCCATGCACGGGAACCCTGTGTGGACTGATGTTTCAGGACACGGCTCCCTCCACATGACCAGCCTTTCTTTTTTTTGAGACAGGATCTTGCTCTGTCACTCAGGCTGGAGTGCAGTGGTGCAGTCACGGCTCACTGCAGCCTTGAACTCCTGGGCTCAAGTGATTCTTCCAGCTCAGCCTCCTGGGTAGCTGGGACCACAGCCACGCATCACCACACCCAGCTAATTTCTTCTACTTTTTGTAGAGGCAGGGTCTCGCCCTGTTGCCCAGGCTGGCACATGATAAGTCTTTGCACTAGTGACTTGGCTCTGCAGAGGCCTCTCAGGCAGGGAGGCTCAGAGCCCATCCTCTGCAGGCAGGAATGCCGTGGTCCTCTCACCCACCACCTGTTCCCACCTGTGCCTCCTGCAGCGAGGTCAGTGAGAACATGTGACTTCCTAGCCGAAAAGGGATGTCAAGGACCAATGAGAATGAACAGGGACACCAGAAAATCCAACTCTCAAGAGCAGGACACGCCAGGGGAGCAGAGGGGAAAGAAACAGAAACAGCACAAAGGCAGAAAGAGGGTCCGCAGAACAGGAGGGCACAGGCTGACTCCTTGTTCCAGACGCCTCCACAGGCACTAGAGATACGGACCTTCCCTCCTGTCACCCAGGAAAGCGTAGGCTACTCTGCCAACTTCATTTTAAAAGAAAAAGATGTGAATGGCATTTCTTTGTTAAATTCCTTCTCACAAAACACGAGAGAAGATCTGCTCGTTACAAGGCCGTGCTCCAGGCCCTGGCACGGCCTCCCTCACACAGCGTCTCCCTCCCCAGGTGCCTGCTGAGATGATGCTGCCACTGCGCACTGCGCAGACCAGGGAAGGAAGGAAGGAAGCAAAATCGCTCCGTAGGGTCCGCAGCATGGATAGGTCAGCCTGTTTAAGAGTTCACATATAAACCTAACTTTAGTCCAGGCACAGTGGCTCACACCTGTAATCCCAGTACTTTGGGAGGCCAAGGCAGGAGGACTATTTGAGCCCAGGAGTTCAAGACCAGCATGGGCAACATAGTGAGACCCCGTCTTTACAAAAACATTTAAAAATTAACTGGGCAAGGTGGCACATGCCTGTAGTCCCACTACTCAGGAGGTGAAGGTGGGAGGATTGCTTGAGCCTGGGAGGTCAATGCTTCAGTGAGCTGTGTTTGTGCCACTATACTCCAGCCTGGGTAACAGAGCGAGACCGTCTCTTAAAAAAAAAAAAAAAAAAAAAAAAATCAGAGCACCTGCAAAAAAAGAGAAGCTTCTAAAAGATGAGAAAAACACAAAAGATTGGAAAAAAGAACACCAACCTTCTTGAGAGCTGGGTGCAGTAGCTCACGCCTGTAATCCCAGCACTTTGGGAGGCCGAGGCAGGCGGACTGCTTGAGCCCAGGATTTCGAGACCAGACTGGCCAACGTGGTGAAACCCATTTCTACTAAAAATACAAAAATTAGCCAGGCATAGTGGCACACACTTGTAATCCCAGCTACTCGGGAGGCTGAGGCAGGAGAATCACTTGAACTTGGGAGGTGGAGGTTGCAGTGAGCCGAGATCACACCACTACACTCCAGCCTGGGCAACAGAGTGAGACTTCGTCTCAGAAAAACAAAAGTAATGCTTTCTCAATGTTGGGTAGAAAGGATTTTCAACCCAGAATTCTACAAGTAAACAGACTGCATATCAAATATGAGATTAAAATAAACTCATTTTTAGGTTTGCAAAGTCTCAAAAAAATGTGTGTTTTTTTTTTGTTTATTTTATTTTATTTGAGATGGAGTTTTGCTCTTGTTGCCCAGGCTGGAGTGCTGTGGCACGATCTCGGCTCACTGCAACCTCCACCTCCCAGGTCAAGCAATTCTCCTGCCTCAGCCTCCCGAGCAGCTGGGATTATAGACATGCACCCGACATCCAGCTAATTTTTGCATCTTTAGTAGAGACGGGGTTCCACTATGTTGGACAGGCTCGCCTCAAACTCCTAACCTCAAGAGATCCACCCATCTCGGCCTCCCAAAGTGCTGGGATCACAGGTGTGAGCCACTGCACCCGGCCAGAATCAATGTTTTTTTTTTTTTTTTGAGATGGAGTCTCACTCTGTCGCTCAGGCTGGAGTGCAGTGGCACGATCTCAGCTCACTGCAACCTCTGCTTCCCGGGTTCAAGCGATTCTCCTGCCTCAGCCTCCCGAGTAGCTGGGATTACAGGCGTGCACCACTGCACCCAGCTAATTTTTGTATTTTTAAGGACAGGGTTTCACCATACTGGCCAGGCTAGTCTTGAACTCCTGACCTCGTGATCTGTCCACCTTGGCCTCCCAAAGTACTGGGATTACAGACGTCACCGTGCCCGGCCCAGAATCAATGTTCTTAAAGTAAGAACTGATAACACACACCAAAGACGGGCAAGGCTCAGCAGCCGCAGAGATAGCGCCACTGCACTCCAGCCTGGGTGACAGAGAGGCCTGAAAGCCCTGGCCCAATGACATTGTCATGATGGAGGTGTGGGCCAGGCTCACTGGTCTGAAAAGCTTGCCTGGCAGTTCTGCCGTGCCCTTTGTGGGGACCCTGGGGAGTGTGTGCCTACAAGACCTCTGCCCCTGGTGCACGTGCACATGATCCAACGTTAGCACTGGATAACTCTGTGTGTGTGTGTGTGTGTGTGTGTGTGTGTGTGTGTGTGTGTGTGTGTGGGTGGCAGGGGGTGGTTATGAGTGACTTTTTTCCTGTTCTTTCAGAATTTTCTGAACTTTGCAAATTCTCTACAATGCGAGAGATAAGAGTACAAAGAAACAAAACACTGACATTCAGAGAAACCAGAAATTGCTACACAAGACAAAGCTCTTCAGGCAGAGGGAAGGGCTCATGCTTGTTCTACCTGTGCCCCTATGTGGGCAGCACTCGCCCCCAAAGCCTTCCATAAAATGGCGCACGCACCTGGGAGTTCTGGATCCTAATTGTCCCAGGCGACAATGTCTGTGTGACCACTTGGCCTTGGGGAGTGACGACCGTGACAGGCTGATACACTGTGCCACCTCGAAAGGGAGAATAAAAATATGAGGCTGCTTTTAAGTCTCAATGATTTAAACCATTCTTCTTTTTTTTTTTTTTTTTTTTTTTGTAGAGACAGGGACATTGCTTTGTTGCCCAGGCTGGTCTCTAACTCCTGGCTTCAACTGATCCTCCTGCCTTGGCCTCCCAAAGTGCTGGAATTACAGATGTGAGGCACTGCGACCAGCCCTCTTCTTGATATACTTACAAAAGGAATAAAATCCCTGGTTTGATGAGCTTTTTAATCATTTCAAAAGATCAACAATCCTTTGCCAGTTGACTTGTCACTATAAAGTATCAAAACAAACTCCCTGGGTGGGCTACTCGGGCACCTGCAGCAGTGGGTGGGCAGGTGGGTGGGCGCTATGTGCCTGGCAGCCCACACAGCCCGGCTCACACACCACCAACTGACCTGGGGTGTGAGGGCTCCCTTCCTTTTGCTAGCCTCTGCTTTCTACTATTTCCTAAAATTAGCACATGTTAAGGATTTGGCCAAGGGTACTAAATAATAACTATTTTAATTCTAGTTATATTTTTGGATCAATGGTGCTTTTTTTTTTCCCACTGAGGTTTCCCTTTGTGCTATTATGTGAGGTCTTTGGTGTAAATTTCTACCCCTCCCTCTTTGCCGTGTCCCATTTCCATGATGCTTTGTGTTTTCAATGTTCTCTACGCATCAGGGAACTCTGGAATCTGTCCCTTTCCTGTAACGGTTTTGTTCTACAAGTAATACCAATGCTAAGACTGCATTTTTATTTGTCATCAATTAATGATAAAACTTAAGATTTTCACGGTGCTATTAAAAGCACAACAAAAAGCTATGTTATTTGAAAATGACAACTGGTTTTTGGTGTATATTTTCAATTCCTACATAAAACCTTTTTTCTTTCCAATATATTTTTGGTAGAGAAACAAAGAAACACAATCTGCATAAAATATTTGTTATTGAGTATTAACAAGAAAGAGGCATTCAGAGACCTCTAGCTTCTAACATTGCTATATTAGAAAATGGCATGAACTTGAAATTATATTTATACTGTCATTCTAACACACAGGACCATTTTCTGCAAAAACTCATGGAGAGTGTGTCCATTTTTCTGTCATCGTACCTGCCACCGTCGCCATGGCTACGTTTCCCTGCTGCAGCGCGGACGCCGGCACCACAATTCCCTGAGGGCTGATGGTGCCTGTGATGGCACTTTGAATCTGCTGCAAGTCAGAACACACATGTTGAAGGAATTACTAGAAAACGGAAAACCCATGTTTAAAACTTTAACATAAGTAGCATAATGACACCATTAAAAAAGGAAAGAGAAGCTTGAGGGAAAGAACATCCTCAGATGACGCGGCTTCAGAATGCACGCAGCACACACGGAAAGCAAGAGATGTTCAACTGTGTATTAAACACAACAAGCCAGCCTGCAACGTCAGCCTGCACTGTGGCTTCCAAAAGATTATCTTCATCTCACTGCCATATTCCACGTGCCTTACAGCCCAGGAGTATATCGAGGAAGACCCTGCTTTCTGATCACACATCTTTTTCATTAGACTTGGCTTGGTGGACTCTTGAGTTTTCCATGAACCAAGCTCTCCCTGACCGATAAGAGCATTCAAGAGATTATAGCACAGGCCTGGGAGGCACTAGAAGTGACCAGGGCTGAGGTATTCCAAGCTGTGCTGGGGAGTCAGCCCCTGGCACCCACCTTGACTCTTGACCCCGGCACGGACTAAGTGTGATCTTGGCTTTCCCCAGTGTTCTTGCTTGTACAGTGCTTGGAACTGTGCCCGGCCTACAGCGAGCCCCATGCAAATGTTTCTACATGCCCCATGGAGGACTCTATGCATCTGGGGTTAGATCCACATGGGCCACTTTATCCACTGACTGTGACGCCTGGGTGGGCAGCTGGCAGGGGAGAGGAGCCTCCAGTGCCGGGCCTGGCACACTCATGTGCCCTGACATGTGAGCAGTTACATAGCATAAGGGGACGCCACCCCAAGGCGGTGATTCTGTGGGCCATCATCGAGCGGAATGTGTAAGCTTAGTGGCTACGCTTAAAGCCTGCCACATTAATTAGGCTGTAATAAAAGTTAAGCTAGTCAAATCAATCATCCCAGCTTCCACCTTAAGATCTTAGAAAAAGAGGAACATCATGAACCGAAAGCAGAAGAAAGGAAATAATAAAGATCAAGGTGAAATCAATGAAACTGAAAACAGAAAAACAACCAAAAAAATCAATAAAACAAAATACTGTTCTTTGAAAATTACATAAACCTCTAGAAAGACTGACTAAAAAAAAAATAGAGACACAAAAGATCAATATCAGAAATAAAACAGGAAGAGATCACTATAGACCCTGCTAACACCAAAAGGCTATGAAGAGAATACTAGACCAACTCTAAACTCCTAAATTTAACATCTTAGGTGAAATAGATCAATTCTATTTCTCAAACATTTAAGAAATAACACCAAGTCTACATAATCTCCAGAAAAAAATAAGAGGAGGGAATACTTCCCAATCCATTTTATGTAAGTTTGTGTATTTTGATACCAAAACCAAAGACAGTATGAAAAACAAAACTATACACCAATATCCCTTACAAATATAGACAAAAATGCTGAACAAAATATTAGCCAATAGAATTCAAGAATACATATGAAAAGAATTATGTGCCATGGCCAAGTGGAGTTTATTCCAGGAATAGAAGGCTTGTTCAATATTCAAAAAACCAATCCATGTAATGTCCATTATTAACAGGCTAAAGAAGAAAAATCACATAATCATATCAATCAATGCTGGAAAAGCATTTAACAAAATTGAACAAAATAAAATCTCTCAGAAAAAAAGCAATATAGGATAACCTCCTTAACTTGATAAAGAGCATCTAGAAAGAAACCTGCAACCAACATCATCGACAGTGAGCGACTGAAAGGTGTCCCCTAAGGCGGTGACAAGGCAAGGATGTCTGCTCTTGCCACTCTTATTCGAGATGGCACAGGCCAGGAAAGGAAATGCTTGGGTATAATTCTAAAAACGCATGTACACAACTTATGTGTCAAAAACTACAAAGCACTGATGAATGAAATCAGAGTTGTCAATCAATGGAGAGACATGCCATACCTGTGGACTGGAAGACTTAATGCAGTAAAGATGTCAATTCTCCCCAGATTGATATACAGGTATAATACAATTCCTATCAAAATCTAAGCAAGATGTTTTTGTAGCTCTAGACAAGAGCATTCTAAAATTTATGTGGACAGGCAAAGGAACCAGAACAGCTAAACAATTTTGAAAAGGAATCACAGGGTGGGAGGAAACAATGTGCCCAGCTTTGAGAGTTATTCTATAGAGAAATCCACTCAAAATGGATCACGGATTTAAATGCAAAATGGACAACTATAAAACTTTTGAGGCCAGGCATGGTGGTTCACACTTGAGCCCAGGAGTTTGGGACAAGCCTGGGCAACATAGTGAGACCTTGTCTCTATTTAAAAACTTTTAGGAAAAAACTTAAGACGAAGTCTTTGGGACCTAGGGTTAGGCAAAGAGTTCTTAGACTTGACACCAAAAGAATGATCCATAAAAGGAAAACCTAATAAATTGAACTTTATTAAAATTAAAAAGGCTGGCTCTGAAAAAGACCTGTTAAGAGGATGAGAAAAATACTTAGCTACTATAGACTTGGAGAAAACACTTGCAAACCACATATCCAACAGAGAACTAGTATCTACAATAAGCAAAGAACTCTCAACACTCAGAAGTTAAAAAAAAATCCAACTAAAAAATGCGCAAAAGACGGCCAGGCGTGGTAGCTCATGCTTGTAATCCCAGCACTTTGGGAGGCCAAGGCGGGCGGATCACGAGGTCAGGAGATCGAGACCATCCTGGCTAATACGGTGAAACCCCGTCTCTACTAAAAATACAAAAAATTAGCCGGGTGTGGTGGCAGGCACCTGTAGTCCCAGCTACTCAGGAGGGTGAGGCAGGAGAATGGCATGAACCCAGGAGGCGGAGTTTGCAGTAAGCCGAGATCGCGCCACTGCACTCCAGCCTGGGTGATGGAGCGAGACTCTGTCTCAAAAAAAAAAAAAAAAAAAAGGCAAAAGACATAAGCAGCAGACATTTTATCAAAGAAAATACACAGAGGGTATAATAATGTTCAACATTATTAGCCATCAGGGAAATGAAAATTAAAACCACAAAGAAATATTAATATCACTACATATCATCAGAATGGCTAAAACACAATAGTGCTTCCGCATGGATGAACCCTCCAGGCATTCTGCACAATGAAACAAGCAAAGGATCCAGAAGGACAAACACTGTACGATTCCGCTTAACATGAGAGACCTGGAGTCATCGAATTCACAGAGACAGACAGTAGAACGGTGGGTTCCAGGGGCTAGGGGAGGGGGAATCCGGAATGAGTGTTTAATGGGGTCAGAGTTTGAGTTTGAGA
The DNA here is from genome assembly GCF_000001405.40 of Homo sapiens. Classification (NCBI taxonomy): domain Eukaryota; kingdom Metazoa; phylum Chordata; class Mammalia; order Primates; family Hominidae; genus Homo; species Homo sapiens. Next base: position 43,013,658 of record NC_000021.9, on the reverse strand, counting down.
AGATGAGAAAGTTCTGGAGATGGATGGTGTTGATGGTTGCCCAACAATGTGAATAAACTTAACACCATTGAACTGTAAATTTTAAAATAGCTAAGATGGTAAATTTTATATTATGTGTATTTTACACAATTTTTCAAAAGAATAAGTAAAATATTTTCAGAAGAAATAAAAGAAAGAAATGAATGGAATTGTGCCTTCCATAAACATGGGACCGGGGGCCCAGTATGCAGATTGAGGACTCACTTCATAATCTGAGGGAGTTCATTCCCAAACCAGGCTGGGGTCAGAGACCTAGAGGGTCCTTCTTGTAGAAAGTCATAAAGATGACCCAGTGAATTCTGAAAGAGCTGGTGGTCTCATGACTCAATGCAGATGTTCACAGTGGCAGAGAGGGAAAGCGAGACCCCCAAATGTAAGTACCTGGGACTGCACTGGTGAGTACGGGCTTCCAGGCTCTCCACTCAACAGAGTTTCACTGTTCATTTTTGTTTTCAGACAAGCAATGTATCGACTGCAGAAATCTTTGCAGAGTTCGTTAACCTTTTCCAGCTCAAGAAGATGAATGCGCAAAACCTGGATTGCTTTTACCATCTAGAGCAGAGAAAATGAAGACTTTCAGAGAAAAAGGTGGCATTATTGTAAGTTATCATGATCCTACATACCAGTTCTTAGTCATTAGATAGAACCATCTCTACTGCCAATAACCAAAGTGGAATAACATCAGAAATCCTCTAAACTGATGTGTTGTTCCGGTGCCACTGACCTGGGCTTTGGTGTTTGGCTGCATCTGGTGTGCAGGGAAGACAAAGGCGCGTGGTGGTGACCTCGGTGCATCCCAGTGCTAGGTGTGTGGGCTGTGAGCCAAAGCCTAGCCCTTCCACTGATTCGCTCTGTGGCAGGCAGGACAAGTGACTCACCCTCATCTACTCCTGTTTCTACATCCACAAATAGTGATACATCCACACTCACCCTAGGCTAGTGCTACATTTTCATAAAGTTCCATTTTGGTGTCTTTGCCTAGTTCTAGATCCTCAAGATTTTCTCTTGCGATTTTTCTAAAAGTTATATCATTTTGTTTTGTTTTGTTTTTTGAGACAGAGTTTCACTCTTATTGCCCAAGCTGGAGGCTGAAGTGCAGTGGTGCGATCTCAGCTCACTACAACCTCTGCCTTCTGGGTTCAAGTGATTCTCCTGCCTCAGCCTCCTGAGTAGCTGGGATTACAGGTGTGCACCACCATGCCCAGCTAATTTTTGTATTTTTAGTAGAGATGGGGTTTCACCATGTTGGTCAGGCTGTTCACGAACTCCTGACCTCAGGTGATCCACCTGCCTCAGCCTCCCAAAGTGCTGGGATTACAGGCGTGAGCCACCACGCCTGGCCAAAGTTGTATAGTTTTATATTAAGTAACTACATTTTGGGGTAATTTGTCCCACAGCAATAGATAACTAATACCAATAATGCAGCCATTTTCATAAGCACCAGCTGCCTATGAATCAGCAGCTCCGAAGCCCATCTCCTTCACCTGTAAATCTGGTGGTAGGAATTCGTAGGTATCTATGCAGTGAATAAATGAATCACTCAGTAACAAAAATGATGGAGTGTCAAACTCTGCTAGGCCCTGTGCTAAACACTCACCAGTCAAGAGAACCTTGGTCCCTGCCAGCCTAGTGGGGTGCAGAGGACACCTGTGCTCTACTCACTGGGCCAAGCCAGGTGTGGGCCAATGGGAAGATGGATGTGGACCACAGACTCAGGGGTGGAGAGAGCATCGGATCCTCACCCAAAGAGCATGCACTGTTAGTCTCATCTCAGAGAGGAGGAGACAGATTCAAGTCAGATAACTCACCCACAAAATCTGTTTCATGGTAAGCATCGAGTATATAATGAGAATTTTCTTAAAAACTAAGACCTCAGCAATTTATTCAGGAAAAATGAGTTTTCCAAAAACCTTTTCTGTTGAAGGCCCTAACCAGGGTTTTGATATGGGACCAAGATGGCTCGAAGGGAATCCAGTGAAGGTTCCCTGATGCCGGATCTTTGTGTACCCAGCTCTGAGAAGTAAACACGTGGTTACACTCTGGCAGGAGAGCACACCCAGAGAGTGTGGTCTGCCCAAAGCTGACAGTGCTGTACAGGTGCCTCAGGTGCAGCTCATTCAGAGCAATCCAGTGATGACGGAACCAAGATGTTCTCCATTGCCTCTGGAGGGCACAGAAAACGCTGGATTTTGGAGCCCTGGCCCTGGGGGGAGGGCATCACAAATCACTGTCAGCCTCAAGACAGAGCTGTCGCCGGGCGTGGTGGCTCACACCTGTAATCCCTGCACTTTGGGAGGCTGAGGCAGGCAGATCACAAGATCAGGAGATCGAGACTATCCTGGCTAACACGGTGAAATCCCGTCTCTACTAAAAATACAAAAAAAATTAGCCGGGCGTGGTGGCGGGTGCCTGTAGTCCCAGCTACTCGGGAGGCTGAGGCAGGAGAATGGCTTGAACCTGGGAGGCGGAGCTTGCAGTGAGCTGAGATCACACCACTGCACTCCAGCCTGGGCAACAGAGCGAGACTCCGTCTCAAAAAAAAAAAAAAAAAAAGACAGAGCTGTCTTGGAGAATACAGCTCAAGTCTGTGTCCATGTCCATGATAAGCCAAGGACAGACACAGGTCACAGACATGCCACCCGAACACCCCAGCCCTACGGACCTTTACAAACACTGTGCAGAGAACTGAATCCCCGTGTCCATTTGGCATGGAGGCTCAAATTATTTTATTTTATTTTATTTTATTTTTATTTTTTGAGACAGAGTCTCACTCTGACACCCAGGCTGGAGTGCAGTGGCACAATCTCGGCTCACTGCAACTTCCGCCTCCTGCGTTCAAGTGATTCTCCTGCCTCAGCCTCCTGAGTAGCTGGGACTACAGGCATGTGCCACCATGCCTGGCTAATTTTGTATTTTCAGTAGAGATGGGATTTTGGCCAACATCGAGACCAGATGTTGGCCAGGCTGGTCTCGAACTCCTGACCTTGTGATCTGCCCACCTCGGCCTCCCAAAGTGCTGGGATTACAGGTGTGAGCCACCACGCCTGGCCTATTTTATTTTATTTTTAAAGGAAAGGGTAGGTTGGGCCTTGAGAGACTGAGGAGGGAAGATTGCTTGAGGCCAGGAGTTTGAGACCATCTGGGGGAATACAGTAAGATGTGTCTACAAAAATAAAATAAATCTAAAAATAAAAACTAAATAAATAAAAGATACCTAGAGAAGGCTGGAAGACTTGGGGATATCCACATTACACACACCATAAAAATTCTTTTAGAGTTGTATGAGTCTCTCCTTTAGCAGAACTACAAGCAGTCTAAAGTTCTACTTAGAAGCCTAAAATTTCATGAACAGATTTCACATTTTGAAAACTAAAAATAAAATTTATTTTACTTACTAAATTATCAGTTTCTGGATCTTCACAAAAGAAAGGTTTCCCTTCCTTCTCTTGCTTTCTTACAAAATTTTCGATGTCTACATCAAAACTGGCAGAAGTTGTGCCTTCAGAGCCCTGTGTAGATTGTTCACATTTTTCAAACAACAAAGCTAATAATGGAAATAGTGGATGCCTGAGGAGAAAAGAAAAAAAAGAATCCATTTACGTTCTACATCTCCGTGAGAATGTCTTTGCGTGTATGCCTGCACTACTTCACTAACACCTCTGTTGGGTGAAAATGCACACGCCACACGGTCCACCCGTTGAAAGTATGCAATTCAACGGTTTTTACAGTTGCACAGCATTGCCGCCGTCAACTTTGGAACATTTCCATGATCCCCGCAAAGAAACCCTGTATCCAATAGCAGTCATTCTCCATTTTTTCCCAGACCCCAGCCTGTTAGAACCTACTTGCTATCTCTATATATTTGCCTCTCCTAGACATTCTGTCTAAATGGGAACCGTCTAACCTGTGACCGTGGTGTCTGGCTTGTTTCCCTCAGCATAAAGTGTCCAAGGCTTACCAGTGTTTTACGGGTATCAGTACTTTATTCCTTTTTTTTTTTTTTTTTTTTGAGATGGAGTCTCACTCTGTCGCCCAGGCTGGAGTGCAGCGGCACGATCTCGGGTCACTGCAACCTCTGCCCTCCCAGGTTTAAGCGATTCTCCTACTCAGCCTCCCCAAGTAGCCGGGACTACAGGCACCCGCCATGATGCCCAGCTAATTTTTTTTATTTTTTGAGATGGAGTTTCGCTCTTGTTGCCCAGGCTGGAGTGCAATGGCGTGATCTCGGTTCACCACAACCTCCGCCTCTCGGGTTCAAGCGATTCTCCTGCCTCAGCCTCCCAAGTAGCTAGGACTACAGGCATGCACCACCATGACTCGGCTAATTTTGTATCTTTAGAGACAGGGTTTCTCCACGTTGGTCAGGATGGTCTCAAACTCCTGACCTCAGATGATCCAACCGCCTCAGCCTCCCAAAGTGCTGGGATTACAGGCGTGAGCCACCATGCCTGGCCTAGTTTTTGTTTTAGTAGAGACAACATTTCGCCATTTTGGCCAGGCTTGTCTCGATCTCCTGACCTAAAGTGATCTGCCCGACTTGGCCCCTCAAAGTCCTGGGATTACAGGCATGAGCCACCGCGCCCGCCACTTCATTCCTTTTACTGCTAAATATTCTTGCATTGCATGGAGATGCCATAATGTGTCTGTTCATTCATCAGTTGATGGGCATGGGCACTGTTTCCAGCTTTTGGCCATGATAGGCTGTGCTGCTATGAAAATTCATGTACACGTTTTTGTGTGGACTTTTTTCATTTGTGTTAGGTATACATATGCATAGGAGTAGAATTGCTGAGTTATATATAATTCTATGCTGAACTTAAAAAAAAATTTTTTTTTTTTGAGATAGGGCCTCACTCTCTGTCACTCAGACTGGAGTACAGTGGCATGATCTCAGCTCACTGCAACCTCCGCCTACCGGGTTCAAGTGATTCTCCCACCTCAGCCTCCAGAGTAGCTGGGACTACAGGCATGCACCACCACACCCGGCTAATATTTGTATTTTTTGGTAGAGACAGGGTTTCGCCATGTTGGCCAGTCTGGTCTTGAACTCCTGACCTCAGGTAATCCACCTGCCTCGGCCTTCCAAAGTTCTGGGATTACAGGTGTGAGCCACTGCGCCTGGCAGACTTTTAAATACTAAACAAGTCTGACATTCCCAGGAAAAACTTGACTTGGTCGCTACGTATTATTCTTTTTACATATTGCTAGAATTGATTTGTTAATATTTTATTGATGATTTTTACATCTAAGTTCATGAAGGATATTGGCCTGTATTTTCCTTATTTGGTATTGTCTTTGGTCTTAGTGTCAGAGTGATGTCAATTATAAAGTGAGTTGGGAAGCATTCACTCCTCCTCTACTTCCTGAAAGAGACTATGCAGACTTGCTGCTCTCTTCTTCTTTATATGTTGGGTAGAATTCTCAGTAAAATCATCTGTGCCTGAATATTTCTTTTTGCAAGGTTACACAAAATTTATAGATTGATATTCTAAAACTTTTATAGGTATTAGAAATAACATCTTTGTGTGTGTGTGTGTGTGTGTGTGTGTGTGTGTGTGACAGAGTTTTGCTCTCGTTGCCCAGGCTGGAGTGCAGTGGTGCGATATCAGCTCAATGCAACCTCCGCCTCCCCGGTTCAAGTGATTCTCCTGCCTCAGCCTCCCAAGTAGCTGGGATTACAGACATGTGCCACCATGTCTGGCTAATTTTTGTATTTTTAGTAGAGATGGAGTTTCACCATGTTGGCCAGGCTGGTCTCAAACTCTTAACCTCAAGTGATCCGCCCGCCTCAGCCTCCCAAAGTGCTAGGATTACAGGCATGAGCCACCACACCTGGCCAGAAATAACATCTTAATCTGAGAAAATTTTCAGCCGAGCAGTTATCACATCATAATGGCACCTCACAACTCTGCCTCGCTACTAGTTCTGGTGTTCCTTTTAACAAACTTGTGGACACTCCTCACTCCTCTGAGGCCCCCACAGCCGGCACCCCGGGCACTACCTATAAATGGCCTGCTTGTCCACATCCATCGGGGTCTGAGACTCCACAGGGGGAGGGCTCACTCCTTCTGCATCGGGTTCAGAGCAGTTTGGATCTTGTTCTGTCTTTAACTCTGTTACTACTTGCATCTGTAAAAGGAGGAAGATAATTCTTATTAGCAAACACAAACTACTACGAGGTATTCCATGCTCCAACAGGAATGCAGTTGGAGTGGGGAATTGCCAGACAGCAGTATGACTGCAATCATATGTAAAGAATGCTACCAACAAAACAGCTTTGAATTTAATGTGCTTTAAAATAAAGGTAAAATTTCCAAACTGCTTAAGAACTGAGATAACCAATGTCTGTGAAATGCTCATGATTTTAAAATAACACTGGCGATGGCCTAATGAAGAGAACGGCACACGTGCAATCTACTCCTCCGTCTATTGCTATATCTCCTCACGTGTAGCAATACTACAGTCAGAGAAGCATAGACAAATAGTCCAAGGTCTTCTTACCATGTCACAGACACAACCTAACCCATACGCTACATATTTGGGACAAGGTTGAACTTCTCCCATATCTACCCTCAAACCTCAGCAATACATAGCCATAAAAATGTCACTGCATTCAGAAAGGAAAAGGCCAGCTGTGTTTACTTAAAGCCTTAAAAGATACTATCATTTAAACTGCTTTAAACAAGCAATGCCTTTGTCATTTAGGTAAAAAACATTTAAATCGTTAAAAAAAATCAGTTTACAAAAACAAAATTTCGTGAAAGTAAACTTCTAGTTATCCATGAGCAGCAGATTAGACTGTCCTGACCTCAGCTTCCTCAGGACCAGGACGGGCCATTTCTCCCGCGGTGGATTTGGCCATGCTTCTGCCCCTTGAGGAAGCAGCTTGGGGCAGCGGGGGCGGGGAGACCTCATGGGAGCGGGGCCATCCCCACTGTCCAGACAGACTGGGGGCCAGCCATGAACGCCCACCCGCACAGGACGCCTCTCACATCCTCCAGCCCTGTGCTCTCTTCCCTCCAATGTCTTGTTTTTGCAATAAGATGACTTCTATTCTGCTGCCTTTAAATGGTACAACATATTAGGAAAACTGTTTATGTTTCTCTTAAAAAAAAAAAATAAAAGCAATAAAGCCTAAGTGGACACAGTATTTGTGTAAGGCAATCTGCCAGCATGTATAAAAAGCCTTAAAAAGGCCAGGCACAGTGGCTTATGCCTGTGATCCCAGCACTTTGGGAGGCCAAGGTGGGCGGATCACCTGAGGTCAGGGGTTCAAGATCAGCCTGGCCAACATGGTGAAACCCTGTCTCTACTAAAAATACAAAAAAATTAGCTGGGCGTGGTGGCACACACCTGTAATCCCAGGTACTCAGGAGGCTGAGACAGGAGAATTGCTTGAACCTGGGAGACGGAGGTTGCAGTGAGCTGAGATCACACCACTGCACTCCAGCCGGGGCAACAGAGCAAGACTCTGTCTCAAAATAAATAAATAAGTAAATAAATAAATAATAAAAAATAAGAAGCCTTAAAAGATTCATTTCAGTATTTGAAAAAAAAATGATTGTGAAAAGAGAGAAACCTAAATGTTCAACCTTGGAAAAATGGCAAAATAATTATGATAGGTCTACGCTGTAGATATATTTCAATGTTTATTTAAAATAATGCTGATTAAACACTTCCGAGGCCCTTGGAAACACTCGGGTATGAAAAGGGCAGTGCTCCAGGTGTCATCTGCACCTGGCACAGCTGCCTGGGAGGAGGTGGCTGGTAGCAACCAGGCTGTGTTGGAGGTGGTCACCGTGCCTTGGTGCACAGGAGGCAGCAGTGGGGTCGGAGCAAAGACCTGGCAGGCAGGAGGGAGAAGAGTGATGGGAACAGTGAGGACCGGTGCTCCAGGGCAGGCAGAGAGGTGCCCAAGATATGCCAGGCAGAGATGTTGGGGGCGTCCTGGGGTCCAGAGGGGCCAGACGATTCGGGCCACAGAGCAGCTCAGTCTTTGCATGAAACCCACAGGAATCCACAGGGAGCCACTGGAGAGCTCAGGCGGGACATTATTAGATTTGCATTTTAGAAAAAAAAAAAAAAGTCAATTGGAAATACCAAAGGACTAAGGACTTCTAGGCTAAGGAAGCAGGCTGACTACATCACAGAATCTCCCTCCTTTAATTGCTATACAGAGAAAAAAAAACACTAACACCACCACCACCAACAACAAAAATCTCTGCCACAGGAACTGAACAAGGACTGGTTGGTAAAACTAACCACCAGGGAAAGGGGGACCCAGCGCCTCAGCTCCTAACCCCTCCTCAGACCTCACCAGCATGGCTCCAGTGAGTTTTCCGGAGCCTGATCCTTGCCACCGAAGTCCTCGAGGTGGGGAGGAGAGCCGAGGGGGGTGTACTGCACTGCCCCTGCCTGCTGGGCAGGAAAGTAAAGGGCAGGGCCAAATCCCTTCACTGGCTCCAGAGTCAGTGGGATGATGAGCCAAATGCCAGTGGGTTCAGAACACCGTGTTTAACAAGATCGCAAGCCAAGAAAGACCACAAGGGCCTCAGCCAAGTCTCGATCCACCTGCTCCTCAATTCATTCAGGTCACAGAACACAAAACACTCAGATACTCAAAAGCACAAAACACCACAGCTTCCAGGAGAACAAAGTCTCATCTATGGTGGGAGGGCAATGGAGAGCTGCCCGTGTATGGCACAACCATCCAAGCACGAGCAAGGTACAAAGATAGAGCACTGGGGCCCCTGCAAATTCATTACTGGGACAGCCCCTCTCATGCCTACAACTGGGGAGACGAGGCTACAAGATTCCCATTCAAAAGCTGATCCAGTTAGACACTCAGAAGAGCCACCAGTCAACATGGGAATCTGTCATCATGAAAATCAACCGGGTTTTCTTTCAAAGTAACAGTGCTAATTAACACTGACATTAAAAAGGTAAATTCCCAAGAAACTGTCATATGACTTAGGGAAGTCAAGATTCCTGGCAATCTTGGTATCAGTTAACGAAATAGTATTATTCTATGGCTTTTTTTCTGAACACGAATGTACAATAAATGCATAATACACTAACACTGAGCATGCAACCTCATGGCAATTGAATTGCAAGTATACAAAGCAATGTTCATGCTTGAGTGCCAGGTTGATTTGTAATTAGAATGCAGAATCAAGTTCAAGCTCACCTGTTGCCCATCTTGATAGCTGTCTATACTTAATGTCTGTGTAGCCATCATGGTTCATCAGAGTTTTATAAGACATCAAATCATCTTGGGTGAAAAGCGAATGGTGTCTGGAGAACAAAACCAGAAAAGCATCAGTTAATAGTTGTAGAGCATTTTTTGTCTCCCTCATTCCATAACATCAAATTTTTTTTTTTTGAGACCGAGTTTCACTCTTGTTGCCCAGGCTGGAGTGCAATGGCGCGATCTCGGCTCACCTCAACCTCCGCCTCCCAGGTTCAAGTGTTTCTCCTGCCTCAGCCTCCCTAGTAGCTGGGATTACAGTCATGTGCCACCATGCCTGGATAATTTTGTGTTTTTAGTAGAGACGGGGTTTCTCCATGTTGGTCAGGCTGGTCTCGAACTCCCGACCTCAGGAGATCCACCCGCCTCGGCCTCCCAAAGTGCTGGGATTACAGGCATGAGCCACCACACCCAGCCCATGACATCCAATTTTTAAAAATACATATTTTTACATGTAGAGAACAAAAAAATTATCCTTAACAGTATGTTATGACCCAAATCCTACTTAGCAACCCTTCACTTACATAGCAATCACTTATTTTCCTGTGCTAGGCCCTGACTTGCTATTACATTTTCAGTCACTGTCATTCATTGCCCAGCTAATATCAAGTCAATGCCTGCCCATGCCAGGCAGCATGCTGGGCCTGGGGTGCGGCAGTGAGCAGGACAGGCAGGGCCTCTGCCTTCCTGACACAAACCAGGCAAGGGAGAGACACAATACACAGGGTCAAGAATGGGCACAGGGTGAAGTGAGAGGGGGCCTGGGCTGCTTTCCCGGGCCGTGTGGTCAGAGCAGGCCTCGCTGGGAAGATGCTGTTACGTCGAGACTGGAGAGACAGGCTGAGATCAGGGAGTTTGGTGTTTCAGAGAGAGGGAACAGCTAACACAGAGGCCTGAGACGGGTGGAAAAGAGGCGCTCAGGGAGACTGAGATGGGCATGCTCATATACACACGCACATAAGACAGGCAAGTGTGGCGCACTTGCTTCATGACAACAGAAAACCGCAAAATGCCACTTCCGCACTGAAGGATGGAGCAGGAACGCAACCAGCACCTGCAGCATGGGTGTGGAAAAACACTGCAGAGTGGGGGAGAGCAGCCGGGCTGGACCACGGCCGGCATGGCCTTGCTGCTGCTGGTGCAGGTCACAGACATTTAGAGTCTGGGCTGCCCTGAGAAGGTCATGTGGAGGTCAAGGGCAGTTGTGCCACTTGTTCTGGACTAGCAAGAACAGCAAAGTTCCCCAAGGAAAGCAGCACTTTAGGAGACAGTGTTAAATGGAAAGAAATCCTGTCCAAGTCTTGCAGGATGCAGAAGGACTACCGTCCTGTCCTGAGCGAGACAGTTCAAAGGAACAAGGAGCCGGGCAGTGGCTCACGCCTGTAATCACAGCACTTTGGGAGGTGCAGGCGGGTGGATCACAAGGTCAGGAGTTTGGGACCAGCCTGGCCAACATAGTGAAACCCTGTCTCTACTAAAAATACAAAAATTAGCCGGGCATGGTGGCATGCGCCTATAGTCCCAGCTACTCAGGAGGCTGAGGCAGCAGAATCGCTTGAACCCAGGAGGCAGAGGTTGCAGTGAGCCAAGATCGTGCCACTGCACTCCAGCCTGGGTGACAGAGCGAGACTCCATCTCCAAAAACAAACAAATGAAAGAAAAAGGAACAAGGAGTCCAGTGAGAACAGCAGCAGCCGTGGCAGCAGCCAGGTCGCCTCTTGAGCACATTGAGCCATCTTAGTGCAATCTGCCCTCACAAAATCCGTGGGAGGCACTGCTGTGATGCCACTTACACCTTAGAAGCCTGAGCAATGTGGCCTCAGCCACCACGATGGCCAGAGGCTGAGCTGGGACTCACCCTCAACAGCGTCATTCTGGAGCCACTAAGGGGGTGCAGTCAAAGGGCACAGGAGGCACAGTCAATGGGGTAAAAGGGAGGGGGCAAAGTTGTGGATACAAGGGAGGGGGCACAGTCAATGAGTACAAGAGAGGAGGTACGGTCAATGGGTACAAGAGTGGGGCCACAGTCAATGGGAGCAGCTTCTGTGGCCTGGGAGGGGAGGGCATGTTGGGACATTTTAAGTTTGAGATGCTTCTCAGACACCCCCATTAAAACTCTGAGCAAGGGAGTCTGGCCTAGAAACGCAGATTTGGCCACCATCAAAGTATAGTTAGTACATGTAGAGGGTAACTGTGTCCTCCAAAAAGACACGTCTAACTGGACACGGCGGTTCATGCCTGTAATCTCAGCACTCTGAGAGCTGATGTGGAAGGACCACTTGAGTTCAGGAGTTCAAGATCAGCCTGGGCAACATAGCAAGACCCTGTGCCTACAATACTAAAAATAAATCTGCCAGGGTGGGTGGCTAAAACTTTATTTTTATTTTTATTTATTTATTTATTTATTTATTTGAGACGGAGTCTTGCTCTGTCACCCAGGCTGGAGTGCAGTGGCGCGATCTCAGCTCACTTGCAAGCTCCATCTCCCAGGTTCACACCATTCTCCTGCCTCAGCCTCCCGAGTAGCTGGGACTACAGGCGCCTGCGACTACGTCCGGCTAATTTTTTGTCTTTTCAGTAGAGACGGGGTTTCACCATGTTAGCCAGGACGGTCTCGATCTCCTGACCTTGTGATCCGCCCGCCTCAGCCTCCCAAAGTGCTGGGATTATAGCCATGAGCCACTGAGCCCGGCCAACTTTATTTTTAGATATTTAATGTGTTTAAAGCCTTAAGACTTTATGAGACCATTCAGGAAGAGAGAGAACAGCCTGTGCTAGAAGACAGTCTGGAGCTCAGGGAGACAGGAGGACACAGCACAGGATGAAGAACTGCCATGGGACAGCAAAAGAACCAGGTGGTGCCCCCAAAGCCTCGTGGAGAAGGAGGACCAAGGATGTGGGAGTGCCAGCCACGGCAAGGACAGCTGAGTGCCAAGGAAGAGGAGGCTGAGTGCCAAGGAAGAGTGGGGCTGAGGGTGCTGCCAATGAGCAGGAGAGCCTGCAGGGAGAAGGCTGTGACTGAGCAATCTCACAGCCCGGGGGAATCCTATCAACACAGGTACACCCTTGCAACACGGCATGGGAGCCACTGGTAACAGAAAAGGCTGGAAACCGCTTTCAACAGCAGCCTGGTATAACGGATAACGGCCACCCATGAAATGGAATATGTGCAATTAAAATATGAGGAAAACACTTCAGGAACTCTTCCCCAAGACAACTGTTCTGCAGAGACCCTACACATCTGCAAACGTGTCACTGAACCTCTCCTAACAGGACTCCGCCTTGACCATAACCTGGCTCTCCTCCAAATCTCTGCTTTCCCTCCAATTTCACTTCCATCTGCTCCCCTGCACCCCAGTGCAGTGGCTCTAATTCAGCGCCATCACCTCACACCTCAATGGTGGTAGGAGGCTCCTACCTGGTTGTATGAGCCTCTAGTCTTCCCTCTTCCAGTCCATTCTCCAAGCTTTCTTTTTTTCTCCCTTTTTTAGAGACAGGTTCTTGTTCTGTCACCTAGGCTGGACTGCAATGTTGCAATCATAGCTCACTGGGGCCCCGACTTCCTGAACTCAAGAGATGCTCCCACCACAGCCCCCTAAACAGCAGGAACTACAGGCCCACACCACCATGCTGGCTTTTTAAATTTTTTGTAGAGATGAAGTCTTGCTATATTGCTCAGGCTGGTCTTGAATTCCTGGGCTCAAGCAATTCTCCTGCCTCAGCCTCCCAAAGTGCTGGATTACAGGTGTGATATGGTTTAGCTGTGTCCCCACCCAAATCTCATCTTGAATTCCCACGTGTTGTGGGAGGGACCCAGTGGGAGGTAATTGAATCATGGGGGCAAGTCTTTCCCATGTTGTTCTCCTGATAGTGAATAAGTCTCACATGAGATCTGATGGTTTTAAAAAGAGGAATTCCCCTGTACATGCTCTCCTCTCTTTGCCTGCTGCCATCCATGTAAGACATAATTTGCTTTTCCTTGCCTTCCGCCATGATTGTGAGGCTTCCCCAGCCATGTGGAACTGTAACTCCATTAAACCTCCTTCTTTTGAAAACTGCCCAGTCTTGGGTATGTCTTTATCAGCAGCATGAATATGGACTAACACTGTAAATTGGTACCAGGAGTGGGGTGTTGCTGAAAAGATACCCAAAAATGTAGAAGTGACTTTGGAACTGGGTAAGAGGCAGAGGGTGCAACAGTTTGGAGGGCTCAGAAGAAGACAGGAAAATGTGGGAAAGTTTGGAACTTCCTAGAGACTTGTTGAATGGCTTTGACAAAAATGCTGATAATTATATGAACAGTAAAGTCCAGGCTGAGGAGGTCTCGGAGGTGGGGAACTTGTTGGGAACTGGAGCAAAGGTGACTTGTTATGTTTTAGCAAAGAGACTGGCAGCATTTTGCCCCTGCCCTAGAGATTTGTGGAACTCTGAACTTGAGAGATGATTTAGGGTATCTGGTGGAAGAAATTTCTAAGTAGCAAAGCATTCAAGAGGTGACTTGGGTGCTATTGAAAGCATTCGGTTTTATAAAGTAAGCAGAGAATGAAAGTTTGGAAAATTTGCAGCCTGACAATGTGATAGAAAAGAAAATCCCAGCCGGGAGCAATGGCTCATGCCTGTAATCCCAGCACTTTGGGAGTCTGAGGCAGGAGGATCATGAGGTCAGGAGTTTGAGACCAGCCTGACCAACATGGAGAAACCCCGTCTCTACTAAAAATACGAAAATTAGCCGGGCTTGGTGGTGCACGCCTGTAATCCCAGCTACTCAGGAGGCTGAGGCGGGAGAATTGTTTGAACCCAGGAGGCAGAGATTGCAGTGAACCAAGATTGTGCCACTACACTCCAGCCTGGGTGACAGAGTGAGACTCCATTTCAAAAGAAAAAAAAAGAAAAGAAAATCCCATTTCCTGAGGAGAAATTCAAGCTGGCTGCATAAATTTGCATAAGTAATGAGGAGCCTAATGTTAATCCCCCAGACAATGGGGAAAATGTCTCCAGGGCATTTCAGAAGTCCTCATGGCAGCCCCTCCCATCACAGGCCCAGAGGCCTAGAAGGAAAAACTGGTTTCATGGGCCAGGCCCAGGGTCCTTGTTCTGTGTGCAGCATAGGGACTTGGTGCCCTGCATCCCAGCTGCTCCAGCCGTGGCTGAAAAGGGCCAATGCAGAACTCGGGCCTTGGCTTCAGAGGGTACCTCAAGCCTTGGCAGCTTCCACATGGCATTGGGCCTGAGAGTGCACAGAAGTCAAGAATTGAGGTTTGGGAACCTCCGCCTAGATTTCAGAAAATATACAGAAGTGCCTGGATGTCCAGGCAGATGTTGGCTGTAAGGGCGGGGCTCTCATGGAGAACCTCTGCTAGGACAGTATGGAAGGGAAATGTGGCACTGGAGGCCTCACACAGAGTCCCTACTGGGGCACTGCCTAGTGGAGCTGTGAGAAGATGGCCACTGTCCTCCAGACCCCAGAATGGTAGATCTACCAACAGCTTGCACCATGCACCTGGAAAAGCTGCAGACACTAAATGCCAGCCCGTGAAAGCAGCTGGGAGGGAGGCTGTATCCCGCAAAGCCACAGGGGCGGAGATGCCCAGGACCATGGGAACCCACCTCTTCCATCAGCATAACCTAGATGTGAGACATGCAGTCAAAGGAAATCATTTAGGAGCTTTAAGATTTGACTGTCCTGCTGGATTTCAGACTTACATGGGAGCCTGTAGCCTCTTTGTTTTGGCCAATTTCTCCTATTTGAAATGGCTGTATTTACCCAATGCCTGTACCCCCACTGTATTTAGGAAGTAACTAACCCGCTTTTGATTTTACAGGCTCATACATGGAAGGGACTTGCCTTATCTCAGATGAGACTTTGGACTGTGGACTTTTAAGTTAATGCTGAAATGAGTTAAGACTTTGGGGGACTGTTGGGAAGGCATGATTGGTTTTGAAACATGATTATGAGATTTGGGAGGGGGCAGGGGCACAATGATATGGTTGGCTGTGTCCCCACCCAAATCTCATCTTGAATTCCCACATGTTATGGGAGGGAGCTGGTGGGAGGTAGTTGAATCATGGGGGCAAGTCTTTTCTGTGCTGTTCTCATGATAGCGAATAAGTCCCACAAGATCTGATGGTTTTAAAAAGAGGAGCTCCCCTGCACACATGCTTCTCTCTTTGCCTGCTGCCATCCATGTAAGACATGACTTGCTCTTCCTTGTCTTTCACCATGATTGTGAGGCTTCCCCAGCCATATGGAACTGTAAGTCCAATTAAACCTCTTTCTTTTGTAAATTGCCCAGTCTTGGGTACAACTTTATCAGCAGTGTGAAAATGGACAACACAAGGTGTGAGCTACCTGAGTAGACCCATTCTCCAAGCTTTCTAAAATGGAAATCTGATCATGTGACTCACATGCTTAAAATTGCCTCTGCCCAACCCTCACCCTCAGGCATCAGCATCCCCTTACTGACCCCCTTCCGCACTCCAAGTTGTATAAACAAACCAATCGCCACATTTAGCTTCCCCAGCATGCCAGGTTCTCTCCCACCCCTGAGTCCTCCCCAGCCTGATAGTTCTGCCCAGACACACTTCCCTCTGGGCATGGCTAGGTGGAGAACATGCATCGCCCACATCACCTTCTCCAGAAAGCCTTCCTGATGAATCTCACCCACACTGGGGTTAAGTTTGTCCATGCTGGACCCTCACACAGCACCCTCTGCTCAGCTCCGCAGTACTTCAGTTGTTCATTTGGACTACAAGTTCCTTAAGGGCCAGGGGCCCGTCTTGCTGCATCCCCAACTACTAGCGCTGTCTCTGATGTCAATAGGCACTAAATACAAATGCTTCCTGAAGCTAATCACTGACATTATACATTTTTGGACACATAATTTGCTTGACTTCATCCCACATCTCCTTGTTCCACTTTAGGCAATTTTAATTTTTTTTGTTTGGCTGATGCACAGTTGACAAAATATTTTACAATTTTAATTTTTATGACTGTTAGTCAAGTGGTTGCTGGAACGTAAGGCTCCCGAGGCCACGCACTGTGTCTGAGCCAACCTCCATCCCCACACAGGCAGCGTCTGCTGACGCATAGCACTAGTCCTGTGGAGAAGTGTTGAAAATGAGTCAGCAGGGCTTTGTGAAACAATCTCTAAGTCCTAGTTTGCTTGGGAAAAATGAAATAAACAGCATATGGGGCCAGGCGTTATGGCTCATGCCTGTAATTCCAGCTCTTTGGGATGCTGAGGTGGGAGGATCACCTGAGGTCAGGAATTCGAAACCAGCCTGACCAAAATAGCGAAACCCCATCTCTACTAAAAATACAAAAATGAGCTGGGCATGGTGGCACATGCCTATAGTCCCAGCTACTTGGGAGGCTGAGGCAAGAAAATCACTTGAACCTGGGAGGCAAAGGTTGCAGTGAGCCGAGATCGTGCCACTGCACTCCAGCCGGGATGACAGAGACTCTATTAAAAAAAAAAAAATCAAATACAAAAACTAGCTAAATTAGCTGAGTACAGAGGCTCACACCTGTAATCCCAGCACTTTGGGAGGCCAAGGTGGAAGGATCACTTGAGCCCAGGAGTTCAAGACCAGCCTGGGCAACAGAACGAGACCCCATCTCTACAACAAATTTTTTTAAAAATTAGCTGAGCATGGTGGCTAACTTATATGGGTTTCTATGTAGTTGTGCTAGCTTCCAAAGAGTTCCAAATAAACAAAACTTGCAGCAAACACATCTGAGAAGGTCTGTAACAATACAGCCACAACACAGTCAGCCACTTTGTTGGGAGACAATTCTTTATGAGAACTGTCCATGGTGAGACTCCATTTTTAAGTCTCAGCATCTAGGCTTTCTAAGCAAACTTCTTAAAGGATGATGGACTTACACACACATCTGGAAAGCTGGCGCCAATGCACTGCTCAGGAGAGATTGGGACTCCCCGAGTGTTTATGGTCCAGAGGAGTGATGCTAGCGGCCTTCCACAAGAATCCTGTTAGGTCAGTTCAGCCAGAACCCCCTGCACCCTGATGTTTCCTCTTAGTTAAATTTTCCGTCCATGGCCCCCACTCCTGCTCCTAGGTCTCCCCCACTACACAATCCCATTGCAGCAGTCCCTATACCTATCATGATCATCCTGAACAGCCTGCCCTTTGTCTTGCTTTTCTGAGACAAGGTCTTGCTCTGTCACCTAGGCTGGAGTACAGTGGTGCAATCATGCAGCCTCGAACCCCTGGACTCAAGTGATCCTCCTGCCTCAGCCTCCCACGGAGCTAGGACTACAGGCTCACACCACCACACTTGGCTAATTTTTAAAAATTTCTGTAGACATGAGGTTTCACTTTGTTGCCCAGGCTGGTCTCAAGCTCCTGGCCTCAAGCTATCGTCCTGCCTTGCCTCCCAAAGCACTAAGTGCCTTGCTAACTTTAATAAGGGTCAGAATAAGTTTTTCTTTAAAAATATAAATACATAAATGAATAGATGGGGAGCAGAAAAAGCTCTAAAATACAAGAGTTCTCTAACGTGTAGAGGATGACGACAGCTTTCAAACATCACCATTCGGCAACCACCACAGTAAGCCGTTTCAGACAGGAATCATCGATGGATGCTAACACTAGTTTGTGAAAGTATGAGAAACAGGAAATGTACATAATCTCAAAGTACCTGCCACAAGATACATTTCATTTTTTATTTTTTTGAGATGGGTTCTTGCTCTATTCCCAGGCTGGAATGCAGTGGCAAGACTCTGGCTCACTGCAGCCTCAACCTCCCAGGTTAAAGCAATCCTCACACTTCAGTCTCTTGAGTAGCTAGAACTATAGGCACATGCCACCATACCTGGCTAATTTTTGCATTTTTTTGTAGACAGGGGTCTCACTCTGTTGCCCAGGCTGGTCTTGAACTCTTGGGCTCAAGCCGTCCTCCTACCTCCGCCTCCCAAAGCGCTGGGATTACAGGCATGTGCCACAGCACCAGGCTCAAGACACTTATTAATTACAAAGGGAAAACAATGATGCAATGAAAAGGATACACTCTACTGGCTTCTGTGCAGTCCTTCCTAAAATGCAAGCTGTGAGTCCAATCCTCAGGACACACCCAGGAACCCAAACTGAGAGGCACTCTATAAAGAAACTGGCAAAAATAAAAGTAAACGGCCAGGTGTGGTGGTTCACACCTGTAATCCCAGCACTTTGGGAGGCTTAGGCAGGTGGACTACCTGAGGTCAGGAGTTCGAGACCAGCCTGGCCAAGATGGTAAAACCCCGTCTCTACTAAAAATACAAAAATCAGCTGGATATGGTGGCAGGCACCTGTAATCCCAGCTACTGGGGAGGCTGAAGCAGAAAAATCGCTTGAACCCAGGAGGCGGAGGCTGCAGTAAGTCAAGATTGCGCCACTGCACTCCAGCCTGGGCGACAGAGCAAGACTCTGTCTTAAAAAAAAAAAAAAAAAAAAAGAAGAAAGAAAAAGAAAAGAAAAGAAACAACAACCAAATGTGGTATGTGATCTTGGTTTCAAAAACAAACACTGTAAAAGACAACTTAAGGAAATTTGAGGAGATGTGAATATATAGTATTATATACTATTAGAGATTGAGTGTTATTTTGATGGTGTGATAAAGCTATAAGCTCACAGCATAAATATCACCATTTTGAGAAGTACGTGCTCAATGTTTAGTTGTATGACCATGATATCCAAAACTTACTTTCAAATGGATCAATAAAAATATAAACATAAATAAATTGGGTCCAGATAACAATAACTGTTGAATCTAGGTAGCAGATAATCAAGATTCTACTCTCAGATTGTCTTTCAAAATGTTCATAATATGAGGGAAAAGTCAGAATTTCAAAATGTATAGATTGGTAGTCCTTCTCTCTAACAAAACTGGTTAAAACAGTCAGGTACAGTGGCACGTGCCTGTAATACTAGCATTTTGGGAAGCCAATGTGGGTGGATCACTTGAGGCCAGGAGTTCAAGACCAGTCTGGCCAACATGGTGAAACCCCGCCTCTACTAAAAATACAAAAATTGGCTGGGTGCAGTGGCTCACGCCTGTAATCCCAGCACTTTGGGAGGCTGAGGTGGAAGGATCGTTTGAGCTCAGGAGTTCAAGACCAGCCTGGGCAACAAAGTGAGACCTTATCTCTACTAAAAATCCAAAAATTTAGCTGGGCATGATGGCACATGTCTGTAGTCCCAGCTGCTTGAGAGGCTGAGGCAGGGGGATCACTTGAGTCCGGGAGGTCGAGGCTGCAGTGAGCCGTGATCATACCACTGTACTCCAGCCTGGGCGACAAAGGGAGACCCCGCCTTGCCTTAAAAAAAAAAAAAAAAAAAAAAGGCTGGGCGCGGCGGCTCACACCTGTAATCCCAACACTTTGAGAGGCTGAGCCAGTGGATCACCTGAGGTCAGGAGTCTGAGACCAGCCTGGCCAACATGGTGAAACCCCGTGTCTACTAAAAATACAAAAATTAGCCGGGCATGGTGGCGTGTGCCTGTAATCCCAGCTACTCCGGAGGCTGAGCCAGGAGAATCACTTGCACCCGGGAAGCGGAGGCTGCTGTGAGCCCAGACTGCACCACTGCACTCCAGGCCAGGCAACAGAACGAGACTCTGTTTCAAAAAAAAAAAAAAAGAAAAAAAAAGAGTTAACGAATACCAAATTTTAAAATATACTACAAAGCCACAGTAACAGCAAAAAAAAAAAAAAACAAAAAAAACAAAGTGGGTAACCATACAGGAACAGACCCACAGGCCAAGGGAGCAGGAGAAATAAGGCAGTAGACTTGCCAGGGCTTTTTAAATGCCAAAAATGCATAAAGTTTTAGAATTGTGAAAAAAAAAAAAAAGTTTTAGAATTGTGATGTTTTTACGAAAATCTCTTTGGACACAACCACTTCCACAAACTGAAGGTGCTGGTGGAACAGTCAACAGGAGTGGGGCCAGTCTCGCTCCCACCTAACCCTGCAGCAGGGCAACGTGGAGGCCCGGCCCAGCCACTCAAGGCGCCTGGAAGCTCGGCCCGCGAGTCCTGTTGATGTAGGCCCTGTGGAGGCGAGACGGACATTCGTTCAGTCAGCGTTTTGAGTGTCAGGAGAAGAATGGAGCTTCGTGAGGGGAGGAAAGGGGCAGTGAGGGCAGACAGAGCTGTGTCTACTACATGCCAAGGCCAGTGCATCCCCCAACTCTATGGCATTTCTCCCATCGAGACACGAGGTCTTTGTCCCTTCCTCTGCAATCCAGGCTGACCTAGTGACTCATTTGAGAACAAGAGAATGCAGTGGAAATGATGGTGTGCGACTCCAGAGCTGGGTTAGAAAAGGCAAGGAGGCTTCCATCTTGTTCATAGTGACACTCCGACTACCAGGAAGCCCCATGCTGTGAGGAACGCCCCCCTGACACTGCTATGAGAAAGCCCCCTAATGACATAAAGGAGACCCCCAGTGCTGAGGAAGCCCCCCAGTGCTGTGAGGAAGCTCGCAATGATATCAAAGAAGCCCCCAATGCTATTAGGGAGCCCCCGATACCGTGAGGAAGGCCCCCATTGCTGTGAGGAAGCCCCCCAGTGCTGTGAGAGAACCCCCCAGTGCTGTGAGGAAGCCCCCAATGCTATGAGGGAACCCCCCAGTGCTGTGAGGGAACCCCCAGTGCTGTGAAGACCTCCTCTAATCTGTGAAGAAGCCCAGGTCCTGTGGAGTCTGCACGTGTGCTCTGGTCAGTATCCCCAGCTCGTGTTCCAGCTGACGGATTTCAGAAAGCGCCTCCAGAAGATACCATTCCTCAGTCATTACGTCACCCCCAGCCGCTGAGTCGTCCCAGCTGAGGACTCAGACATCCTGGAGGAGAGACGGCCACTTCCTCTCCATATTCCTGGTCCACAGAATTTGTCCACATAATAAAATGGTTTTTTGCCACTAACAGTGTGACCGGGGGGTTCACACTAGCTGTGACCAGACTACTCTAGAAGACGCAGATAGGTTAGTTGTCCTTGTTTCCCTGTTGAGGACACAGATGTACCAGAGGTTGGGTGACTTCAATCTGTCCAGCTCCAAAGCCCTGCTATTTCTTCTACACAGCCTGACCTCTGACGATAAAATAATTGTGCTTCTAAGATAAGGTCGAACTCACAAGGACAGGACACTTGTCAACAATCTGTACAACTCTGGTGCCTGCAACAGTGAATTACATCAATTCAACCTATGAATTACGGCATTATTCAAAATGGGAAACACAGGGTGAGCTGATGAAGCAGCTGGCCCATGAGGCAAGCACCACGAAAGACGCTCAGCTGTGACCAGAATGCAGCTTCCGAAGCCACATGAGTGTAACATGCTCTGCAGGGTCTGAAGAAAGTGATGTCCTGTGGCTTATTTGTAGTAGTGCATCTCCAGCAAGAGCAAAGGTTTGGAAGCTGAGTGCAGTGGCATGATCCAGCTTGGCTGATAGAGCAAGATCCCATCTCAAAAAGTAGCTGTAAGTCAGTAAGTACATAAATAAATAAATAAGTTAAAATGTTATTACTAACAATTCACATACTAAAAACTGCCCAGGGTTTCTTTTTAGTTATTTTGTCTTTAGGATTTACCCTGCTAGGATGTACAATACAATTTGTTTTTTTGGTTTGTTTTTTTTTTTTTGAGACGGAGTCTCGCTCTGTCGCCCATGCTGGAGTGCAGTGGCACGATCTTGGCTCACCGCAAGCTCCGCCTCCGCCTCTGGGGTTCACGCCATTCTCCTGCCGCAGCCTCCCGAGTAGCTGGGACTACAGGTGCCCGCCACCATGCCCAGCTAAATTTTTTTGAATTTTTAGTAGAGACGGGATTTCACTGTGTTAGCCAGGATGGTCTCAATCTCCTGACCTCATGATCCTACTGCCTCGATCTCCCAAAGTGCTGGGACTACAGGCGTGAGCCACCACGCCTGGCCAATACAATTTGTTTTGAAGTCACTTGAAATAACTCCTCTCTGTATAGTTAAGCCACCAACTCAATTTGTGGTTTGGTTATTTTTATTCGTTTTGCTTTCAGGGTTTTTTTTTTTTCTTTTTTTGTAGAGATGGGGTCTGGCTGTTTCCAAGGCTGGTATCGAACTCTTGGCTTCAAGCGATCCTCCCACCTTGGCCTCACGAAATGCTGGGGTTACAGCTGTGAGTCACAGTGCTCGGCTGCTTTCAATTTTTAGAGACTACTTCCCCCCAACTTTTGACTTCATTTTATTTTAAAACTATATTAAAACATCCATATAGTTTTGACAAGGTTCAGGACATGCTACCCCAAAATGTGGCACCTGGGCACACTGAATATTTGAAGCTGAAAGAATTTGAGAAGCAGCTTGTGCAGGAACATCTCTCTGACCTTCCCCAACCCTTCTCTCCTGAGGCAGGTCACGAAACCTAGGAAGGACTTTCTGACCCTCACCCAAAGCAGGTGGTAAGACCCTCATGTGAGAAGTGCCCTCCGTATCTACGGGGGGAGGAAACATGCTGACCTCCAAAGAAGGATACAGAGAGAAATCTGAACAGACCTTGCTAAGTTTCCCCCAGTTCATTGCGTTTAGCTCACACTCCTCCTATCATAGTTCTCCATAGCTTTTCATTGCTCATCAAACCTAACACAAAACCACTCAGGTTTAACCATTTCCTTGGGTCATTTCCTTATAAAGGCTCCCATGTCATGTAAAACTTATATTACATAAATTTGTGTGCCTTTCTCTTTTGTAAATCTGTCTTCTGTTCCAGGAGCCCCAGCCAATGAACGTAAGATGGGTAGAAGGAAAACATCTTTCCTCCCCTAGAGTTCCATGATCAGTACTATAGCAGATATGGCCAGAAATCCAACTTATAACACTGCCCCTTCCCTACTCCACAGGGAACCCCATTTTTACTAGTCTGGGGGTTAGCACCTTTATCATAAGCCAGTCTTCATCTGCCTTCCTTAGATAAAAGGCTATACTCTACAAACAGTTCTGAGCCTCACTTTTTTCACTTGCTAAGGATGCATCCTAGCAGTGTGCTCCACTATGCAGACTGACCAGACCCCAGCTGTGAACATGGATGTTTCCAGGAAGCCACAGTGGATCGTTACTTATTATTTATTTATTTATTTATTCATTTATGACGGAGTCTTGCTCTGTCACCCGGGCTGGAGTGCAGTGGTGTGATCTCGGCTCACTGCAACCACCACCTGATTTCAAGCAATTCTCCTGCCTCAGCCACCCGAGTAGCTGGGATTACAGGCACACTGTGTCCGCTTATTATTATTATTTTTTTTTTTTTGAGACAGGGTCTGGCTCTGTTGCCCAGGCTGGAGTGCAATGGCACCATCTGGCTCACTGCAGCCTCGACCTCCCTCACTCAAGCAACCCTCCCACCTCAGCCCCGGAGTAGCTGGAACCACAGGCATGCACCACCACACCCGGTTTACTTTTGTATTTTTTGTAGAGACAGGGTTTTGCCATGTTGCCCAGGCTAGCCTCAAACTCCTGAGCTCAAGCAATCTGCCCTCCTTGGCCTTCTAAAGTGATGGGATTACAGGTGTGAGCCACCATGCCTGCCCATGATTATTAACTATGCCTGTAAATGATATGTTAATATCCCTCTATCTAATGCTTCCGCCTTGAGTTCAGCTTGTCTAACATTTTAAATCTGCTTTTTGGCTGGGGGCGGTGGCTCACGACTGTAATCCTAGCATTTTGGGAGGCTGAGGCAGGCAGATTACTTGAGGTCAGGAGTTCAAGACCAGCCTGGCCAACGTGGTGAAACCCCATCTCTACTAAAAATGCAAAAATTAGCCAGGCGTGGTAGCAGGCGCCTGTAATCCCAGCTACTCGGGAGGCTGAGACTTGAGAGAATCACTTGAACCCTGGAGGTGGAGGTCGCAGTGAAATCGAGATCACATCACTGCACTCCAGCCAGGGTGACAGAGTGAGACTGACTCAAAAAAAATAAAAAATTGAAACAGAAACATACATTTAAGTAATCAAGTAAAATACATCTCTAAGCAATGTTATCCTGACCAGTCAAAAGATCCATGAGAAAACTATCACAAAAGCTGAAAAAAATGGAAAAAAACTGAAAAAAACAGGTTGGGGATAGGCCGGGCCCAGTGGCTTACATCTGTAAGCCCAGCACTTTGGAAGCCCGAGGCGGGAATATTGCTTGAGTCCAGGAGTTCAAAACCAGCAACATAGTGAGACCCTTTATCAAAAAAAAAAAAGTTGGAAATTATTCAGTCCCTTTTTACGTTTATTTTACAGAAGAAATGAGGAAAGAGACATCAAACAGAAAAAGGAAGGGATGAGGGAGATTCTACAAAGAAAGAAGTCCTGAGAAGCCAAAGACCAGTGAGGGGGTCCTCATCCAGCCCGCAGGGTCCCCAGCCTGAGAAGTCAAAGACCAGTGAGGGGGTCCTCATCCAGCCCGCAGGGTCCCCAGCCTGAGAAGCCAAAGACCAGTGAGGGGTCCTCATCCAGCCCGCAGGGTCCCCAGCCTGAGAAGCCAAAGACCAGTGAGGGGGTCCTCATCCAGCCCGCAGGGTCCCCAGCCTGTAGACCCTAACCAGTATCCCAGGGACCAGGCTCCCTCTCATCAACCCACTCCGTTCCTGGGCCAGCCCTGACCAAGGAGCCTGCCCTGCTGTCCCAGTGGCCTGGGGGATCAGCACAACTGCTCTCGGTGAAGCATGGGAGCCACCGGAAAGAATCTGACCCTCCACAGTGACTCTCAGCAAAGCGTGTCCCAGCGCTCAATGGGAACTAGTCACTGAAGCAGAGTTCTAGACTTCAGCTGTTAGAACTACTCACATATATTCCTTTACAATTCTAATGGTGATTTAAGAGCTATTTCTTTAGGCTCAACTTTTACATAGACAATACTGTATACCAATCACAGCAAGGCATGAGTCAGCTGAAGGAGAGTAGCTCACCAAATCCCCATGTGTTTTTCATATCTCCCAACAGTTCTGCTATTTGATTCCATTTAGATCCAGACCAACTTTGATTTGGTCCAAGTAAGAACTGAGGGCTGGCCGGGCACAGTGGCTCACGCCTGTAATCCCAGCAGTTTGGGAGGCCGAGGTGGGCGGATCATGAGGTCAGGAGTTTGAGACCAGCCTGGCCAACATAGTGAAACCCCATCTCTACTAAAAATACAAAAATTAGCTGGGTGTGGTGGCACGCGCCTATTTCAGCTACTCAAGAGGCTGAGGAGGGAGAATCACTTGAACCCGGGAGGCAGAGGTTGCAGTGAGCTGAGAGTAGGCCATTGCACTCCAGCCTGGGTGACAGAGTGAGACTCCGTCTCAAAAACAAAAACAAAAACAAAAAGAACTGAAGGTGTGGGAGGTGTGACCAGCAAACATTTTCTGTAAAGGGCCAGAAGGTAAATATTTCAGGTTTGTGGGTCACATACTGTCTGTATTACGTATGCTTTCTTTACAGGTCTTTAAAAATGTAGAGGCCGGGTGCGGTGGCTCACGCCTGTAATCCCAGCACTTTGGGAGGCCGAGACGGGTGGATCACGAGGTCAGGAGATCGAGACCATCCTGGCTAACATGGTGAAACCCTGTCTCTACTAAAAATACAAAAAATTAGCCAGGTGTGGTGGTGGGCACCTGTAGTCCCAGCTACTCTGTAGGCTGAGGCAGGAGAATGGCGTGAACCCAGGAGGCAGAGCTTGCAGTGAGCCGAGATCGCGCCACTGCACTCCAGCCCGGGTGAAAGAGCGAAGACTCCATCTCAAAAAAAAAAAAAAAAAGTAGAAACCATTCTCAGCCCTAGGGCCATACAAAAAAAAGGTCAGTGGGATCTGGCCCATAGGCCTGTGGTTTGCCAATCCCTGACCAAAATTATAGCTGTTCAAAGACAAGTGATACTTTTTAAAAAATCTTACTAGACTTTCTTTTCCTCTTTCTAGTACCCAGAGGAGTCAGAAAATCTGAGTATACATATATATATATATATATATATATTTTTTTTTTTTTTTTTTTTTTTGAGAGGGAGTTTAGCTCTTGTTGCCCAGGCTGGAGTGTAATGGCACGATCTCAGCTCACTGCAACCTCCGCCTCCCAGGTTCAAGCGATTCTCCTGCCTCAGCCTCCCGAGTAGCTGGGATTACAGGCATGCGCCACCACGCCCAGCTAGTTTTGTATTTTTAGTAGAGACAAGAGTTTCTCCATGTTGGTCAGGCTGGTCTTGAACTCCTGGCCTCAGGTGATCTGCCCACTTTGGCCTCCCAAAGTGCTGGGATTGCAGGTGTGAGCCACCGCACCTGGCCTGAGTATACTTCTTTAAATCCACCTAAAATGTGCTCTCTGACTCAGTTTAGTGACACTATCCTGTGTACTGTAATGTAATATACTAGACGCTGCCTTGCTGGAGGAGTCCACACAGCCCCATCCCCCTCACCAGGTGCCGCGCCTAGCAGAGGACCAACTCCCAGAGTGCCACCTCCTAGCTGCTACCCAGAGCAGTGTTGACTAATGAGCAGCCACAATTCCACTGGAAATTCTAGGGTAATTCCAGTTCTAGCAAACAGTAACACTGAGGCATTTATAAAGCCAGAAAACGACTGAAGACAACACAACAGTCAGATCCAGAGACTGCATCTCTAGGTATTGTGTTTTGTTACCAGTCCTCCCAAAATACCTTCTCCAGGACACCTTTTAGGACACTAACTATACATCATGACAGTTAAGTGAGCTTTCATTTTGTGTGTGAGAAGTTTTAGGCACCTGTGGTTCAGAAACCACAAGCCAGTTGTCCATCTCTCTTCCACCCTGGCTTCCACAGCTCCTATTCCAAAGAGATGTTCAGTCAATAAATGACTCATTCTGAGGAAAACATTTGTCAAGAAATCACTTTTTTTTTGTTTTTGAGACCAAGTCTCACTCGGTCACCCAGGCTGGAGTGCAATGGCATGATCTCGGCTCACTGCAATCTTCACCACCCAGGTTCAAGGGATTCTCCTACCTCAGCCTCCCCAGTAGCTGGGATTACAGGCACCTGCCACCATGCCTGGCTAATTTTTCTATTTCTAGTAGAGATGGAGTTTCACCACCTTGGCCAAGACGGTCTTTAACTCCTGACCTCATGATCCACCCGCCTTGGCCTCCCAAAGTGCTGGAATTACAGGCATGAGCCACTGCGCCCAGCCATCACTTTATTTTTCAAACAAGGTTTGGCGAGGTATCATTTGAAGTGTAATATTCAAATAAAATCATAGATCGTAAATCCTGTTAAAATCTGTATCAAAAAGTATTTCTAACCCAAAGGCCCACATATGTCCCCTAAAGACAAAACAAAATTCTAGTATCAAAGGTATTTTACATTTTAATGGTTTTGCAATTTTTTTTTTAATTTTTTTTTTTTTTTCTGAGACAGAGCCTCGCTCTGTTGCCCAGGCTAGACTGCAATGGCACGATTTCAGCTCACTGCAATCTCCACCTCCCAGGTTCAAGCAATTCTCCTGCCTCAGTCTCCTGAGTAGCTGGAATTATAGGCACCCGCCACCATGACCAGCTAATTTTTTTGTATTTTTAGGAGAGACTGGGTTTTGCCATGTTGACCAGGCTGGTCTCAAACTCCTGGTCTCAAGTCATCCACCCGCCTCAGCCTCCCAAAGTGCTAGGATTACAGGTGTGAGCCACCACGCCCGGCCTGCAATTTGTTTTAACAGACTCTGAGCTGGATGGTCTGTTACAGCTGGTAAATTTAAATTCGCATCAAAGTTTTAAGACCCTGGCCGGACGTGGTGGCTCACTCCTGTAATCTCAGCATTGTGGGAGGTCGAGGCAGGCAACTTATTTGAAGTCAGGAGTTCGAGACCAGCCTGGCCAACATGGCAAAACCCCGTCTCTACTAAAAACACAAAAATGAGCCAGGTGTGGTGCCTTGCACCTGTAATCCCAGCTACTCAGGAGGCTGAGGTCAGAGAATCACTTGAACCCAGGAGGTGGAGACTGCAGTGAGCCAAGATCACTCCCCTGCACTCCAACCTGGATGACAGAGTGAGACTCCGTCTCAAAACAAACAAACAAACAAACAAAAACCAAAAAACAAACAAAAAAAGGAACAGAAAGAAAATAAGGGGCCAGGCACAGTGGCTCACGCCTGTAATCCCAGCACTTTGAGAGGCCGAGGAGGGTGGATCACCTGAGGTGAGGAGTTCGAGATCAGCCTGGCCAACGTGGTGAAACCTGTCTCTACTGCAAGTACAAAAATTAGCCGGGCATGGTGGCGCATGCCTGTAGTCCCAGCTACTCGGGAGGCTGAGGCAGGAGAATCGCTCGAACCCGGGAGACAGAGGTTGCAGTGAGCCGAGATCGTGCCATTGCAGTCCAGCCTGGGCAACAGAGCGAGTGAGACTCCATCTCAAAAAAAAAAAAAAAAAAAAAAAAAAAGAAAAGAAAATGAGGAACCCTAACCCTTGGAGGCAAGGACCCCTTTCCCATGGACAGCCTCTCTCAGGCACTGCCTACACTGGGCACACAGCACTGTGGAACTGGCACCTGCACTCCCTCCCTGCACAGCAGCCACCCCTCTCTACTCTCCCTGTCAGCACTAAGCTTGGTGGGTCAGAGGGACTCCAGCTTTCGGATGGCAAAACACAGAAAGTATCAAAACCTAAATACTCAAAAGGCTCCACAACATAGAGCATGGCCGTAAAATAATACAAAAAACTGGAACTGGCCGGGCATGGTGGCTCACGCCTATAATCCCAGCACTTTGGGAGGCCAAGGCAGACAGATCACCTAAGGTCGGGAGTTCGAGACCAGCCTGAACAACATGGAGAGACCCTGTCTCTACTGAAAATACAAAATTAGCCAGGCGGGGTGGCACATGCCTGTAATCCCAGCTACTTGGGAGGCTGAGGCAGGAGAATTGCTTGAACCCAGGAGGTGGAGGTTGTGGTGAGCCAAGATCATGCCATCGCACTCCAGCCTGAGCAACAAGAGCAAAACTCTGTCTCAAAAAAAAAGAAAAAGAAAAAAACTGGACTCACAAAAGTGTATGAGACCTTAAATTTTTAAAACGAGAAATGTGTGGATTATATAAATGTTTTAAAAATCACTAAAATGCCAACTAAAAGCATAACACAATATAGCTTAAAAAATATGTAAAAACGTATGAACATAGCCAGGCACAGGGGCCCATGTCTTTAAGTCCCAGCTCCTTGGGAGGCTGAGGCAGGAGTATTACTGGATTACTTGAGCCCAGGAGTTGGAGACCAGCCTGGACAACATCATGAGACCCTGTCTCTTTAAAACACACACACACACACACACACACACGCACACACACGCACACACGTATGCATGTAAGAAACCCAATTCAAAAAGGGGCAAAGGACTTGAAGAGATATTTCTCCAAAGACATGTAAATGGCCGATGAACATGTGAAAAGATGCTCCACATCACTAATTATTAGGGAAATACAAATCAAAATGACAGTAAGATGCCACCTCAAATCCATTAGGATGGCTGCTATTAAAAAAAGCAACAACACATAAGAAAATAAGTGTTGGGTAAGATACGGAGAAACTGGAACCTCTGTACTGTTGGTAGGAATGTAAACTGATACTCTCTCCTTATTGAGTCCTTGGAAAAATAAAAAATAAATTAAATTAAAAGGAATATAAAACAGTACAGTTGCTGCGAAAAATCGGATGGAGGTTCCCTAAAAAATTAAAAACAGAATTCCAGTATGATCCAGCAATCCCACTTCTAGATCTATATCCAAAAAAATTGAAAGTAGGATCTCGGAGAAGTATTTACACACTCAGGTTCACAGTTTTATTATTCAAAATAGTCAAAAGGTAGAAGGAACTCAAGTGTCTGTTGAGGGATGGATAAACAAAATTCAGTATATCCACACAATGGAGTATTCAGCCTTAAAAAGGAAGGAAATTCTGACACACACTACAACATAGATGAACCTTAAGGACATTATGGTAAATGAGCTAAGCTGGTCACAAAAAGACAAATACTACCTAATTCCACTGGTATGAAGTCCCTATAGTAGCGAAATTCAGAGACAGGAAGTAGAATGGTGGTTGCCAGGGGCTTCAGGGAGGGGAGATGGGGAGGCAGTGTTTAATGGGTATAGAGTTTCAGTTTTACAAGATGAAGGGTTCTGGAGACAGATGGTGGTGATGGCTGTACAAAAGTATGAATGAACTTACCACCACTGAACTGCACACTGAAAATGGTTAAGATGGTAAATTTTGTTACGTGTATTTTACCATAACAAAAAATTGGAAAAAAAAGGCCAGCCACAGTGGTTCATGCCTGTAATCCTGGAACTTTGAAAGGCAACAGTGGGCAGCTCATCTGAGGTCAGGAGTTCGAGACCAGCCTGGCCAACATGGTAAAACTCCATCTCTACTAAAAATACAAAAATTAGCCAGGCGTGGTGGTGGGCACCTGTAATCCCAGCTACTCAGTAGGCTGAGGCAGGAGAATTGCCTGAACCCGGGAGGCAGAGGTTGCAGGGAGCCAAGATTGCACCACTGCACTCCAGCCTGGGCAACAGAGCAAGCCCCTGTTTCGTGGGGGAAAAAAAAGTATGCTCAAATACGTAACTAAATTTAGAAGAACGTAAAGTTTAGCAATTTAATGTTTATTAAACTTTTTTTTTTTTTTTTGAGATGGAGTTTCGCTCTTGTTGCCCAGGCTGGAGTGCAATGGCGCGATCTCAGCTCACCATAACCTCCACCTCCTGGGTTCAAGTGATTCTCCTGCCTCAGCCTCCCAAGTAGCTGGGATTACAGGCATGCACCACCACACCCGGCTAATTTTTTGTATTTTTAGTAGAGACAGGGTTTCTCCATGTTGTTCAGGCTGGACTCGAATTCCCGACCTCAGGTGATCCACCCACCTTGGCCTCCCAAAGTGCTGGGATTACAGGCGTGAACCACTGCACCCGGCCTTATGCTCCTTTTTCTTGTCAAGTTAAATTCCTAACATTTTTAATGCAAAAAAATGTACAAACCTTCATAAAATGTCTGAGAGAACATGTAACAAAACACATGCGCTCACTCAGGCATTATGTTCTGGAAACTGTGATCATAGTACCTACCAATCCACAGCCCCTTTGAGTGACCCAACCCCACTGGCAGGCCCTGCTCAAAGGGGGCCTTCCTTGTGCAGGTGTCAGAAGCTCATTCCTCCCCAAGCACCACTCCCTGGGCCAGGTAGCCCTGCAACACCCAAGGCCAGCCCCCAGCCCGAAGGTCAGCGCCTGGTAGGTGGTGTGAGGGGAAAGAGCACAGGCACTCTCTCTGAGGTGGGTGCTGGAAAAGGGAGAGTACAGGGCAGGTAAGGCTGGGTGAGCCCCCACTGTGAGGGGAGCGTACAGATGGAACAGACAGTGGAGGGCAACCACCTAATTGAAGCGGAAGGCCAAGAGCCCTGGTGCAGAACTGGATCCTGCCAGAGCACAAACCATGGTTCCATCTGCCCAGAGGCCCAGCAACAATACAGTGGTCCCAAGAATCCCATAGACTCCTGTTTTCTTTATCCCTGCATGATCCTGAACCACCTATCTCACCACCCACCCAACTTGAAGTCAGCCTGCTCCCTGCCACCCTGAGAACCCGACTAAAACAGCCAATCATTCCAGCGTCAATCGCAGACGGCAAACAGTACAATTAGCTGGGTGTGATGACACGTGCCTGTAATCCCAGCTACTTTGGGGGCTGTGGCGGGAAGATTACTTGAGCCCAGAAGCTCCCGGCTGCAGTGGGCCGAGATCGTGCCACTGCACTCCAGCCTGGGTGAAAAAGTGAGACCCTATCTCAAAATAAAATAAAATTAAAATTAAATAAAATAAATAATAAAATAAAATAAGCTGCTCTGTCCCCTTCTCAAGTCCCTGAGGCATGGCCTCAGAATCAGAGCTTTAAACAGGAGTTTTATACCACATGCCAGACAACACGTTGACTGAATTACCACACTGCCTTCTATGTGAATCTTCCAGAAACAGTAACTAAACCGGCAGGGGCTAATAATCCAAAACAAGGAGCTACCATCTGCCAAGGGCGGGAACAGGCCAGGCTCCAGACTTTGCACACTGTCACGAGCAGGGCACCGCCAGCACCAGGCCTGCTGGCTCTTTCCACCAAGGACCATGCCTCTCAGCCCTTGAGTGCTTCTCCTAACAGTTTCCAGACTGACCTTCTTCTATGTGATATGTCCACTCTACATGTCCTCCTGAACAGTGTACACAAGACAGAACCATGAGGTATCCACTCAGTGCTGCACACGGATGCAAGATGGTACTTCCCAGGGCCTGCAGCCACTTCCTTCACCCTCACCTCCAAGGACACACACTGTTAGGCTTTGGGTTCCCCTATCTGTGCCGTTTTTATTTCCTTGTCTCTTTTGTCATCAATATAATCATTTGAGGAAGTAAAGAAAGGACACCATATATTCCTACAAATGGATAGGCTGAGAGTAAATCAACTTGGTATTTGTGAACATGAATGATAAAAGGCAAAAACTTCTAGCTGAAATGTAGCACTCCTTCAATTACAAAGGCAGACAATAAGCCCTGGAGTTTTAGCAGGAACAGCAACAGGTATTTTCCAAAGCATTAGAGTGTCACAAAAAATCTCGTCACTACTCCCAAATGAATTACCAGAGCCACAGCTCAATCCGGTTACTAAGCTAATAAATGGGACTATCACCAATTTGGTTCAATACAGTATTTTAATAACTGTATTTCAAAATAATTTGTTCTCTTCTTCATCTATTTATTTCCTTTAAAGTGCTGTTAAGAGGCCCCCAGAGGCCAAGCAAACGTGAAAATTTAAGACGCCCCCTCTCCCACCAGAGTCTATACTTTGCATCACTTTAGCAGTTTCAGGCTGTCCTTCTAAACAGTTTCAGACACTTTTAACAATTTGCAACAAAAGTGTAAGCCGCAAATAGGATGTTACTTCTCATAAGTAGCACCTTTCTATTTCTGCTATTTAC
Source organism: Homo sapiens (assembly GCF_000001405.40). NCBI lineage: Eukaryota > Metazoa > Chordata > Mammalia > Primates > Hominidae > Homo > Homo sapiens. Next base: position 42,980,399 of record NC_000021.9, on the reverse strand, counting down.
AAGTAGTATTTTTTTTTCTCTTTTTTCGGACATGGAGTCTTGCTCTGTCGCCCAGCCTGAAGTGCACTGGAGCGATCTCAGCTCACTGCAACCTCCACCTCCTGGTTCAAGTGATTCTCCTGCCTCAGCCTCCCGAGTAGCTGGGGATACAGGCTCCTGCCACCACACCCAGCTAATTTTGCATTTTTAGTAGAGACAGGGGTTGCCCCATCTTGGCCAGGCTGGTCTCAAACTCCTGACCTCAGGCAATCCACCCACCTCGGCCTCCCAAAGCGCTAGGATTACAGGTGTGAGCCACCGCACCTGGCCTCACAAGTAGTACTTTTCTAAAGTTACTGCCAGAGAAACGTTAACTACATATAGAGTACAGGAATCCCAACAAAATGCATTGTACTCAGTATCATTACCACAGAACCTGCTGGCACTTAGATCATAAGCGCAGAAGGTTAATCTTTGAAACAAGTCATACTTCACTGACCATGTTTCATCAATTCTAAGGCACACTTTTAAATGTCTGAAGTGAAAAGCATCCTTCACTGATGGGGTAAGAAAGCAGCGTGCCAGAAGGCACTGGGAGCATCTGTAGTGGTATAACACACTGCTGCATTTTAGATTCAACAGACTATAAGCACCTCATTTTTCTTTTTTCTTTTTTTCTGAGATGGAGTCTCGCTGTGTCACCCAGGCTGGAGTGCAGTGGCGCGATCTCGGCTCACTGCAAGCTCCGCCCCCTGGGTTCACGCCATTCTCCTGCCTTAGCCTCCCAAGTGGCTGAGAATACAGGTGCCCGCCACTACGCCCAGCTAATTCTTTGTATATTTAGTAGAGACGGGGTTTCACAGTGTTAGCCAGGATGGTCTCGATCTCCTGACCTCGTGATCCACCCGCCTCGGCCTCCCAAAGTGCTGGGATTACAGGCGTCAGCCACTGCGCCTGGCTATAAGCACCTCATTTTACCTTTTATTGTGTTTTGCTTTATTGCACTCAGCAGGTACTATGTTTTTCACAAGTTGAAGATCTGTGGCAACCCTGTATGAAGAAAGCAAGCCTATTGGTGCCAATTTTCCAAAAACAGGAGCTCACTTTGTGTCTGTGTTACATTTTGGTAATTCTTCACTATTTCAAACTTTGTCATTATTATGTCTGTTACGGGGATCTGTGATCAGTGATCTTTGATGTTCAGGTCAGGAACAGTGATTCATATGGGTAATCCCAACACTTCGGAAGGACGAGGCAGGAAGGCGGCTTGAAAGGATTCACCATTCTGGAAAGGAACTTAAGAGACAGCCGAGGCAACATAATGAGACCTCACTTCTACAAAACTTTTTCAAAATTAGCTGGGCATGCTGGCACATCCCTGTAGTCCCAGTTACTCAGGGGGCTGAGGTGGGAGAACCACTTTAGCCCAAGAGGTCAAGAGTGCAGTGAGCTATGATCTCACCACTGCATCCCAACCTGAGCAACAGAATGAGACCCTGTCTCTCAAAAACATAGCCAAGGCCAGGAACAGTGGATCATGCCTGAGGCTGAGGCAGGAGGACCACTTGAGGCCAGGAGTTTGAGACCTGCCTGGATAACATAGGGAGACTTCATCTCTTTAAAAAAAAACAAAAAAGGGCTGGGTGCGGTGGCTCATGCCTGTAATCCCAGTACTCTGGGAGGCCAAGGTGGGTGGATTATTTGAGGTCAGGAGTTCAAGACCAGCCTGGCCAATACGGCGAAACCCTGTCTCTACTAAAAATACAAAAATTAGCCGGGCGTGGTGGCTCACGTCTGTAGTCCCAACTACTTGGTAGGCTGAGGCAAGAGAATCACTTGAACCCGGGAGGCAGAGGTTGCAGTGAGCCAAGATCGCGCCACTGCACTCTAGCCTGGGCGACAGAGCGACTCCATCTCAAAAAAAAAAAAAAAAAGAAAAGAAAAGAAAAAAACAAGTTAGCCAAGTTGTAAATGCAAAGCAGAAGTTTCTTTCCAATTTTTGAAATTAAAAAAATACATACACAAATTTTTGAAATTTTAAATCACCTCTCAGAACAAAGGAAAACTTAAAGGCAATTAAAAAGTGCTACTCCAGTGAACACATGAATAAGAAAATGGCCAGGTCCGTTGGCTCACACCTGTAATCCCAACACTTTGGGAGGCCAAGGCGGGCGGATCACTTGAGGTCAGGAGTTCGAGACCAGCCTGGTCAACATGGTGAAACCTTACCTCTACTAATAATACAAAAATTAGCTGGACACATGCTGCACACCTGTTATCCCAGCTACTCGGGAGGTTGAGGCAAGAGAATTGCTTGCACCCAGGAGGCAGAGGTTGCAGTGAGCCATGATCATACCACTGCACTCCAACCTGGGCAATAGTCTCAAAAAAAGAGGGAGGGAGGGAAAGAAAGTGAAACAGCCTTATTGGTGATATGTGGAAAGTATGAGTGGTCTGATTAGATCAAACCAGCCACAACATTCCCTTAAACTGAAGCCTAATCGAGAACCAGGCCCAAGTTTTCTTCAATTCTATGAAGGCTGAGAGAGGTGAGGAAGATGCAGAAGAAAAGTTGGAGCCAGGCACGGCAGCTCACCCCTGTAATCCCAGCACTTTGAGAGGCTGAGGCAGGTGGATCACCTGAGGTCAGAAGTCCCAGCCTAGCTAACATTTAGTAGAGCCCGTCTCTACTAAAAATACAAAAAATTAGCTGTATGTGGTGGCAGCTGCCTGTACTCCCAGCTACTACGGAGGCTGAGGCAGGAGAATCGCTTGAACCCGGGAGGTGGAGGTTGCAGTGAGCCGAGATCACGCCATTGCTCTCCAGCTTGGGCAACAAGAGTGAAAATCCATCTCAAAAAAAAAAAAAAAAAAAAAAAAAAAGTTGGAAGCAGCAGAGGCTGGTTCATGAGGTTTAAGGAAAGAAGCTGTCCCCATAACACGAAAGTACAAGGTGAAGCAGCAAGTGCTACCTAACAGAAAAGCAACACCAGGTTATCCAGGTCTAGCTAAGATCATTGATGAAGGCAGCGAGACGAAAAAGCAGATTTTCAATATAGACAAAAGACTTCCTTTGGAAGGAGATGACATCTAGGACTTTCATACCTAGAGAGAACTCAGTGCTTAGTTTCAAAGGGCAAGCTGGCTCTCTTGTTAGGGGCAAATGTCACTGGTGACTTTAAGCTGAAGCCAGTGGTCTTTGACCATTCTGAAAATCCTAGGGTTCTGAAGAATTATGTTACGTCTACTCTTGCCTGTGCTCTGGAAATGGAATAACACATTACTGAATATTTTAAACCCACTGTTGAGATCCACTGCTCAGAAAAAGATTTCTTTCAAAATATTACCGTTCACTGACAATGTACCTAGTCACCCAAGGGCTCTGATGGAGATGTACACAAGGAGATGAATGCTGTCTTCATGTCTGCTAACACCACATCCATTCTGCAGCTATGGATCCAAGGAGTAATCTTGACTTTCAAGTCTTAATTATTTAAGAAATACATTTTGTAAGGCTATAGCTGTGGTAGTGATTCCTCGCATGAATCTGGGCAAAGTAAACTGAAAACCTTCTGGAAAGAATCTGCCATTCTAGATGCCATTCATGATTCATGGAAGGAAGTCAAATAACATTAACAGGAGTTTGGAAGAAGTTGATTCTAACCCTTATGATGACTTGGAGGAGTTCAAGACTTCAGTGGAGGAAGGAACTGCAGATGTGGTGGAAATAATGAACAGTTGCTTCTTACGGATGAGCAAAGAAAGTGGTTTCTTGAAATGGAATTTATTCCTAGTGAAGACGCTGTGCACATTGTGGAAATGACAACAAAACATTTGGAATATCACATCAACTTAGTGGATAGCAGTGGCAGAGTTTGAGAATAGCCTCCAACTTTGAAAGAATTTTCACTGTGGTTAAAATGCTATCAAAACAGCATCACATGCTACAAAGAAGTCTTTCATGAAAGGAGGAGTCCATCAATGCAGTAAATTTCACTGTTGTCTTATTTTAAGTAACTGACACAGCCACCACCACCCTGATCAGTCAGCAGCCATCCACACTGAGGCCAGATTGTCAAAGTATAAAACAAGCAGGACTCACTAAAGGCTCAGATGATCATTAGTATTTTTAGCACTAAAATATTTTTTAATTAACGTAAGCACATTTTTATAGATATAATGCTTGCTATTGCACACTTTAAGTAGTATACTGTAATTACAACTTTCATATGCACTGAAAAACCTAAAACTGTTGCGTCACTTGCTTTACTGCAATACTTATTTTACTGCGGTGGTCTGGATTAGAACTCGAATTATCTGAGGTACGCCTGTGTACAAGGACAGGATTCACAAATCACTCTAAGTAAATTAAGCAGAGTGATGAAAGGCTCATTGGGGTCAGCCTGCCATCTTCCAAATTATGACTAAATGCAAGAGCATCACCAATAACTATACTGGCAGAGGTTCACATTTCACCTCGATTCTTCCTTATGTTTAGAGAAAGCCTATTTTTCAGTATGCCAGGAAAAATCATGAAAGTAGACCTAACTAAAGCTGGGGGTTTCTTTCATCCTGAAGAGGAACCACTTCCTAAGGAAAAATCATCTACTGTTTTAAAAAGCAAACTCTCGTAGAGTTGGAAGAGAACCCCACACACAGGTGGAACACCCCCCAGGGCTGCGGCCCCGCCGTGGCGCTCAGCCTGGCCTGCCCTGGGCCCGACCTCAGGACGCCGCCATTCCCGGACCCTCGGGCCTCCCGTCAGGAATCCGCCATCGGAACGGAGGCCCTAACTGGTCCCGTCGCAGAGCCACTGTCCAAATAAGGCATTTCGAGAGCCACGAGGATGACATAAAGCAGACTCCGCGTTTCTTCATTTTTCGTTAAGTGACACGATTTCCCTCACAAGGAAGGTGCAAACCCACAGGGCGCCCAGACCCTGCCCGGCACTTCCTGTCATCCATTACCACGACCCGTGTGACAGAAGCGGCTCTTCCCACCAATTCCCGGGACGCCGGAACCGCTTCCCCAGCACCCGGCCCCAAACACTGCCGTCAGCGAGCGGCCCTGGGCTGCTCCCGCGCCGGCGCCCGGCTGAGGGCCACGAGCCCCATCACGCCCACCGCCCCCAGGACCCCGACCCACCCGCTCGCCACGGCCGAGGCCGGGGCCGGGGTCGCGGCCGCCATCTTCCCGCCTGCGCCGCCGCGCGCCCCGCACCCTCCGAGCAGCCCCGCCGGCCCTGAGGACTCCGCGAGGCCGCGGACCCGACCGGCCCCACGCGCGCCGCCCGCCCCGGCCCCGCCCCGCCGCGCGCCCCCGACCCTCACGCCCGCCGCCCCGCCCGCGCCGGGCTCCGCGCGCCCCCGCCCCGCGCCGGGGCGCGCGCCGCACTCCGAAAGGGACGGTTAGGAGCGCGCGCTTCGATCAGGCCCAGCGCGGCGGCGGCGGCGCCTTCCAGAAATTTCCGCGTCCCTCAACCCACACTAAGAAACCAACTGGGCGCGCCCCCGCGCCGGTTGGGCTGAAGGCGCCCCCTCCCCCGCGGGTGCCCGCTCCCCTCCCCCACCCGCGCCCCCTCCCCGCCCCCTGCCCCGGGCGGCGGGTCAAATGCGGGCCCTCGAGGGCAGCGCCGGCCCTCCAGACCCGGGCGGCAGCGGCGGCGGCGGGCGGCGGCCGCGGGCCGGTGTGATTGATAGGGACGGCGGCGGCGAGAGCGGCGGCGGCGGCGGCGGAGCGGTTGAGTGACAGCTTACCTGGGTGCCAATCTTCATCACACTGACAAGCGGCTGCAGCAATCGGGACCCGCAGTGCCGCGCCCGCGTCCAACCGTCACGCCGACGCTGGGCCACGCGACACAGCCTCGCTCAATGGGAGGAGGGCGACGCCGACGCGCGCCGCATCAATATTCAGAGAGGGGGCGGGGCCTGCCGGAGACGGGCCCCGCCCCTCCCTGCGCGGCGGCGGGCGCGGGGCGGGGCCTGATCGCTGGGGGAGGAGAGCGAGGGCGGGAACCGGGCGGTGGCCGGCCCCGCCTCCAGCCCCGCCCGCACCCGGAGCTAGGCCGTGCCCCCAACCGGCCGCGCCCGAGCGCGAGGAGCTGTCTGCCCCGCCCCGAAGGCAGAGCCTCCCGCCTTATGACTATGCAGTAGGGGCGTGGCCTCAGCGCACGTCTTGCCCCCTCCGCGCCCTCGGTTGCCGCCCAGGAGAGGTGTGTGTAGCCGGGCGAAACCATTTGCCTCGAGCAGGCGGGGAGGGAGGGCTGTACCATCCGTAACCCCACCGCCGGGCGTCCCGTAGCCGAAGGCCTCCGTTCTGTGTGTGCCCGGTTTGAATGTAAGCCCGTGGGAGCCTCGCAGCCTTCCTCCCCAGGCTCTGGAGCCCGGGTGGGCCCGTCCTGGGCGGCACAGTGGATGCTCACGTGCCTCCCCCCCTGCGGCAGCGCGAGTGCTTAGCACCTGAGGCTTTACCCTGGGGGCTGTCTTCCCTCTGTGAGGACCCCAGCAAGGACTCATGATGTCCACAGGTGCTTAGGGGTGGCCTCTGGGCTACTTGGCCTCGCTTGACCACACCTTCCGGCCCAGGTGAGCCTTGCGGGTCTAGGTGACCAATGCGGCCTCCAGGTAAAGGGCACCTGCCTTAGGGGACGCCCACAAGTGTCTGCATTTCAAACTGCTTTGAAAGACCACCCTAACCGACCACTGCCACAATGTACCCACAAGTGCAGATGGTGGCTTTGGTCTCCAAGATGTAAGGAAAGGGCGACACATTCCCCACTGCGTAGGAAAGCACACGGTTTGCCTGACTGGCCTTCAATACTGCAGAAACATCCATTTATGCAGTGGCCCACCGAAGGCCATCAGTGCCTTGAGTCCATACACAGCGCGGGAAGGGCAGCTCTGTGGGCCCCCACTCCTCCCGGAAGGCAGACAGGCCCAGGACTGGAGCTGATTGCTAGAGGGAGCCTGGGGGTAGGTCTAGGCATGAACAGCTCGGAGGACATCCCTCCTGTGTCTTCAGAGCTCCACACCGCCAGGAGGTCTTGGCCAAGTGCTGTGCAGCTGCAGAGCCGCCTCTTTCAGAAAGATGGGAAGCAGCAGGGTGGGCAAGAGGGAGGCCCTGAGATACTTGCCCAAGGAGGGAAGTTCAAGGGGACAAAAAAAGCTCAGTATTCAAGACTGAGCATAATCTGCAGAGCCTAGTGCAAGATCCAGATGCAAGTGTCAATAGGTGTTGGAACAGAGAGACTCCACATGGGCTGGGTAAACTGAAGCTGAGACCTGCTGGGCCGCACCCCCCAGGAGTTAAGGCGTTCTTAGTAATCGGATGAGATAGGAGGTCGGAACAAGACACAGGTCACAAGGATCCTGCTGATAAAACAGGATGCAGTAAAGAAGCCGGCCAAATCCCACCAAAACCAAGATGGCGGGGAAAGTGACCTGTGGCCTTCCTCACTGCTGATTATACACTAATTATAATATATGAGCTTGGTAAAACACACTCTCGCCAGCGCCATGACAGTTTTCAAATGCCATGGCAACGTTTGGAAGATACCCTACATTGCCTAAAAGGGGTCGGGCGCAGTGGCTCACGCCAGTAATCCCAGCACTTTGGGGAGGCCAAGGCGGGCAGATTACTTGAGGTCAGGAGTTGAGACCAGCATGGCCAATATGGTGAAACCCCATCTCTACTAAAAATACCAAAAAATTAAGCAGGCGTGGTGGCATACACCTGTAGTCCCAGCTACTTGGGAGGCTGAGGCAGGAGAATCGCTTGAACCTGGGAAGCAAAGGTTGCAGTGAGCCGAGATCACGCCATTGCACTCCAGCCTGGGCAACGAGCAAGACTCCATCTCCAATAAATAAATAAATAAATGGAAGAGGAAGCCTAAGTTCTGGGAATTCCCCACCACTTTCCCAGAAAACTCATGAATAATCCACCCCTTGTTTAGCACGTGATCAAGAAATAACCAATATAATTCAGGAACGGATTCTAGGGAAAAAAAAAAGGACCATAAAAATAGCCAACCAGCAGCCCTTGGGGCTGCTCTGCCTATGGAGTAGCCATTCTTTGGTTTATTTACTTCTCTAACAAACTCACTTTCACTTTACTCTGTGGATTCTCCCTGAATTCTTTCTTGTGTAAACTCCAAGAACCCTCTCTTGGGATCTGGATTGAGACCCCATTCCAGTAAGACAAAGTCCCTGGCTCAGAAATTACAGTGAAGAATTTCAAGGCAGTGACAGCAGAACCTTACCCCAAGCCTGGGCCCTTCTCAGCAGGGGCAGGGGCCCTGTGACATGCTGTTCAGGCCCCTGGAAGCAGCCCGGGGCTCACTGGCCACACCTACACCTGCCCCCGGTCTGAAGCTTTCATTTATTTGCATCTGGCCTGTGAGACAGCAGGAGTTCCACAGGAGGACCTGAGCGCATGGTCACCCAGAGCCCAGGAAGCAGCTGCAGCAAGTCCAGGGCAGACAGAAGCCCAGGCCCTGCCATCCCACTCTGGGCCCAGAAGACTCTGGGGTCATCAGCTAGGTGCCTTCTCTGCCAGCTGCTTTGCCGTTTCACCCACCATGAGCGGCCACCCTTCTTTTTCTTCATTTCTGAAGTCTGTCTTCAGAAAAGGGGGAAAGGCCGGGATGTGTTGCCAGAAAGGGGGTCTTGATCCAGACCCCAAGAGGGGATTCTTGGATCTTGAGCAAGAAAGAACTCAGGGCAAGTCCATAAACTGAAAGCAAGTTTATTAAGAAAGCAAAGGAATAAAAGAACAGCTACTCCATAGGCCCACCAGTGGCGTGGCTGCTCAGTTGCTTATACTTTTTGTTTGTTTGCTTGCTTGTTTTTCTTTCCTGCCCTGCCTTCCTCCCCCGGCAGCTTATACATATATTGTTAGCTCTTGATTATATGCTAAACACAGGGTGGGTTATTCATGAGGTTTCCTGAACAGGGGTGGGAACTGAGGGTTCCTCCCCTTTTTAGGCCATATAGGGTAACCTCCTGCCATTGCCATGGCATTTGTAAACTGTCCTGACAGTGGTGGGAGTGTCTTTTAGCATGCTAATGTATTATAATTAGCATATAATGAGCAGTGAGGACGACCAGCAGTCACTTTCATCCTCATCTTGGTTTTGGTGGGATTTGGCCGGCTTCTTTACCTGTTTTATCAGCAAGGTCTTTGTGACCTGTGTCTTGTGTCCTCCTATCTCTCCCTGTGACTAAGAATGCCTTAACCTCCTGGAAACGCAGCCCAATAGGTCTCAGTCTTATTTTACCCAGTCGCTATTCAAGATGGAGTCGCTTTGGTTCAAATGCCCCTGACAGATGCACTATCAGTAGTCTCCTCCTCCAGGGATGGGCAAAGTTTGCTGGGCCCTGAAACTTGCATACTGTGAGGAGTCTTTAGGAAAATAATTCAAAGTGAGGTAGGTATGGGGCTTTAGAGGGGGTGAAGACTCATTTGCTTCCCTGTGAATCCACCTTTGCCTCCAACCACACCTGTGTGGCCATGGGGGCCCTCTTCCCGGTGTTGAGCACCGAAGTGGTTTCTAAAGAAAAAAAAACAGACCGGGCTCAGTGGCTCACGCCTGTAATCCCAGCACTTTGGGAGGCCGAGGTGGGCGGATCACGAGGTCAGGAGATCGAGACCATCCTGGCTAACAGGGTGAAACCCCCTCTCTACTAAAAATACAAAAAATTAGCCGGGCGTGGTGGCAGACGCCTGTAGTCCCAGCTACTCGGGAGGCTGAGGCAGGAGAATGGCGTGAACCCAGGAGGCAGAGCTTGCAGTGAGCAGAGATCGCGCCACTGCACTCCAGCCTGGGCGAAAGAGCAAGACTCCGTCTCAAAAAAAAAAAGAAAGAAAAAAAAACAGGTACATTTTAATTCAAATAAGCAGCCATTCTATTTTCTTTACAACATGTTTTCTATAATATTTGTTAATTTTTTTTTTTTTGAGATGGAGTCTTGCTATATCACCCAGGCTGAAGTGCACTAGCATGATCTTGGCTCACTGCAGCCTCTGCCTGCTGGGTTCAAGCAATTCTTCTACCTCAGCCTCCCAAGTAGCTCAGATTACAGGTGCCCGCCACCATGCCCAGCTAATTTTTGTATTTTTAGTAGAGGCGGGATTTCACCTTGCTGACCAGGCTGGTCTCAAACTCTTGGCCTGGGCAACATGGTGAAACCCCGATTCTACTAAAAATACAAAAATTGCCAGGATCAGTGGCTCACGCCTGTAATCCCAGCACTTTGGAAGGCCGAAGCGGGTGAATCACGAGGTTAGCAGTTTGAGACCAGCCTGACCAACATGGTGAAACCCCTTCTCTACTAAAAATACAAAAAAATTAGATGGGCATGGTGGCAGGCGCCTGTAATCCCAGCTACTTGGGAGGCTGAGGCAGGAGAGTCACTTGAAATCAGAAGGTGGAGGTTGCAGTGAGCCGAGATTGCGCCACTGCGTTCTATTCTGGGCAACAAGAGCAAAACTCTGTCTCAAAAAAAAAAAAAAAAAATACAAAAATTAGCTGGGTGTGGTGGCAGGCGCCTGTAATCCCAGCTACTTGGGAGGCTGAGGTGTTGTGACCAAGCGAGTTATAGAGAAACGCCACACTTTGAGACAAATTAAAGAGTCCTTTATTAGCCGGCAACCAAGAGGCAGCTAACGCTCAAAATTCTCTCGGCCCCGAGGAAGGGGCTAGTTTTGTTTTTATACCATGGTCTAAATAGGGGAGGGGGATTTTAGCTGAAACAATTTTTACAGAAGCAGAACTGGCAAAAAATTAAAAAATTAATTGGTTACAAATGCAGTTAAAAAAATAAACAGTTCCAGGTGCAGGGGCTTAAACTATCACAAAGAGATAAATGCAGGGGTTTTGGGTGCCATCCACCGTGCTCATCCCCAGGAGCTGCTAGTGCGGCTTGCCTCACTATCTTATCAGTAGGTGCATTCCTGGACGTGCTTAGAGTCAGTTTACACTAGCTACGCCTTAAGGGAGGGAGGTGAAAGGGGGCTGCCAATGAAGAAACTAAAATGGAGTCTGTCTGGCTCTCTCTCTCCTAGGAGAGGGTCACTCAGGTTAAAACAAGGTAGGGTATCACAGAGGCATGAGAATTGCTTGAATCCAGGAGACAGAGATTGCAGTCAGCCGAGATCATGCCACTGCACTCCAGCCTGGGGTATAGAGCGAGACTCTGTCTCAAAAAAAGAAAAAGAAAGACATGACTAGACTGGGTGCAGTGGCTCATTCCTGCAATCCCAGCACTTCAGGAGGCGTGAGGCCAGGAGTTTGAGACTAGTGTGGGCAATATGGTGAGACCCCCCCACTGCCCCCTGCACACACCCATCCTGGTCTCTACAAAAGAAGAAAAAAATTTTTTTTTTTGTGACCGAGTCTTGCTCTGTCGCCCAGGCTGGAGTGCAGTGGCGCCATCTCGGCTCACTGCAAGCTCCGCATCCTGGGTTCACACCATTCTCCTGCCTCAGCCTCCCGAGTAGCTGGGACTACAGGCGCCCGCCACCGCGCCCGGCTAGTTTTTTGTATTTTGTTTAGTAGAGACGGGGTTTCACCGTGTTAGCCAGGATGGTCTCGATCTCCTGACCTCGTGATCCGCCCATCTCGGCCTCCCAAAGTGCTGGGATTACAGGCGTGAGCCACTGCACCCAGCCGCAAAAAAAAATTTGTAACTAGCAGGTGTCATGGTGCACACCAGTAGTCCCAGCTACTTGGAAGGCTTGAGAGCATGCCACTGCACTGAAGCCTGGGCAACAGAGTAAGACCCTGTCGCAAAAAAAAAAAAAAAAAAAAAAAAAGGAGAAATACGTGAGGCGTATGAAGAAGACCAACTCCATCTTGAATAGGAGCTGGGTGAAATGAGGCTGAAACCTACTGGGCTGCATTCCCAGACAGTTAAGGCATTCAAAGTCACAGGATGGTATAAGAGGTCAGGACAAGATACAATACAAGTCATAAAGACCTTGCTAATAAAACAGGTTGCAGTAGGCCGGGCACGATGGCTCACGCCTGTAATCCCAGCACTTTGGGAGGCCGAGGAGGGTGGATCATGAGGTCAGGAGTTCAAGACCAGCCTGGCCAAGATGGTGAAACTCCGTCTCTACTAAAAATACAAAAAATTAGCCGGGCGTGGTGGCACACGCCTGTAATCCCAGCACTCACTTGTGAGGCACAGGGAATAAAGGTAGCAGTAACCCAGATGGGGCACAGCACACACCAGAGCTACGGTACATGGGGGAGTATTTGAAAATGACACTGGAGGAACTTGAGTTGTTCTTAAAGGATGATTAGGATCTGAGAGGCTTCACTGAGAAAAATGAACGAGAAGCCACTGAAAACTAGGGCGCTGATTTCGGCTCGCTGTAGCCTCCGCTTCCTGGGTTCAAGCAATTCTCCTGACTCAGCCTCCTGAGTAGCTGGGATTACAGGTGCCCACCACCACGCCTAGCTAATTTTTGCATTTTTAGTAGAGACAGGGTTTTGCCATGTTAGCCAGGCTGGTCTTGAACTCCTGACTGACCTCAGGTGATCCACTCGCCTCGGCCTCCCAAAGTGCGGGGATTACAGGCCTGAGCCACCACGCCTGGCCCTCATCTGCTTTTGATTTTGCATAGAGTTCATTCTCACACACTGCTCCAATGTCTCATACATCTCATGCCAGGAACTGTTCAATATTTTTTTCTTTTTTGAAACAGAGTTTCCCTCTTGCTGTCCAGGCTGGAGTGCAATGGCGCGATCTTAGCTCACCACAACCTCCGCTTCCTGGGTTCAAGCGATTCTCCTGCCTCAGCCTCCCGAGTAGCTGGGAATACAAGCATGTGCCACCACACTCGGGTAATTTTGTATTTTTAGTTGAGATGGGATTTCTCCACGTTGGTCAGGCTGGTCTCGAACTCCTGACCTCAGGTGATCCACCCACCTCGGCCTCCCAAAGTGCTGGGATTATAGGCATAAGCCACTGCGCCCAGCTGGAACTATTCAAATATTGTATTAGTGTGCACTCTAATTAGTCTCCAAATCACTCAAGTTTATTAACTGATAAAAGCCAATTCTAGGGCTGGGCACAGTGGCTCACTCCTGTAATCCCAGCACTTTGGGAGGCTGAGGTGGGTGGATCACCTGAGGTCAGAAGTTCAAGACCAGCCTGGCCAACATGGTGAAACCCCATCTCTACTAAAAATACAAAAATTGGCCGGGTGCGGTGGCTCATGCCTGTAATTCCAACACTTTGGGAGGCTGAGGCAGACAGATCATGAGGTCAGGAGTGAAACCCCATGTTTGTAAAAATACAAAAATTAGCTGGGCGTGGTGGCACATGCCTGTAATCCCAGCTGCTCAGGAGGCTGAGGCAGGAGAATCATTTGAACCCGGGAGACGGAGGTTGCAGTAAGCCGAGATCACGCCACTGCACTCTAGCCTGGACAACAGAGTGAGACTCTGTCTCAAGAAAAACAAAAACAAAAAAATTAGCCAGACGTGTTGGCACACACCTGTAGTCCCAGCTACTCGGGAGGCTGAGGCAGGAGAATCACTTGAACCTGGGAGGTGGAGGTTGCAGTGAGCTGAGATCATGCCATTGCACTCCAGCCTGGACAACAAAGCAAGACTCCATCTCAAAAAAAAAAAAAAAAAATTAGCCAGGTATGGTAGCACGTGCCTGCATTCCCAGCTACTGGGGAGGCCAAGGCAGGAAAATTACTTGAACCTGGGAGGCGGAGGTTGCAGTGAGCCGAGATCTCACCATTGCACTCCAGCCTGGGTGACAGAGAGACACTCTATCTCAAAACAAAACAAAACAAAACAAAATTTAAAAAATAGCTGGGTGTGGTGGTGCATACCTGTGGTCCCAGCTACTTGGGAGGCTGAGATGGGAGGATTGCTTGAGCCCCGGGGGGCACAGGTTGTAGTGAGCGCAGATCACACCATTGCACTCCTGGTTAGGTGACAGACTAAAAAGCTGAGACCCTGTCTCAAAAAAAAAAAAAAAGCCCAGCGGGGCGCAGTGGCTCACACCTGTAATCCCAGCACTTTGGGAGGCCGAGACAGGCAGATCACAAGGTCAGGAGATCGAAACCATCCTGGCTAACACGGTGAAACCCCGTCTCTACTAAAAATACAAAAAAAAGAGAAAAAATTAGCTGGGCGTGGTGGCGGGCGCCTGTAGTCCCAGCTACTCGGGAGGCTGAGACAGGAGAATGGCGTGAACCTGGGAGGCAGAGCTTGCAGTGAGCCGAGATCGCGCCACTGCACTCCAGCCTGGGCGACAAAGCAAGACTCCGTCTCGGGGGGAAGAAAAGCCAATTCTTCAAAGCTATAATTTTCTTTTTTTTTTTGAAACAGGGTCTCACTCTGTCACCCAGAATGGAGTGCAGTGGCATGATCTCAGCTCACTGCAACCTCTGCCTCCCAAGCTCAAATGATTCTCCTGCCTCAGCCTCCCGAGTACCTGGGATTACAGGCATATGCCACTACCAATGGGCTAATTTTTGCATTTTTTGTAGAGATGGGGTTTCACCATGTTGACCAGGCTGGTCTTGAACTCCTGACCTCAAATAATCCACCTGCCTCAGCTTCCCAAACTGCTGGGATTACAGGCATGAGCCATCGAAACTGGCCTTCTTTTTAATTTTATTTTAATTGAAATTAGATTTTTTTTTCTTTTTTGAGACAGGGTCTCACTTTGTTGCCCAGACTGCAGTGCAGTGGCAGGATCTCTGCTCACTGCAGCCTCATCCTCCCTGCATTCAGGTGACCCTCCCACCTTAGCCTCAAGAGTAGCTGGGACTGCAGATGTGTGCCACCATGCCCAGCTAATTTTTGTATTTTTTTGTAGAGACACGATTTCATCATGTTGCCCAGGTTGGTCTTGAACTCCTGGGTTCAGGGGATCCTCCTACCTTGGCCTCCCAAAATGTAGGGATTACAGGCATGAGCCACTGCGCCCAGCCCAAATATGTAATTTCTCAATGAGGTCAATGAACAGTTGAAACATGATTAACTGGTTGGGCTCCATGGCTCACACTTGTAGTCCTAGCACTTCGGGAGGCCAAGGCAGGAGGACTGCTTGAGGCCAGGAGTTTGGGACCAGCCTGGACAACATAGTAAGACCCGTCTCTACAAAAATAAAAAAATTCCACACACAAAAACTACAGCAACAATAGAGAAATATGATGAGCCCCAGCTCAACAGGGCAAGTCAGCAATGGAAGAGACCAAAGCCTTGGGGAGCCTGGATGGAGACAGCAAGAGAAGGCTCCGGGTCCCTGATGGACAACGGCTGCACCTGAGCCAGGTGTGCTCAGACAGGTGAGGAAGCTCGATGAGCAGGAACTCCAATACGGTGGGGTGTACGGGTGGCACTGGATATGGGGTTACCTGCCCTGGGACAAGATGATACTTCCTGAGCTTTGGGACCTGGGCTGGTTAATTTTATGTGTCAATGTGGCTAGGCTATGGTGCCTGGCTCAGTGGTCACAGAGCACCCTGGATGTGTCTGTGAAGATGTTTTTAGATGGGATTAACATTTTCCTAAGTAGATTTCAGTGAAGCACGTTACCCTCCATAATGTGCGTGGGCCTCATGCATCCATTTAAGGCCTTCAGAGAAAAGACTGAGGTTCCCTAAGAAGGAAGGAATTCTGCCTCCACACTGCCTTTGAATTGGGACTCACGCCGCACCGCCAGCAGCATCTCTTGCTAGAATTTCCAGACTGCCCTGCAAATTTCAGACTTGCCAGTCTCGATTCTTAAAATAAATCTCTCCCTCTCTCACTATCCGTCTATGTACATCTATCTCCATCCTATCGGTTCTGTTTCTCTGGAGAACCCTGACTAATGCAGGATGCATTCCTGTCTCTGGACCCTCACAATGGCATATGCTTTAGTGACATTTACCCACACATGGCACCGTTGCCTGCTTTCCCACTGTGGACACCAAGGCCGCAGTAGGACAATCCTGGAAGGCCCATGGTCCCAGTGACCGCTCACCATTGGCCCTTCCTGGCGGGACTGTGCAGCTAAAATCAGGCACAGAGAAGGGGCCTCCTAGTCCCCGCAGTCCTGCTTCCTACCTGCCCACAGCAGTGCTATGTGGACAGGTTGCTTTCCTGCCTGCACAGGCCCCCCGGGCCTGGACCCTCACTGGAGGGAATGTGCCCCCTCTCAGCTTGGATGAGGAGTGGGGTAGGGGAGAGAAGAGGGAGGGACGGGAGGGATGGTGGGCCCCTCTCCAGGCTACAGAGGAATGCCCAGAGGCAAGGGAGGCGAGCTGGCACGCTGCCTTCTGTGCCCAGGCAGTGCACAGTTAGCACGAAAAGGAGCATCAAGCTGAAAAAACGCCTTTCTCTTCTTGCCCCTCATTCTTGGCTGTTTTCCTAATTGTGCTGAAATGAACGTTTACCATCTCGTGAGATATTTGAGAACACAGTTACTGTTCCTTTTTTTTTTCTTTCTTTCTTTTCTTTTTTTTTTTTTTTTTTTTTTTTGAGACGGAGTCTCCCTCTGTCACCCAGGTTGGAGTGCAGGGGCATGATCTCAGCTCACTGCAACCTCCGCCTCCCAGGTTCAAGCGATTCTCCTGTCTCAGCCTCCTAAGTAGCTGGGATTACAGGCACATGCCACCACACCCAGATAATTTTGGTATTTTTAGTAGAGATAGGGTTTCACCATGTTGCTTAGGCTGGTCTCAAACTCCTGACCTCAGGTGATCCACCAGCCTTGGCCTACCAAAGTGCTGGGACTACACGAGTGATCCACCACGCCTGGCCCTTTCCTTTCTATTTTTAAAAGAGATGGGTTTTGCCATGTTGCCCAGGCTGGTCTCCAACTCCTGAGCTCAGGCAATCTGCCTGCCTCAGCCTCCCAGAGTGCTCGGATTACAGGTATGTGCCACTGTGTCCAGCCAACACAGTTGCTGTTTCTACTACATATTTTCTTTTCTGTCTTTCTTTTTTTTTTTTTTAAGATGGAGTTTTGATCTTGTCACCCAGGGTGGAGTGCAATGTCCTGATCTCTGCTCACTGCAACCTCCATCTCCCAGGTTCCAGCTATTCTCCTGCCTTAGCATCCTGAAGAGCTAGGATTACAGGCATGCACCATCACAGCCAGCTAATTTTTGTATTTTTAGTAGAGATGGGGTTTCACCATGTTGGCCAGGATGGTCTTGAACTCCTGACCTCAGGTGATCCACCCACTGTGGCCTCCCAAAGTGCTGGGATTACAGGCGTGAGCCACCACGCCCGGCCACAACGTATTTTCATTGAGGATAGAAAGAAGCTTGCGGGGCCAATTTTTACACAAAAATTAGCTGGGCATGGCGATGGGCACCAGCTACTCTGGAGGCTGAGGCAGAGAATTGCTTGAAACTGGGAGGCGGATTTTGCAGTGAGCCAAGATCACACCACTGCACTCCAGCCTGGGCGACAGAGCAAGATTCCGTCGAAGAGAAGGGAAGGGAAGGGAAGGGAGGGGAGGGGAGGGGAGGGGAGGGGAGGGGAGGGGAGGGGAGGGGAGGGGAGGGGAGGGGAGGGGAGGGGAAGGGAAGGGAAGGGAGAAAAGAAAAGAAAAGAAAAAAGAAAGAGAAGCTTGTGGGCTTGGTCTGGACAGGGTGCCTCCCTTGGTGGCCGTGTCAGCTGCCTCTCTTGCTTCCTGCATGTGTGACTGGATACATATACTAGGATACTGGATACATATACCCTTCTTACATATACTAGGAATACTGTCCCTACCTCCACATATCCTAGCATCTACAAGTAAGTGCACTTTTGTGTATGTGCAATTATCAGTCAGGATCAGTGGAAAGATTAAGGAACAGAATGCATTCATGGAATTCTAGAGATGGGAGAAATCTCTCCAGCTCCTTTTACATGGGAGAAAACCACTGGGCGTGTTCAAGACAGGCTCCAGGCCCAGGTCTTCATCCCGCCAGAGCTCTTCTCTTTTAACTGTGTAGGGGAAGGAAAATTGCTCATTTTATTCTACCCTTCCAGGTTCTCACTGGGGACCCTGCTACAAAAGACAAATTAACAGGGGAAAGATGGATGTTTATTAGCATGTATCTCTCAGGGATAATGGAGAAACTCAGGGATGAGTAAATTTAAAGAGGTGACATAGAATTTGGGCTTCTATCCCAGCCCTTTTGAAACCACCTTTGCAAAAATTATAAGTGAGGCAATCATTACAGTGAAAGACATCTGGCCTAACTAAGTCCATCTTGCTTCTAACCTCCAAGCTGTCCTTGTTTGTTCCTGGGTGGAGGCCGAACTAACTCTGGGAGGAACTTAGTTTATGGTTTAGCTTTGAAACAAAGACGATAGAGCCCTTTCCCTAAACACATCCCCTTCCTACCTGGGGACTAGATTGCCTTTGCAGGACTAACAAATTAGCCACAAAATTAGAAATTATTGTTTAGGAGTCTTGCAGCTGGAGGCTGCAAAATTGCTCCTAGGGATCACATCACTACTGTCAAACCTCAGATCAGCGCTTGAGATATTTTGCAGACCCTGCACTCGATGGATCAGCTGACACCACTCCTACCGATAAACTGGCTCATGGGGTCTTCTGACCCCCTCCCAGGAACCAAGTCAGCCCAAGAGGACAGCCTCAACTTCCTGTAATTTCATCTCCGACCTGACAAATCAGCACTCCTGACCCAACGGCTCCCTACCCACCAAATTATCCTTAAAAACTCTGGGCCAGGCACAGTGGCTCACGCCTGTAATCCCAGCACTTTGGGAGGCCGAGGCGGGCAGATCACGAGGTCAGGAGATGGAGACCGTTCTGGCTAACACGGTGAAACCCCGTCTCTACTAAAAATACAAAAAATGAGCCGGGCATAGTGGTGGGCGTCTGTAGTCCCAGCCACTTTGGAGGCTGAGGCAGGAGAATGGTGTGAACCCAGGAGGCGGAGTTTGCAGTGAGCCAAGATCATGCCACTGCACTCCAGCCTGGGTGACAAAGCAAGACTCCATCTCAAAAAAAGAAAAAACAAAACAAAAACTCTGATCCCCAGTCGGGCACGGTGGCTCATGCCTGTAATCCCAACACTTTGGGAGGCTGAGGCATGTAGATCACTTGAGGTCAGGAGTTCAAGACTAGCCTGGCCAACATGGTGAAACCCCGTCTCAACTAAAAATACAAAAATTATCAGCCTGCCCAATATGGCGAAACCTCGTCTCTACTAAAATAAAAAAATTAGCTGGGCATGGTGGTTGGTGCCTGTAATCCCAACTACTCGGGAGGCTGAGGCAGGAGGATCACTTGAAGCTGGGAGGTGGAGGTTGCAGTGAGCCGAGATCACGCCATTGCACTACAGCCTGGGGGACAGAGCAACACTCCATCTCAAAAAAAAAAAAAAAAGGCCAGGCGCAGTGGCTCATGCCTGTAATCCCAGCACTTTGGGAGGCCGAGGTGGGTGGATCACCTGAAGTCAGGAACTCAAGACCAGCCTGGCCAACATGGCGAAACCCCGTCTCTACAAAAATACAAAAATTAGCCAGGCATGGTGATGGTGTGCCTGTATCCCAGCTACTTAGGAGGCTGAGGCGGGAGAATTGCTTGAACCCAGGAGGCAGAGGTTGCCGAGATCGAACCATTGCACTCCAGCCTGGGTGACAGAGTGAAACTCTGTCCCAAACAAACAAACAAACAAACAAAAAACACCTCTGATCCCGAAATTCTTGGGTAATTTTGAGTAATCCGAGTAATAATAAAACTCTGGTCTCCCACATAGCTGGCCCTGGTAAATTGCTCTTTCTCTATTTCAGTTCCCCTGTGTTGATAAATCAGCTGTCTAGACAGCAGGCAAGGTGAACTCGTTGGGTGGTTATATTTTGGGAGGCTGAGGCAAGTGGATCGCTTGAGCTGAGGAGTTCCAGACCAGCCTGGGCAACATGGCAAAACTCCATCTCTATAAAACATACAAAAAGAAAGTTAGTGGGGCGTGGTGGTGCACACCTGTAGTCTGAGCTACTAGGGAGGCTGAGGTAGGAGGATTGCTTGAGCCTGGGAGGCCGCAGTGAGCTGTGTTCGCGTCACTGCACTCCAACCTGGGCGACAAAGTGAGACCCTGTCTTAAAAAAAGAATTTTGAGGCTGGTCGTGGTGGCTCATGCCTATAATCCCAGTACTTCAGGAGGCCGAGGTGGGTGGATCACCTGAGGTCAGGAGTTCGAGACCAGCCTGGCCAACATGGTGAAACCCCGTCTCTACTAAAAATACAAAAATTAACCAGGCGTGGTGGCACATGCCTGTAATCCCAGCTTCTCGAGAGGCTGAGGCGGGAGAATTGCTTGAACCTGGGAGGTGGTGGTTGTGATGAGCCAAGATCACACCACTGCACTCCAGCCTGGTAACAGAGACAAGACAATGTCTCAAAAGGAAAAAAAAAAAAAAGAATTTGGGCTTAAATACCATCTTCTGCTAAAACAAAAGAAGAAGATGAGGAGGCAGGGTACGGGAAAGTGACCCTCAGGAGAGGAGTGGAGTCAACAAGGGCAGGGTTTGTTATGCGGATGATGTCTCTTGTGATTTAGAATCCTCCTCCTCCTGATATGAAGAGGAAGATGCCGGGACCAATGGAGATTCCTTTATAAATGTAGATTTCCCTTACAAAAGGGTAATTTATACACTGTATCCAGGACTCCTGTGTCTGCTGGCTGTCAAAATAATCAGCTCAAAATAATTCTATGCCGGGCCAGGCGTGATGGCTCACGCCTGTAATCCCAGCACTTTGGGAGGCCGAGGCAGGTGGATCACCTGAGATCAGGAGTTCGAGACCAGCCTGATCAACATGGAGAGACCCTGTCTCTACTAAAAATACAAAATAGCCGGGCGTGGTGGTGCGTGCCTGTAATCCCAGCTACTTGGGAGGCTGAGACAGGAGAATCGCTTGGACCCAGGAGGCGGAGATTGCGGTGAGCCAAGATCACGCCATTGCACTCTAGCCTGGGCATACAGAGCAAGACTCCATCTCATAAAAAATAAGAATAATAATAATAATAATAATAATTCTATGCCAAGAGGCACATTTGGAGTGGCATATTCTGGTCGGCTACAGAGGGGTGTACCCTTGCACTACTTTCGGTATGACAGGACCACAAAGTCTCGCCTGATAAAGATCTTTACAGGCTTAACAGCTTGATGGAAATAACACCATTAGCTCAGCTTTTGCTGCTGTGACCTTAACAGGTCGGTTGCCTGATGCACAAGTCCAAACACCGATGGAGGGTTCCAGCAGAGAGAGAGAGGTGTCGTCCTAATGCTGCGGAATGCCTAGAGGAGAGGACACCTCAAAGCAGCTTCCCTCAGGAGTCTGGGGCTGGGGATCTTAAGAGGTTTGAAGTGGACCAAGGTGTGGGCATCACTGATTGGTCGAAAAGCACAGGTTGGAGACAGACACCTGGATTCTCATGTTGACTTGGTTACTCTGCGAAGGGGCTTTAAACTGTCTAGTGTCAGCCATTCTGCTGGAATTCAGAATCTGGAAAACATCTTAAGCAATTCTTTTTTTTTTTTTTGAGACGGAATCTTGCTCTGTCCCCCAGGCTGGAGTGCAGTGGCTCATTGCAAGCTCCGCCTCCTGGGTTCATGCCATTCTCCTGCCTCAGCCTCCCGAGTAGCTGGGACTACAGGTGCCCGCCACCACGCCTGGCTTTTTGTATTTTAGTAGAGACGGGGTTTCACCGTGTTAGCCAGGATGGTCTCGATCTCCTGAGCTCGTGACCCGCCCACCTTGGCCTCCCAAAGTGCTGGGATTACAGGCGTGAGCCACCGCGCCCAGCCCCCCACCCCCCCCTTTTTTTTTGAGACAGAGTTTTGCTCTTGTTGCCCAGGCTGGAGTGCAATGGTGCAATCTTGGCTCACCACAACCTCCGCCTCCCAGGTTCAATCGATTCTCCTGCCTCAGCCTCCTGAGTAGCTAGGATTACACGCACGTGCCACCACACCCAGCTAATTTTGTATTTTCAGTAGAGACGGGGTTTCACCATATTGGCCAGGCTGGTCTCAAACTCCTGACCTCAAGTGACCCACCCACCTCATTCTCCCAAAGTGCTGGGAGTACAGGCATGAGCCACCACACCCGGCCTACATCTTAAGCAATTCTTAAACGAAAGCCTTATGATTCTAACGTCAGAGATCCTATCTGTGGGAACAATAGGGGTGCAAATTGTCAGTATCTATGGCTAGGGGACTTTCAGTTACAAGAAAGTGGGCTAAAGTGCAGCCTGATGAATGCTTAGTTACAAGAACCCAAAAGTATCTGAGGCAGGTCTCAATTAATTTAGAAAATTTATTTTGCCAAGGTTTCCTTTTTTTTTTTTTTTTAAGACAGAGTCTCTCTCTCTCTCGCCCCGGCTGGAGTGCAGTGGTGCCCTCTCAGCTCACTGCAACCTCCTTCTCCCAAGCTCAAGCGATTCTCCTGCCTCAGCCTCCTGAGTAGGTAGGATTACAGGCGTGCACCACCACGCCCGGCTAATTTTTGTATTTTTAGTAGAGACGAGGTTTCACCATGTTGTCCAGGCTGGATATTTTGCCAAGATTTAAGGACGTGCCTGAGACACAGCCTCACGAGGTCCTGAGGATATGTGCCCCACGTGATCAGGGCATAGCTTGGTGTTTACGTTTTAGAGAGACATGATATGAATACTGAGGGTTAGAAACAATAGAAAAGAAACAAAAAAGAAAAAGACGTGAAACGTCAATCAATATGTGTAAGGTGTACATTGGTTCAGTCTAGAAAGGCAGGACAACTCAAAGTGGGGGCTTCCAGGTCATAGGAAACGAGACACAACATTGTATTTTTTTTTTTTAAGATGGAGTCTCTCTCTGTTGCCCGGGCTGGAGTGCAATGGCGCCATCTTTGCTCACTGCAACCTCGGCCTCCCGGGTCCAAGGGATTCTCCTGCCTCAGCCTCCCCAGTAGCTGGGATTACAGGCATGCGCCACCACACCCGGCTAATTTTGTATTTTTAGTAGAGACAGGGTTTCCTCATGTTGGCCAGGCTGGTCTTGAATTTCTGGCCTGAAGGGAGCCACCCACCTGGGCTTCCCAAATTGCTGGGATTGCAGACAGGAGACACTGTGCCTGGTCAAAAGGTTGCATTCTTTTGAGTCCTTGAACAGCCTTTCACTGAATACACAATTTACATGTGAGAGGCGGGTAGAGGAATAGTCACTTACGCCTTAGTCTGGCTCAGTGAATCTACATTTTTGCATAAACAATAGGGCATTTGTCTTGGAGAAATAAGCCAAAAGTAATAAATAAATAAATAAACAATAGGGCAGAGGAAGCAATCAGATATACGTTTGTCGCAGCTCAGCAGAGGGCTGACTGAATTCTGTCCTTTGTCCCACACCTGTGAAGATGAGCTACCAATTTACCTTGCCAGGTGAAATTCAAAAGAACTGTTTTAAGGTAAAGATCTTGAGGCCCTCAAGGAATTTCCTTGTGGGGGAAATGGTGAGGAAGGTAGGTAGCTTCCTGTTATCTTCGTAGCAATCTTGCTTAGGAATAAAGTTTGAGGCAGGTTTGCCTGAGGCAGCGTGGGGTCCTGCGACTGACTTTCCTTTCACAGTTAGAACTGTATTTCTGTCCAGAACCAGGTATGAATTCTTGTTAACCCTGGGGGACAGTTTCACTAGTTACATATTAAAAAAAAAAAAAAAAAAAAAGTTTTTCAATGAGGAAAGATAATTCTAAAAGCAATATAAGATTTAGAAAAAAAGTTTTTGAAGTCCTCCGAAAATCATTTTTTCTATTTATACAAAGATTCCTTTTTTAAATTTTCGACTCTTTTTTTGTTTTTGAAGCTTGTCACGCTTAAGGATTTTTAAAATTTTCTTTTTCTTTTTCTTTTCTGAGACGGAGTCTGGCTCTGTCACCCAGGCTGCAGTGCAGTGGCACAATCTCATCTCACTGCAACCTCTGCCTCCCAGGTTCAAGCCATTCTCCTGGCTCAGCCTCCCGAGTAGATGGGGTTACAGGCACCCGCCACCAGGCCCGGATAATTACTTGTTTTTTTTTTTTTTTTTTTCAGGCGGAGTCTCACTCCGCTGCCCAGGCTGGAGTGTGCAGTGGGGCGATCCCAGCTCACTGCAACCTCTGCCTCCCGGGTTCAAGCAATTCTCCTGCCTCAGGCTCCCAAGTAGCTGGGATTATAGGCCCTTGCCACCACACCTGGCTAATTTTTGTATTTTTAGTAGAGACGGGGTTTCACCATGTTGGTCAGGCTGGTCTCGATCTCCTAACCTCGTGATCTGCCCGCCTTGGCCTCCCAAAGTGCTGGGACTACAGGCGTGAGCCGCTGTGCCAGGCCATAAATTTTATTTTTCATTTCCTTGTTTTGCTTTGTTTTTGAAATGATTCTCCTTTAAGCCATATTTACATTATCTTGTTATCCCAAGACCAAAGGATTTTTTAAACAAAGATAAGCTTCAACTCCTATCTTGTTTTACTCATCAGTGATCCTGAATTACCAAAGACTTCTGTATACTCATGTTTCGAATGCCATGTAGGTCAGGAGTCAACTGGAAAAGTTGTTAGGCCGGTATTTCTACGTCTCGCATTTGTCAGCACTTGCCAAAACGGTGACGCAGCGGTGTGTTATCTGCCGACAGCGTAATGCGAGGCAAGTGCCAGCCGTTCCGCCCGGCATACAAGCTTATGGAGCAGCCCCCTTTGAAGATCTCCAGGTAGACTTCACAGAGATGCCAAAGTGTGGAGGTAACAAGTATTTACTAGTTCTTGGGCGTACCTACTCTGGGTGGGTGGAGGCTTATCCAACACGAACTGAGAAAGCTCCTGAAGTAACCCGTCTGCTTCTTCGAGATCTGATTCCTAGATTGGGACTGCCCTTACGGATCAGCTCAGATAACGGGCCTGCGTTTGTGGCTGACAGTACAGAAGATGGCAAAGGTATCGGGGATCACATGGAAACCGCATGCCGCCTCCTGGTCTCAGAGTTCCGGAAAGGTGGGGCGGATAAATCGGACTATCCAAAATGGTATTACTGTCTTCCCCGCTGGATATTAAAAACAATTCCACAAGGGGCGTCAAACCACCTGCCAAATTTGAGGGAATGTTATCCTCTCCCCCGCCCCCCGTCCCCAGATATTAGAGACAATAACACAGGGGTAATGTATACCCACTGCTTTATTGGGAGTAATATCATCCTCTCCCTTCTTGGATATTAGGAACAATATCACAGTGTGCGTGTACGCCTGTCGCGAAATTCAATGTAATGTCATCCTGTGCCTCTGTGGATATGACGAACAATATCACGGGGGATGTACCACTTCTGAGATATTGGGAGTGATATCATCCTCTCCCCTCTGGAAGTTAGGGACAATATCACAGGGGTAGTGTACACTCTCTGTGATGTTGGGACTAATATCATCCTCCCGCCCCCTGGATATTGAAAACCATATCACAAGGGGCGTGTACACACACTTCGATATTGGTATTAATACCATCCTCTCCCTCTTTGGATTTTCAGTGCAATATTTCAGGTGGGGTATACACCACCTGCAATATTGGAAGTAATATTATTTTCTCCCACTGTGGATATCAGCAACAATATCACAGGGGGTGTGAAAAACCCCTGCGACATTCAGAGTAACATCATCGTTCCCCTCATGAATATTAAGAACAATATCGTGGTGGGGGGTGTACACCCCCTTTGATATTTGACATCATCCTCTTCCCCCCTGGATATGAGGAACAATATCAGGAAGGGATGTACAGACCCTGAGACATTTGCTGTCATATAATTGTCTCTCCCCTAGATATTAGGAAAAATGTAACTGGGGATGTGAACACCCCTGCGATATTGGGAGAAGTATCATCCTCTCCCCCGTTGGATATTAGGAACAATATCACAGGGGAGGTGTACTGCCTCTGGGCTATTGGGAGCAAAATTATCCTCTCTTCCCCTGGATATTAGGAAGGGTCTCAGAGGGGGAGGGTGTACATTCCCTGCGATATTCAATGTAATCTTATCCTCTCCCTCCCAGGGTATTAAGAACAATATTACAGGAGGGGTGTACACCCTCTGCGATACTAAGAGTCATATCATCCTCTTTGGCTCTGGATATTAGGAGCAATATCACAGGGCTGTGTACACCCCCTGCGATATTGGGAGTAATATCATCCTCTCCACCCAGGAAATTACTAACTAGGTCACGGGGGGTGTACTCCCCCTGCGATATTGGGAGTAATGTCGTCCTCCCTAAACCTGGATGTTAGCAACAAGATCACAGAGGGGGTGTACACACCCTGCGATATTGGAAGTAATATGATCCTCTTCCCCCCCACCCCAGATATTGGGAAAAATATCACAGCACGGGTATACATTTCCTACGCTGTTGGGAGTAATATCATTCTTTTCTTCTCTGGATATTAGGAACAATATCGCAGGGGTGGTGTACATTTCCTTTGATATTGGGAGTAATATCATCCTCTCTCCATTGGGATATTAGGAACAATATCCCAGGGGGGTGTCTACCCTCTGCGACATTGGGAGTAATATCATCCTCTGTTTCCCTGGATATTAGACTCAATGTCACAAAAAGGTGTACACCCCCTGTGATATTGGGAATAATATCATACTCTCCTTCCCTGGATATTAGAAAACAATGTCATCAGGGGTGAACACCCGTGCGATAATGGGAGTAATATTTTCTCTTTCACAGGCCATTAGGAACAATATCACAGAGGGTGTTTACACACCCTGCGATATTGGAGGTAATATCATCCTCTGCCCCCCGGAATATTACCAACAATATCAAACAGAGGTTGTGTACACTTCCTGTGATATTGGGAGTAATATCATTCTCTCCACCCCCGGATATTAAGAACAACATCCCGGCGGGGGGTGGTACACCCCCCAGTGATATTGGGAATAATGTCATCCTGTCCTTCCCTGGATATTAGGAACCATATCACAGGGGGGTGTACACCTTCTGTGATATTGGAAGCAATATCATCCTCTCCCCCACTGGATATTAGAAAAAATACCACACATGGTGTACACCCACTGTGATATTAGGAAGAATATTACAGGGTGTACACCCACTCTGACTTTAGGAGAAACAGCTACCTAAAATGTCACAAACAATATCACAGGGTATACAGTAATATCTCCCTAGGATATTACAAATACTATTACAGGGTGTACACCCACTGCGATAACAAGAGAAATACATCCCAAGGACATTACCAATAATATCACAGGCTGTACACCCACTATGACATAAGGAGTGATATTTCCCTAGGATATTACGAATAACATCACAGAATGTACACCCATGGTGTGCACCCATGGTGATATTAGGAGTAATATCTACCCAGGACATAACCAATAACAGCACAGGGTGTACATACATGATGTACACCCATGGTGATGTTATGAGAACTATCTCCCTAGGATATTACAAATAACATCACAGAGGGTACACACATGGTATACTCCCACTGTGGCACTAGGACTAATAACTTTCTAACATATGAATAGCATCACAAAATAGAAACACATGGTGTACACCCACTGTGATATTAAGGGTAATATCCCCCTAGGATATTATGAATAACATCACAGGGTGTTCACCCATGGTGTACACATGCTGTAATACTAGGAATAATATCTCTCTAGGATATTATGAATAATATCACAGGGTGAACACCCACTGTGATATTGGGAACAATATCTCTCTGGGATATTACGGATTATATCACAGAGTGTACACACATGGTGTACACCCACTTTGGTATTAGGAGTAATATCTTCCTAGGACATTACAAATAATATCACAGAGTGTACACCCACTGTAACATTAGGAATCGCATCTCCCTAGGGTATTACAAATAATATCACAGGGTGTACACCCACTGTGATATTAAAAGTCATACCTCAGTCAGATATTGTGAATAATATCACGGATGTACACCACGTGTGCACACCCACTGTGATTTTTAAAGTAATACCTCCTTAGGATATTATGAATAATATCAAGGAGTGTACACACCCCATGACATTAAGATAACATCCCTTTAGGATATTCCAAATAATAACCCAGGCTGTATACCCCATGTGACATTAAGAGTAACATCTTCCTAGGATATTACGAATAAGATCCCAGGGTTGACACCCCCTGTGATTTTAAAAGTTAAATCCCCTTAGAATATTACTAATAATAACACAGGGTGTACACCCCTGTGATGTTAGGAGTAACATCCTCCCAGGATATTATGAATAATATCAGAAGGTGTACACACATGGTGACATTAGTAGTCATATCCCGCTAGTATATTGTGAATAATATCACAGGGTATACACACCTGTGACATTAGGAGTAACATCCCCCTGGAATATTCTGAATAATATCACTGGGCGTACACCTCCTGTGACTTTAGGAGTATCATCCTGCTAAAATATTACGAATAATGTCACAGGGGGTTAGCCTGTGTAATATCACAGGGTGTACACCCCCTGTGACATTAGGAGTAACATCTTTCTAGAACATCACGAGTAATATCACAATGTGTACACCCCCTGTGACATTAAAAGCAAAATCCCCCTAAGATATTCCGAATAATATCACAGGGAGTACACCCCGTGTGACATAGGAGTAATAATCCGTGAGGATATAATGAATAATATCAGAGGGTATATACGTATTGTGACATTAGTAGTAACATCCTGCTAGGATATTACGAATAATATCACAAGGTGTACACCCCGGGTGACATTAATTGATGGAACAGTCCCCTAGAATATGACCAATAACATTACAAGGTGTAGAACACCTGTGATTTATGAGTAAGAGTTCTATAGAATATTACAAGTAATATCATTCAGTGTGCACCCCGTGTGACATTAGGAGTAACAGCCCACGAAACTGTGACAAATAATTTCAAAAGGTGTACACCCTCTGTGACATTAAAAGTAATATCTTACTAGGATATTACGAATAATATCACAGGGTATACAGCCCCTGTGACATGAGGAGTAATGTCTTTTTAGGATATCGCGAATAATATAACAAGATGTACACACCCTGTGACATTAGGTGTAACATCCGTCTAGGAGACTATGAATACTATCGCAGCGAACACACCCCCTGTGACAATAGGAGTAACATCCCCGTAGGATATTATGAATAATATCACAAGGTGTACACACATTGTGACTTCAGTGCTAATATCCCTCTCATATACTGTGACTATCACAGGGTGTGCACCCCTGTGATATGACATTAGGAGTAACATCTCCCTAGAGTATTATGAATACTATCATGAGGGTACACACGCCTTTGGTTTAGGAGTAATATTCCCCTAGGATATTACAAATGATATCACAGTATGTACACTCACTGTGATATTAGGAGTCCCATTTTCCTAGGATATTATGAATAATATCACAGTAGGTGTTCACACATAATGTGTACACCATGTGTGTACACCCATGTGATATTTGAAGTAGTATGTCCCTAGGATCTTATGAATAATCTCAAAAGGTGTACACCCCATGTGACATTAAAAGTAACGTCCCTTTTGGATATTCCGAATGCTATCACAGGGTGTGATATTAGGAGTGTGATATTGGGAGTAACCTCTTCCTAGGATAACCCATGTGATATTAGGAGTAACCTCTTCCTAGGATATTACGAATAACATCACAGGGTGTACACCCCTGTGACTTTAAAAGTAACCCCCCCATAGAAGATTATGAATAATATAACAGGGCGCACTCCCCCTGTGACATTAGGAGTAACATCTCCCTAGGATATTATGAATAATGTCACTGGGGGCACACCCTCTGTGATATTAGCAGCAGCATCTACCTAGGAGATTACGAATGATATCACAGGGTGTCCACTCACTGGGATATTAGAAGGAATATCTCCCTAGGATATAAGCTATCACATCACAGAGTGTACACACATGGTGTACACCCACTGTGTTATTAGAAGCAATATCTCCCTACGATATTATGAAAAATATCACGGGGTGTACCCTCTGTGGGATACTAGAAGTAATGTTTACCATGGATATTACAAATAATATCACAGGGTGTACACACATGGGGTACACCCACTGGGATATTAGGAGTTATATCTCTCTAAGATATTACAAATAATATCTCTCTATAAGATTACAAATAATATCTAAGGGTGTACACCCCCTGTGACATTAGGAGTAACATCCCCCTACAATATTGGGAACAATATCACACGGTGTACACCCCTGTAACATTAGGGGTAACATCCCCCCAGAATATTACTAATAATATCACAAGATGTATTGTGACATTAGTAGTAATATCCTGCTAGCATATTTTCAATAATATCACAGAAGGAACACACCTGTGACAATAAGAATAACATCCCCCTAGAATAGTAAGAATAATAGCACAGGGTGTACACCCCCTGTGACATTAGGAGTATCATCTCACTAGAATATTATGAATAATGTCACAGAGTGTTATCTTCTGTGACATTAGGAGTACAGACCCCTGGGAAATTATGAATACTATCACAGGGTTTACACCCCTGTGACATTAGGAGCAACATCTTTCTAGAATATCATGAATAATGTCACAATGTGTACAACCTGGTGTCATTAAAAGTAAAATTGCCCTAGGATATTATGAAATAGAACACAGGGAGAACACCTCGTGTGACATTAGAAGTAACATCCCCTGAGGATATAACGAATATGAGGCATTTGTCCCGGTGGGACGCCCCCCAGAGCAGTGTGTGGCAGGCCCCCGTGGAGGATCAATGCAGTGGCTGAACACCTGGAAGGAACAGGCACTTGGAGTCTGCACATCTGAAACTTGGTAAGACTGGTCTTTGAAACTTGCTCACTCCGTTTGAGTGGAAGCGTGGCCTGATCACCCACGGCGTGCCTGTACAGGCACTTTGGTTTTGGTTTTGACTTGGTTTGAATTGCTTGACGGGACTGGTCTTGAGAACTTGCCCACTCCATTTGAGTGGAAGCATGGCCTGATCACCCACAGCGTGCCTGTACCGGCACTTTGGTTTTTGTTTTTGATTTGACTTGGATTGCTTGATACTTTGGTTTTGGTTTTGACCTGGCTTAGATTTCTGGTTACTCTGATTTTGGTTTTGATTTTTGTTTGGTGCAAACTGCAAAACTGTGTGTGTGCCCTTTTTACCCATTTTTTTGTTTTGTGGTGTGCGTGTGGAGTGAGCATGGTATTTTGTCTCAAAGAAGCATAGGTCAGGCACAAATAAGCCCACCCTACTAGGAACTATGTTGGAAAATTTCAAAAAAAGAATTTAAGAGAGACTATGGAGTACTGTGACACTAGGAAAACTTAAAACTTTGTGTAAGATAGACCGGCCAGCATTAGAGGTAGATTGGCCATTAGAAGGAAGCCTGGACAGGTCCCTTGTTTCAAAGGTATGGCACAAAGTAACCTGTAAGCCAGGGCACCCAGACCAGTTCCCGTACATAGACACTTGGTTACAGCTGGTTTTAGACCCCACGCCCCCAACACACAGCGGTTGAGAGAACAGCAGCATAAGCAGATGGCAGAGGCAAGGAAAGAGCAGCAGAGAGAGAGAGAGGAAAGAGACAGAGAGGAAGAGAGGAAAAGAGAGAGAGGAAGAGACAGAGAGGAACAGACAAAGAGGGAGTCAAGGAGAGAGAGAGAAAGAGAGAGGCAGAGAGAGGAAGAGACAGAGGCAAAAGGAAAGTCAGAAAGAGAGAGACAAAGTCAAAGAGAGAAAGAAAGAAAGAGATATACAAGTAGTTAAAAAAAAGTGTACCCTATTCTTTAAAAGCCAAGGTAAATTTAAAACCTATAATTGATAATTGAAGGTATTCTCCGTAACCCTATAACAGTCCGATACCACTTTGTTGTCAGTGTAAACAAGGGCATATCCCGAAAGCACTGAGGCCTTCCTATCAAAAATCCTTAACCCCATAACCCGCGGATGGCCCAAATGCATTCAATCTGTAGCGGCAACTGCTTCGCTAACAAAAAAAAAAAAAAAAGGGGAAAAAGAATAACTTTTAGAGGAAACCTCATTGTGAGCACATCTCACCAGTTCAGAAGTATCCTAAGGGAAAAAAAAAAAAAAAGGAAAAAAAAGGGGGCGGGTGGAATTTATATAAAAAGAGTATTATATGGTAAATTCTTGTCCTGAAATAAATTAACTGGTTGTTTAAAGAAAGAAATATTTGTAATAAGTCAGAAAGTTGAGGCATGTGGAAGAATTGTCTGCAAAAGTCAAGAAAGAGAAAAATGTTATAAAAAAGAATTTATGCAAAAAATGTTGTATAATTTAAAAGTAACTAGGCCTCCTGAATGTAAAACTATTGAAAAAAAAAAAAAACAACAGTTTATGTGCAAGGTGTATAAGAAAAGTAAAATATATCTTTGGTAAAAGGATTATAAGGAGGCATAAGAATGTACATTTTTACCTACATTAAAAAGTTAAAAATTTATTGTTTTGAAGGTTTAAGCAAATTTTAAAACATTAATTGTAAAGGAAATTCTGTGTATAAACATATTTGCTAAAGTTAAAGAAGTATCATCCAGTTTTTCTGTGAACTAGACATTAAAGTAAAAGCATAACAGGTTTTTCTTAAAGCACCAACCTGCTCTTTAGCAAAAATTATGAAAGGTTAAAAAGAGTCTATAAAATCGTAACTTACGGTCAAACATTAAAAATTAGATAAATATGTCTACAGGCTTTTATTAAAATTAGGTTTAACATTAATAACACACTAATATAAACATAACATTTAGCTTATCTGGTATAAAAATCATACAAGAAGCATTGTTAAATGTAAAATGGTATTTGGCTTTCTTTGGTTTAAAAACTAATAAAAATAGGTGCTAAAGGAAATTTCTCAGTAAAAAGACACTAAGGACTATAAAGTCCACTGCCAAGGTCCCCACATTTAAAACAAAAGGTCAGTTTCTTAAAAATTATATACTTGGTTTATCTTCCACTTTCCTTTCTCTCAAAAACTAAAAGTCTTTTAGCACATGTACCACCGCTAGAATTTCCAGTAAATCAGCACCAGCCTGAAGATCACGTTCTCATCAAAGGGTGGAAAGAAGAAAAACTTGAGCCCGCCTGGGAAGGACCCTACCTTGTCCTGCTAACCACCAAGACTGCTGTTTTTACAGAAAAAAAAAAAGATGGACTCATCACACCCAAGTCAAGAAAGCGCCACCCCCTCCAGAGGTGGGGGCCATAGTCCCAGGGGAAAACCCTACCAAACTAAAGCTAAGAAAAATGTAACTCTTTTCATCTACTCTATTACTCTTTCTTCTTTCCTCATTCTATTGTTGACCATATAGTTATTAACATAATCAAATCAATTTCACCTCAAACTATTGCATTTAATTCTTGCCTTGTTATACCCTGTGGGGACTTGCCAATTCCAAGACA
The DNA here is from genome assembly GCF_000001405.40 of Homo sapiens. Classification (NCBI taxonomy): domain Eukaryota; kingdom Metazoa; phylum Chordata; class Mammalia; order Primates; family Hominidae; genus Homo; species Homo sapiens. The sequence continues at coordinate 42,946,981 of NC_000021.9, read as the reverse complement.
GCTTTCTACTTCAGAAAAGTATCTCTGCCCCTCCTGACTCTCCTCAGACTGGGCATTAGTAAACGAGGACCATTTAATCCGGGGAGATTTCAATAAACACCCCAGTGCCAACTAGGAGTCTTGCCCCCTGACGTAGAGCTTTCATGCCATAGTTGGTCCAACGTCCTGTGGACCACTAAAGAGCAAGGACGGACTGACCCAACCGGTTTTTATAATTTCCTAAAACCATACATTCATTTTACTAGAGGATCATAGAAGTTAAAGACTTAAAACAAACTTTATCAATTAAGACAGGATACCAAGATGCAAATGCCTAGTTAAAATGGATCAAATATTCCATTTGACATTAAATAAAACCAATTGTTATGCTTGTGCACATGGCAGGCCAGAGGCCCAGATTGTCCCCTTTCCACTAAGGTGGTCCTCCAGTTGACCAGGTGTGGGCTGCATGGTAGCTCTTTTCCAGGATTCTACGGCCTGGAGTAATAAGTCGTGCCAAGCTCTCTCTGCTATATCCCAAAGTCCAGCACCCTGTGGGTCAGCCCCTGAGGGCCATCCAACCTCCGTCTCCCAACACTAAGTTCACTTCGTGTCTCTCATGACAGGGAGGAAACTTCGTGTTCCTTGGAGACCTGAAAGGATGCAGTGAAGCATAAGAATTTTCAAGAGCTTATCAATGAGGCAGCCCTTGTTCATCCCTGAGCGGATGTGTGGTGGTATTGTGGTGGACCTTTACTGGGCACTCTGCCGAATAACTGGAGTGGCACTTGTACTTTAGTCCGGTTGGCTATCCCTTTCACCCTGGCATTTCATCAATAAGACATCATAAAGCGAGAGAAGCTCCTTAGGGGTCTTTCAACTCTCATGTCTATTTAGACGCAATTGGAGTCCCACGAGGAATACCAGATCAATTTAAAGCTTGAAATCAAATAGCTGCAGGATTTGAGTCAATATTTTGGTAGGTGACAGTTAATAAAAATGTAGATTGGATAAACTACATCTATTACAACCAACAGCAACGAGCTTTTCATGAGTTAAAAGAAAACTCACGTCAGCTCCAGCCCTGAGGCTACCTGACCTGACAAAACTCAACATTCTATGTGTCAGAAAGAGAAAAAATGGCAGTTGGAGTTTTAACCCAGACTGTGGGGCCCTGGTCAAGGCTAGTGGTCTATTTCTCAAAACAACTAGACAGGGTTTCCAAAGGCTGGCCCCACGTCTAAGGGCCCTGGCAGCAACAGCCCTGTTAGCACAAGAAGCAGATAAACTAACCCTTAAGCAAAATCTGAATATAAAGACCCCCCATGCTGTGGTAACCTTAATAAATACCAAAGGATATCATTGGTTAACAAATGATAGATTAACCAAGTACCAAATCATGCTATTTGAAAATCCCCACATAACCATTGAAGTTTGCAACACCCTAAACCCCACCACATTTCTCCCGGTATCAGAGAGCCCAGTTGAACATAACTGTGTAAAGGTGTTGGACTCAGTTTATTCTAGCAGGCCTAACCTCTGAGACCATCCTTGAACATCAGTAGACTGTGAGCAGTACGTGGAGGGGAGCAGCTTTGCCAACCCCTGCAAAGTGACTCTGAAGAAGACGACAAGCCCTACTCCAGTCACACCTGGAAGCTGACTGGTCCACACACAGCCGAAGCATGAGAAAACCCATTGCGGGACTCATTTTTCTTAAAATTTGGACTTTTACAGTAAGGACTTCAAATGACCTTCCTCAGACTAAGGACAGTTCCCATTGTATACATCAAGTCACTGAGGTAGGACAAAAGGTTGCTATGGTCCTATTATTTTATGGTTATTATAAGTGTACTGGAACTCTAAAAAGAACTTGTTCGTGTAATGTTATTCTATACAAAGTATGTAGCCCAGGAAGTGACCAACCTGATGTGTGTTATGACCCATCTGAGCCTCCCATGACCATAGTTTTTAAAATAAGATTAAGGACTGAGGACTGGTGTGGACTCATAAATGATACGAGTGAAGTGTTAGCCAAAACAGAAGAAAAAGGGGTGCCCAAACAATTCATCTTAAAATTTGATGCCTGTGCTGTCATTAATAGTAGTAAGTTAGGAATAAGTTGTGGTTCTCTTCATTAGAAAAGGCTATATGGCAGAAAATAAATACATCTGTCATAAATTAGCACTGTGTGGAAATAAATGTAAACACTGGTCTTGTGTCATTTTGGCCACTTGGACAAAAAGAAAATGAAAAAGATCCAGTCCACCTTCAGAAAGGAAAAAATGGCCCTTCCTGTACTAAGGGACAATGTAACCCCTTAGAGCTAGTAATAACCAAGCCCCTTGACCCTCGCTAGAAAAACAGAGGAGCGCGTGACCTTAGGAATTGATTGGGCCAGACTGGATCCTCAACTAAATATCTTGGTTCAAGGAGAAGTTTACAAACGCTTTCCTGAGCCAGTGTTTCAAACTTCCTATGATGAACTAAATGTGCCAGTACCAGAAATTTCAGGAAAAACAAGAAATTTGTTTTTGAAATTAGTTGAGCATATAGCCCAGTCTCTCAATGTCACTTCATGCTATGTATGTGGAGAAGCTGTAATAAGAGATCAATGGCCATGGGAAGCCCGAGAATTAGTACCTACAGACCCAGTTCCTGATGAATTCCTGGCTCAAAAGAATCACCCTGATAATTTCTGGTCCTAAAAGCCTCAATTATTAGACAATATTGCATAGCTAGAGAAGGAAGAGAATTCACTCACCCCAGAGGACGACTTAGTTGTCGGAGACAGAAACTGTATAATGATACCACAAAAACAGTCACTTGGTGGACTCCAGTGAACTCCAGTTCAAATCACACAGAGAGAAATCCATTTAGTAAATTCCCAAAGTTGCAAACTGTGTGGACCCACCCGGAGTCCCACCAGGACTGGACAGCCCCCACTGGATTATACTGGATATGTAGGCACAGAGCTTACGCCAAATTACCTGACCAGTAGGCAGGTAGTTGTGTTATTGGTACTATTAAACCATCTTTCTTCCTACTGCCCAAAAAAACAGGCGAACTCCTGGGCTTCCCTGTCTATTCTTCCCACGAAAAGAGAATCGTAGCCATAAGAAATTGAAAAAATGATAAATGGCCCCCTGAGAGAATCATACAACATTATAGTCCTGCTACTTAGGCACAAGACGGCTCGTGGGGATACCGGACCCCCATTTACATGATCAACCGAATCATACAGTTACAAGCTGTCTTAAAAATAAACATTAATAAAACCAGCAGAGCCTTGACTATTGTGGCCTGGCAAGAAGCTCAGATGAGAAATGCTATATGTCAAAATAGATTAGCTCTCAACTACTTGCTAGCAGCTGAAGGAAAGGTCTGTAGGAAATTTAACCTTACTAATTGCTGCGTACACATAGATAATGAAGGGCAAGCAGTTGAAGACATAGTTAGAGATACGACAAAACTGGCACATGTGCCCATGCAAGTGTGGAATGGATTTGATCCTGGGGCCATGTTTAGAAAATGGTTCCCAGCACTTGGCTGGGTGCAGTGGCTCAGGCCTGTAATCCCAGCACTTTGGGAGGCCGAGGCAGGTGGATCACGAGGTCAGGAGATCGAGACCATCCTGGCTAACATGGTGAAAGCCCGTCTTTACTAAAAGTACAAAAAATTAGCCGGCCATGGTGGTGGGCGCCTGTGGTCCCAGCTACTCAGGAGGCTGATGTGGGCAGATCATTTGAGCCCAGGAGGCAGAGGTTGCAGTGAGCCGTGATCTTGACACTGCACTGCAGCCTGGGCAAAAGAATGAGACCTAGTCTCAAAAAAAAGAAAAAAAAATCACCTTCATTTGGGACATCATGGCAAGCACTGGAGAGAAGCCAGGTGGTTCCCCATGTCCTGACCTGGCTTGAACATCACCTGCACACTTAGGTTATCATGTGCCTGGCAAACATTGACCAAGGAATGCCCAGCCTGCTGCCTGGGTACCAGGGACAGTGCCTACATCCTTCTGCTGCCCTAAGCAGGGTTCTGAGTGTGGTCCATCCCTCTTTTCCCCGAGTCACTGGGCAACTGCCAAATGCCGGGCCTTCCCTGAGCCCTGTGCACCAGAGAGCAGAGCCCTGGAGAGATCCCCACACTGTGTCCCACCCCTCCCCTGTGACTTCAGTAAGACTCGCAGTGTGCACTTGCTCATGACTCCCCAGAACTCTAGGATGGCACCAGTGTTGGTTTTTTCTTTCTTTTTGTTAGAAATAAATTTTTGGTGCCACAAAGAAATAGCACTCAAACATAAATTTAATTTTCTCAGCAAGGCAATGTTACTTCTATAGGAGGGTGCACCTCGAGGGTGGAGCAATGGTGAGAGCAAATCTGAAAAGGGAAGGGAAGGGGTTCTTATCCCTGATGCATGCAGCCCCTACTGCTGTGTCATTCCCATATTAGCTAGGGTTGGACCGCACCGTCTAAGCTAATTCCAGTTGGCTGTTTTAAAGAGAGCAGGGGTACGAGCTGGAGTGGCGGGGTGAGTAGTTTGGCGGGAAGGATGGTTACAAAACAGGTGACTCAGAATGACTCAGGTCAGAGCAGGTGATAGAGGCTAGGAGGGGACTGTTCACTGAAACTAGGGGCTAGGAGACGAAGGGAAAGAGGAAATTAAATTTTAAAATGAAGAACAAAGAACAGGGGAGCTGAACATACTGATGCACTGGTTCTTTGGAGAGGATCTCAGAACTCATTGTACTAAACAATTTACAGGCTAAAACCTTTGAAGAAGAATTTATTATATCCTACATTTTGTTTTTGTTTTTGAGACAGGGTCTCGCCCCGTTGCCCAGGCTGGAGTGCAATGGTGCAATCATAGCTCACTGCAACCTCCGCTTCCTGGGCTGGGTCAATCTTCCCACCTCAGCCTCCAGAGTAGCTGGAATTACAGGCATGCACCACCATGCCTGGTTAACTTTTAAATTTTTGTAGAGATGAGATCTCGCCATGTTGTGCAGGCTGGTCTCAAATTCCTGGGCTCAACGGATCCTCCTGCCTCCACCTTCCAAAGTGCTAAGATTATAGGCTTGAGCCACCGTGCCCATCCGGCACCAGTGTTTACCTGTGACAAAGCCACACCCAGACCCTCTACCTTCCCGCTCTTTGTCTCATGAATGAGTAATGAAACCATCCAGGCACAGAGACAAACCTCCTATTTGGTGGACCCGCTGAGATGCCCTGATTGCAAAACAACCATACCTGGAAATTGTCCTACCTATAACTTTTTGTGTGTGTGTGAGACAGTTTCACTCTTGTTGCCCAGGCTGAAGTGCAATAGTGCGATCTCGGCCCACCACAACCTCCGCCTCCCGGGATCAAGCAATTCTCCTGCTTCAGTCTCCCGAGTAGCTGGGACTACTGGCATGCACCGCCACACCCGGCTAATTTTGTACTTTTTAGTAGAGACAGGGTTTCTCCATGTTGGTCAGGCTGGTCTCGAACTCCTGACCTCAGGTGATCCGCCTGCCTTGGGCTCCCAAAGTGCTGGGATTATAGGCATGAGCCACCGCGCCCGGCCCTAGCCGGCTTCTTTACTGCAACCTGTTTTATCAGCAAGGTCTTTATGACCAGTGTCTTGTGCGAACTTCCTATCTCATCTTGTGACTTAGAATGCCTTAACCATCTGGGAATGCAGCCCCGGGAGGTCTCAGCCTCACTTTACCCAGCCCCTATTCAAGATTGAGTTGCTGTGGTTCACACGCCCCTGACACTCAAACACGTGCATTCAGACACTCACACGAGCAGGTGAGCGGCTTTGTGACACGCTGGCTGGAGAATTCCCTCTCCAAATCACAGTTCTGTTCTCAACCTTTTGTGCATAGGCCACTCTGATTTGCTCCCTGACTGCCAACCCCCGCCAAGAAAAACAGACTTTGGGCTGGGTGCGGTGGCTCACACATGTAATCTCAGCACTTTGGGAGGCCAAGGCAGGTGGATCACCTCAGGTTAGGAGTTTGAGACCAGCCTGGCCAACATGGTGAAGCCCCATCTCTACTAAAAATACAAATATTAGCTGGTTGTGGTGGCGGGCACCTGTAGTCCCAGCTACTGGGGAGGCTGAGGCAGGAGAATCCCTTGAACCTGGGAGGTGGAAGCTGCAGTGAGCCAGCATCATACCATTGCACTCCAGCTTCGGTGACACAGTGAGACTGCATGTCAAAAAACAAAAACAGGGTCGGGTGTGGTGGCTCACACCTGTAATTCCAGCACTTTGGGAGGCCGAGGCTGGCAATCACCTGAAGTCGGGAGTTTGAGACCAGCCTGACCAACATGGAGAAACCCCATCTCTGCTAAAAATACAAAATTAGCCAGGTGTGGTGGCGCGTGCCTGTAATCCCAGCTACTCGGGAGGCTGAGGCAGGAGAAGTGCTTGAAGCTGGGAGGCGGAGGTTGTGGTGAGCCAAGATAGTGCCACTGCACTCCAGCCTGGGCGACAGAGTGAAACTCCATCTCAAACAAAAACAAAAACAAGACTTTGTAAATAGAAAGATGTAAAGAAAGATAAGAATTTTGAGGCTGATACATTTCACATGCCCGGGGCTCTGTATTCTTTCTTCCTGGGCTCCTTCCCCATCCCCTGGATCGTCTTGTCATCATCGCCCCTGCTCACAGTGAACGATTTCCTCACTGGGAATTTCACAAGAACTGTAGACGCTGCCAGAATTCTTTGGCACAAAACTCCTCTGAGTCAGAGCCTAACGCTGTTAGCAAGGGAAGAACAGCTGCAAGGGCCACACATCTGTGAGTCTTTTGAGAATTTTATGATGAATAAAAACTATCCGTTACACAGACTCATACATTATATATTAACCTAACATGTCTTCAATTGCACTGCTAACCGTCTCTTTTCATACTTTTTTCTAACGACACCCCAATCCCAACAATAAATTAAAAAATCTGAAACTTTGACTATCTAGTAGCACTGCATGCCGTTTCCTAGTCGTATTCCTATTCCGCCTTTGGAGTAGCCATTCCCTTATTCCTTTACTTTCTTAATAAACTTGGTTTCGCTTTACAGACTGGCCCTGAATTCTTTTTGGCACGAGATCTAAGAACCCTCTTTTGGGGTCTGGATCTGGACCCCTTTCCTGTAACATAAGGGTCCCTTCACTGCGCTTGTGACATCCCAGGATCACCCTGGCCTCTAGGCAGTGTAGCTCCAGCTGGGCTGAGTGGAAGAGCCACCCAACGTGTTCAGTTTTACAAGAAGAATCATAAATAGAGCATTCACCAAAGGGGCAGAAGAGAAGCGGAAACCCTCAGGGTGCTGAGATTGTGGAAAGAGAATGATGCACTTAAATAACTGAAAGGTTGAAAAAAGTATGAAGAGCATCAAAAGATGCTGGAAAATACACCTTAAAAATACTGTGACCGGGGGCGGTGGCTCACGCCTGCAATCCCAGCACTTTGGGAGGCCGAGGTGGGTGGATCACCTGAGGTCGGGAGTTCAAGACCAGCCTGGCCAACATGGAGAAATCCCATCTCTACTAAAAATACAAAAAAATCAGCCAAGCTTGATGGCGCATGCTTGTAATCCCAGCTACTCGGGAGGCTGAAGCAGGAGAATCGCTTGAACCCGGGAGGCAGAGGTTGCAGTGAGCTGAGATCGCACCATTGCACTCCAGCCTCGGCAATAAGAGCAAAATTCCGTCTCAAAAAAAAAAAAAAAAAAAAAAAAAACAAGAAACAAAAAACCAAAGAAAACTTCAAGCCCCATGAGCTGGCTTAGGCTGACTCCCGCAAGTAGATGCCTTAGTTTGCAACCCGTCTGGTGACACAATTAGGATTTTTAAAGTGCTCAGTGGCACAAGGAAAAGGGAGGAAGGGTGGAAACTCAAAGCCATGAGAAAGACAACAGCCTGGGCTGGCGCGGTGGCTCACGCCTGAAATCTCAGCACTTTGGGAAGCTGAGGTAGGAAGATCACTTGAGGTCAAGAGTTTGTGACCAGTCTGGCCAAGATGGTGAAACCCTATCTCTAGCAAAAAATACAAAAATGAGCTGGGCGTGGTGGTGCACGCCTGTGGTCCCATCTACTTGGGAGGCTGAGGTGGGAGAATCGCTTGAACCCGGGAGGTGGAGGTTGCAGTGAGCCATGGTCACGCCACTGCACTCCAGCCTGGGGGACAGAGTGAGACCCTGTCTCAAAAAAATGAAAGACAAGTGCCTGCTTTTAAGTACAACTCAGGCCAAGGAAGGGCTCCTCCATGCAGAGGATCCTCACTGACAGCAGCAGGTAAACATTGCACCTGTGTCCTGCAGAGGCCCTCGGAGTCCCCCCTCCCTTTCCTCAGATAGGAAGGTTCAGATTCCCAGGGCTTAGGTCAGTTTGCAGAAATGTCTTTTCCCCCCTTTCTTTTTTTCCATAAACTCCATAGTTTAAAGCTTCTTTCCTGGAAAATAGCTGTCGGTGCCATGAAACTTTGCCTGTTGCACTAGAACGTCCTTTCTAGAATTTCTCCCTTACTCCGGCAGCAGCGACTTTCCATATGTCCTGGAGAAGAGAGTGTTTTACCTTGGCTTCCTCTCATTGGCTCAGGGCCGAGGATGATATATTTTAAGCCGTACATTTAAAAATAAAAGTCTTGGCAAGGGTTCTGATGAACTAAAACCATCAAGACATACTCGTTAGCTTAGGCTCCCATCCGCTTGGATTTCATAAGATTTCAAAGCCAATGCTGGAAAGAGAAAAAGAAGGCCGGGCATGGTGGCTCGTGGCTGTAATCCCAGCGCTTTGGGAGGCAGAGGCAGGAAGATCACTTGAGCCCAGCAGTTGGAGACCAGCCTGGGCAATATAGCTAGACTCTGTCTCAACAACAACAAAATTAGTCGGGCGTGGTGGCACGTGCCTGTAGTCCCAGTTACTCGGGAGGCTAAGGCACGGGAACCTTGAAAATTTGAGGCAGGCCTCAGTTAATTTAGAAAGTTTATTTTGCGAAGGTTGAGTACGCACCCGCGACACAGCTTCAGGAGGTCCTGACAACACGTGCCCAGGGTGGTCGGGGCACAGTTTGGTTTTATACATTTTAGGGAGACGTGAGACATCAATCAATATAGGTAAGAAGTACATTGGTTCGGTCTGGAAGGCAGGACAACCTGAAGCAAAGGCAGGAAGACAGGAAGCGGGGAGGGGGCTTGCAGGTCACAGGTAGGAGACAGACAAATGGTTGCATTCTTTTGAGTTTCTGATTAGTCTTTTCAAAGGAGGCCATCAGACATGCATTTACCTCAGTGAGCAGAGGGGTGACTTTGAATAGAATGGGAGGCAGGTTGGCCCTAAGCAGTTTCCAGCTTCACTTTTCCCTTTAGCTTAGTGATTTGGGGTGGGGGCAGGGGCAAGATTTGTTTTCCTTTCACAGGCAGGAGAATCACTGGAGCTCAGGAGTTTGAGATTGTAGTGAGCTGTTTTAGCAGGATGAGCTGTGGACAAAACCCCTCAGACACCAAGATAGTGAAGGGAGTGGCTGTAATCAGCTGGGAGCATGGGCAGGCTAGCGTCTTAAAATCCGAGCTCCTCAGTGCTCAACTTCTGTCCCTTTTAAGGGCTCACAACTCTAAGGGGGTCCGTGTGAGAGGGTCGTGATCGATTGAGCAAGCCAGGGGGTATGTGACGGGGGCTGCGAGCACCGGTGGTCAGAGTGAAAAAGAACAGAACGGGAGGTTTCACAATGTCCTTCCACACAATGTCTGGAATCTATAGATAACATCAGTTCCTAGGTCAGGGGTCGAATTTTAACTACCAGGCTTAGGTCAGGCAGGCCCAGGCCTGGTTTCGGGTCTGCTTCCTAGGCGCCGGGCTACCTGCCTTTAGTTTCACTTCTCTTTTTCTGAGTATAGAACAATATAAAACAATATGAGAGGGTCTCTCTCTTACCTCATTCCCCTGCTTTGAGACTCTCACTTTTTATTAGTGGGAGTTCTCACTCTTATCTTTGCCACTTATGTCTTCTTGTTGTTGTACCTGAGCGAGTTAGAGAAAACGCCACACTTTGAGACGAATTAAGAGTCCGTTTATTTAGCCTGCGGCCAAGAGATGGCTAATGCTCAAAGTTCTCTTGGCCCCGAAGAAGGGGCTAGATTTTCTTTTATACTTTGGTTTAGAAAGGGGAGGGGGGGTCTAGTTAAAACAATTTTACAGAAGTAAAGTAGGCAAAAAAGTTAAAAGGATAAATGGTTACAGGAAAGTAAACAGTTCCAGGTGCAGGGGCTTTAAGACTATTACAAGATGATAGTCTTGGCTTTGGGCGTTATCAATCAGACGAATTCCTGGGAACTGCGGATATAGCTCGCCACAGTATCTTATCAGTTAACTGCATTCTTGGATGTGCTGGGAGTCAGCTTGCACAAGTTAAGTCCTTGAGGAAGGGGCTGCCAGGGAAAGAGCCAAGATGGAGTCTGTCTGGCTCTCTCAGCTAAGGGAGAGTCCATTCAGGTGGAAATGAGGCTAGGTGAGTAAAGGAAAGGGAGAGTCTAAGAACAGGGTTAGTAAGAACAAGGTTGGGCATTACATTGTACAATAGATTGCTAGTGATTCATATAGTACACTTGTGCTGATGCATTTTGGTGAACTAAGGTAGCGATGAAGCTTTTTATCATTTGAAGAGGTACAGGTAGCAAATAAGGGAGCAGTAAGCAGGTTTCTGTTACTATTATAACTCCTATTATAAGAGTTTTAAATCCTTCTAGTGCTGGGAACCACCTGGCTCCAGGGCCGAATCCGTGTTACACTTGCAAGGGCACATGTGCCAGTTTTGTCATATTTCTAACTATGTCTTTAACTACTTGTCTTTAATTATCTATGTGTACACAGTAATTAGTAAGGTTAAATTTCTTGTAGACCTCTCTTTCGCCTGCTAGCAAGTAGTCGATCTATTGATCGATGGCAAGTAGCTGCTAGCCAGTGTATTTTGATAGATAGCAGTTCTTCTCCGAGTTTCTTGCTGGGCCAGAACAGTCAAGGCTTGACCGGTTTTATTAGTGATGATTTCTAAAACAGCTTGCAACTGTATGATTTCGTTGAGCATGTAAATGGGGGTCCGGTATCCCCATGACCTGTGTTATGTCTAAGTGGCAGGCCTATAGTATCGTATAATTTTTTTTTTTTTTTTTTTTGAGACGGAGTCTCGCTCTGTCACCCAGGCTGGAGTGCAGTGGTGTGATCTCGGCTCACTGCAAGCTCCGCCTCCCGGGTTCACGCCATTCTCCTGCCTCAGCCTCCTGAGTAGCTGGGACTACAGGCGCCCACAATCATGAGTATTGTATAATTTTTTTAGGAGGCCATTCATCATCTTTTTAATTATCTATGGCTATGTTTCACTTTTTGCAGGAGGCATAGACAGGGAAGCCCAGGAGTTCACCTGTTCTTATGGGCAGTAGGAAGAAAGATGGTTTAATAGTGCCAATAACACAACTACCTGTCCACTGGTCAGGCAGCTTAGCATGGGCTGGATGTCTACATATCTAGTATAGCCCAGTGGGGGCCTCCAGCCCCAGTGGGATTCTGGGGGGGCCCAAACAGTCAGCAACTTTGGAAATTTACTGAATGGATTTTTATCTGTATGGCTTGAACTCCACATGTAACTGTTTTTGTGGTACCATTATACAGTTTTTGTCCAAGGCAACTAAGTCATCCTACAGAATGAGTGAATTCTTTCCTTTTTTAAACTATGCAATATTTTCTAATAATTGAGACTTTTAGAACCTAGAAATGATCAAGGTGATTTCTTTTGGGCCGGGAATTCATCAGGAACTGGGTCTGTAGGCACTAATTCTCAGGCTTCTTATGGCCATTGATCTCCTATTACAGTTTCTCCACAAACATAACATGAAGTGACATTTAGAGACTGGGCTACATGCTTGGCTAATTGCAAAAATGATTTCTGGTTTTTCCTGGAGTCTCTGGTACTGGCACATTTAGTTCATCATAGAAAGTCTGAAATACTGGTTCTAGAGAGAGTTTATGAACCTCCTCTTTTACTACGATATTTACTCTAGGATCTAGTCCTTTTCTATCCATGCCCAGAGATATGTGTTCTCTTTTTTTCTACCTTGGGTTTAAGGGATTTGTAATTACTAATTTTAAGGGGTTGCAGCTTCCACTCATACAGGCGGGGCTGCCTTCTCCTTTTTGGAGCTAAACAGGATTTTTTCATCCTTTTTCCAAGTAGTCCAGATGACACAAGACCAGTAATTACACACAGTTGCACATGAGCTTAATTCATGGCAGATATACTTATTTCCTGCCGTGTAACTTTTTTTTTTCAATTTAAAGAACCACATCTTATCCTATGCCGATTGCTATTGATAGTGGCACAAGCATTAAGTTTTAGGGTTATATGCTTGGGGACCCATCTTTCTTCTGTCTTAGCTGTTACTTTACTTGCGTCGCCTAGAAAATGACCAGTCCTTAATTTTATTCTAAAAACTGTGATCATGGGAGGCTTAAAATGGGTCATAACAGGCATCAGGTTGGTTATTTCCTGAGCTACATACCTTGGATAGAATAGCATTATACAAACAAGTTTCTTTTAGAGTCCCGGTACACTTATAATAACCATAAAATAACAGGACTGTAGCAATCTTTTGTCCTACCTTAGTGACTTGATGTATATACTGGGAACAGTCCTCAGTCTAAGGAAGGTCAGTTGAAGTCCTTACTGTACAAGTCCAAATTTTAAGGAAAATGAGTCCCGCGATGAGTTGTCTCATGCTTCGGCCGTGTGTGGACCAGTCAGCTTCCGGGTGTGACTGGAGCAGGGCTTGTCGTCTTCTTCAGAGTTACTTTGCAGGAGTTGGCGAAGCTGCTCCCATCCACGTACAGCTCCCAGTCTACTGATGTTTAAGGATGGTCTCGGAGGTTGGGCCCCCTAGAATAAACTGAGTCCAACACTTCTACACAGTTATGTTTAACTGGGCTCTCTGATACCAGGAGCAAGGTGGCGGGGCTTAGGGTGTTGCAAACTTCGATGCTTATGCGGGGATTTTCACAGAGCAAGCTTTGGTATCTAGTTAGTCTAGCATTCATTAGCTAATGATGTCCTTTGGTATTTATTAAAGTCACCACAGTATGGGGGGACTTTAGGTTTTGCCTAAGAGTTAGCTTATCTGCTTCTTGTGCTAACAGGGCCATTGCTGCCAGGGCCCTTAGACTTGGGGGCCAGCCTTTGGAAACCCCATCTAGTTGTTTTGAGAGATAGGCCACTGGCCTTGGCAGGGGCCCTACAGTCTGGGTTAAAACTGCAACTGCCTTTTTTTTTTTTTTTTTTACTTTTTTTTCTGTTAGCAAAGCAGCTGCCGCTACAGATTGAATGCATCTGGGCCATCCACGGGTTACTGGGTTAAGGATTTTTGATAGGAAGGCCTCAATGCTTTCGGGATACGCCCTTGTTTACACTGACAACAAAGTGGTATTAGAGTGTTTCCGGCTTATGGAGAATACCTTTAATTATCAATTATAGGTTTTAAATTTACCTTGGCTTTTAAAGAAATAGGGTATACTGTTTTTTTTCTTAACTACTTGTATATTTCTCTCTTTCTCTTTTTCTTCTCTCTTTGACTTTCTGTCTCTCTTAACTACTGTTGGGGGGAAGGGGTCTAAAACCAGCTGTGACTAAGTGTCTATGTACAGAAACTGGTCTGGGTGCCCTGGCTTACAAGTTACTTTGTGCCGTACCTTTGAAACAAGGGCCGTGTCCAAGCTTCTTTCTGATGGCCAACCTACCTCTAATGCTGGCCGGTCTATTTCACACAAAGTTCTAAGATTTCCTGGTGTCATAGTAACACCGTAATCTCCCTCAAATCCTTTCTTGAAAATTTTCAATATAGTTCCTAGTAGGGTGGGCTTATTTGTTTCTCACCCATGCTTCTTCAAGACAAAACACCACGCTCACACCACACGCACACCACAAAACAAAGAACAGGTAAAAAGGGCACACACACACTTTTGCAGTTTACACCAAACCAAAATCAAAACCAAAATCAGAGTATCCAGAAATCCAAGCCAGGTCAAAACCAAAACCAAAGTATCAAGCAATCTAAGTCAAGTCAAAAACAAAAACCAAAGTGCTGGTACAGGCACACTGTGGGTGATCAGGCCACCCTTCCACTCAAATGGAGTGGGCAAGTTCCCAAGACCAGTCCTGTCAAGCAATTCAAACCAAGTCAAAACCAAAACCAAAGTGCCTGTACAGGCACGCCGTGGGTGATCAGGCCACGCTTCCACTCAAATGGAGTGGGCAAGTTCCAAAGACCAGTCTTACCAAGTTTCAGATGTCTGGACTCCAGGTGCCAGTTCCTTCCCGGTGTTCAGCCACTGCATTGATCCTCCATGGGAGCCTGCCACACACTGCTCTGGGGGGCGTCCCACCGGGGCAAATGCCTACCCGGGAGCACTCTCAGGATCCGTGTCGCTCCAGCTGGTTGGAGTCCCCCGCAGGGATGTTCCACAGGGCAGGCTAAAGCCACCTAAGGAGCTGCCTCGACTGTCCATTAATCACCTCACTTCCCGGTCAGGGAACCAAGAAATGTAGCAGGACGAGCCGTGGACAAAACCCCTCAGACACCAAGATAGTGAAGGGAGTGGCTGTAATCAGCTGGGAGCATGGGCACGCTAGCGTCTTAAAATCCGAGCTCCTTGGGTGCTCAACTTCTGTCCCTTTTAAGGGCTCACAACTCTAAGGGGGTCCGTGTGAGAGGGTCGTGATCAATTGAGAAAGCCAGGGGGTATGTGACAGGGGCTGCGAGCACCGGTGGTCAGAGTGAAAAAGAACAGAACTGGAGGTTTCACAATGTCCTTCCACACAATGTCTGGAATCTATAGATAACATCAGTTCCTAGGTCAGGGGTCGAATTTTAACTACCAGGCTTAGGTCAGGCAGGCCCAGGCCTGGTTTCGGGTCTGCTTCCTAGGCACCGGGCTACCTGCCTTTAGTTTCGCTTCTCTTTCTTTTTCTGAGTATAAAACAATATGAGAGGGTCTCTGTCTTCCCTCAATGTGATCATGCCACTGCACTCCAGCCAGGACGACATGGTGAGAACTCATTTCTAAAAAAATAGAAAAAAAGAGTAGTGGCTGCCTGTGCGGAGCAACAGGACCACATCCCTCAGTGCAGTGGTTCTACTCCCTCCACTGAGCTGGCATCATGGGAACAGACGACCCAGTGGTGCAGGAAGCTGCTCTTGTGGCCCTGGGGAGCCTCCAGAAGGATCCTGCCATGCGGATCTGTGGGTCAGGCCTTGACTGACTCAGAAGTACAAAGAAGCTTCCCTCTGATCCGTCACTTTCTCCCCAGGTTTACAGCAAGACTATGATTCCCTGATGGGCTCTTCCTGCCTGCCGCATAGATGACATCAGGTCACTGAGACTGACTGCGGTATTGCAGTAAAGAAAGAGTTTAATTAATGTGAGTCCAGCCCCGTGGGAGATGGAGTTCCTACTCAAATCAGTCTCCCCAGAGGCTTGCAGGTTAGGGTTTTTATGGACAATCTGGTAGGCGTGGAGCTAGAGGATGGGTGCAGCTAAATGGTTGAGATGAAATGATAGGGGTATCACCTGGGCACTGTGGCTCATGCCTGTAATCCCAGCTCTTTGGGAGGCTGAGGTGGGAGGATCATTTGAGGCCAGGAGTTAGAGACCAGCCTGGGCAACAAAGTGAAACCCTTGTCTACAAAAAATTTTTAAAAATTAGCCAGGGAGTGGTGTGGTGGCTCATGCCTGTAATCCCAGCACTTTGGGAGGCTGAAGCGGGTGGATCAACTGAGGTCAAGAGTTCGAGACCAGCCTGGCCAACATGGTGAAACCCCATCTCTACTAAAAATATAAAAATTAGTGGGGCATGGTGGGGCATGCCTGTAATCCCAGCTAATGGGGGTGTTGAGGCACAGGAATCGCTTGAACCCGGGAGGCAGAGGTTGCAGTGAGCCGAGATTGTGCCAGTGCACTCCAGCCTGGGCAACAGAGCGAGACTCCATCTCAAAAACAACAATAACAACAAGAACACAACAACAACAGCCGAGTGCAGTAGCTCACACCTGTAATTTCAGCACTTTGGGAGGCCAGGGTGGATAACCTGAGTTCTAGACCAGCCTAACCAACATGGAGAGACCCTGTCTCTAGTAAAAATACAAAATTATCCGGGTGTGGTGGCGCACGCCTGTAATCCCAGCTATTCGGGAGGCTGAGGCAGGAGAATTGCTTGAACCTGGGAGGTGGAGGTTGCAGTGAGCCGAGACTGTGCCACTGCACTCCAGCCTGGGCAACAAGAGTGAAACTCCATCTCAAAAACAACCACCACCACCACAACAACAAAACAATTAGCCAGGCGTGGTGGCACATGCCTGTAGTTCTAGCTACTTGGGAGGCTGAGGTGGGAGGATCACTTCAATCACAGAGTTGGAGGCTGCAGTGAACTGTGATAGTGCCACTATATATATATATAAAGAAAAATCTTACAGGTATGGAGAACAGTCCTCCTGTGCTGAGTCTGCCTCTGGGTGGGGCCACAGGATTGGCTGGGTCACAAGTCACGGGTCCCAGTAGGGCCACTCAGTTGCCAATGTGAAAGGAAAATAAATCTAGGGACCCCCAAATCACAAAGGGAAAAGTCAAGCTGGGAACTGCTCCTGGCAAACCTGCCTTCCACGCTAGTCAAAGTCATCCCTCTGCTCACTAAGATAAAGGCATATCTGGTTGCCTCCTTTGTAAAGGCTAGTCAGAAATGCAAAAGAACACAACCATTTGTCTCTTATCTACCTATGACTTGGGAGCCCTCTCCCTGCTTCAAGCTGTCCCACACTTCCAGGTCGAACCAATGGACACCTGACACATATTGATTGATGTTGCATGCCTCCCTGAAGTATGTCACACCAAACTGTGCCCCGACCATTTTGGGCACATATTATCAGGACCACCTGAGGCTGTGTCACAGCATGTGTCCTTAACTTTGACAAAATAAACTTCCTAAATTGACTGAGACCAGTCTCATATATTTGGGGTTCACACCAGAAAGTTTGAAAAAAAAATCTCAAAAGACCAATTTCGTCTGGTCACGGTGGCTCGCGGCTGTAATCCCAGCACTCTGGGAGCCCGAGGCAGCTGGATCATCTGAGGTCAGGCGTTTGAGACCAGCCTGGCCAATATGATGAAACCCCGTCTCTACTAAAAACACAAAAATTACCCGGGCATGGTGGCGGGTGCCTATAATCCCAGCTACTTGGGAGGCTGAGGTAGGAGAATGGCTTGAACCCAGGAGGCGGAGGTTGCAGTGATCTGAGATCGTGCCATTGCACTCCAGCCTGGGAGACAAAAGTGTCTCAAAAAGAAAAAAAGGCCAATCTTAGGTTCTACAATAGTGATGTTATCTATTGGAGCAATTGAGGAAGTCACAAATCCAGCTGCCTCTGGCTATATTGTTCCTGGGCAGTAAAGGATTATAGGCCCAGAGCAGTGGCTCACGCCTGTAATCCCAACACTTTGGGAGGCCAAGGTGGGAGGATCCTTTGAGCCCAGGAGTTCCAGACCAGCCTGAGCAACACGGTGAAACCCCCATCTCTATAAAAAATACAAAAAATTAGCTGGGCATGGTGGCACGCGCCTGTGGTCCCAGCTACTTAGGAGGCTGAGGCAGGAGGATCACCTGAGCTCAGGCAATGGAGGTTGCAACTGAGCCAAGTTCATACCACTGTACTCCAGCCTAAGCAACAGAGTGAGACCCTGTCTGAAAAAAAGAAAGAAAGAAAGAAAGAAAAAAAGAAAGAAAGAAAAAAAGAAACAAACAAACAAACAAACTACACTGCTGGGTGGCACGGTGGCTCACACCTATAATCCCAGCACTTTGGGAGGCAGAGATGGGCAGATCACAACGTCAGGAGTTCAAGACCAGCCTGGCCAACATAGTGAAACTCTGTTACTACTAAAAATACAAAAATTAGCTGGGCATGGTGGCACACGCCTGTAGTCCCGGCTACTCGGGAGGCTGAGGCAGGAGAATCGCTTGAACCTGCGAGGCGGAGGTTGTGGTGAACCGAGATAGCACCACTGTGCTCCAGCCTGGGTGACAGAGTGAGACTTTTTCTCAAAAAGAAAAAAAGAAAGAAAGAAAGAAAGAAATTACAGCTACATTTATTCAGGCCTGTCCCATAATATTATTCTTGTGGCCTTTCATTAGTCTTTGAAAGGCAGTTTTTGGTCCCTGAGCGAGGAGGGTTAGTGTCAGGAAAGGACTATTAGCATCCTTGCTTTCAAGTTGAATTACAAACGAAATTCCTCCATGGTTAGCTTGGTTTACGCCCAGGAATGAGCAAGAGCCGCTAGAGATCAGAAGCAAGGTGGAGTCTACTCTCTGTCAGATTTCTCCTACTGTCACCATTTTTCTTTTTCTTTTCTTTTTTTTTTTTTTTTGAGACGGAGTCTCGCTCTGTCGCCCATGCTGGAGTGCAGTGGCGCAATCTCGGCTCACTGCAAGCTCCGCCTGCCGGGTTCATACATTCTCCTGCCTCAGCCTCCCAAGTAGCTGGGACTACAGGCACCCGCCACCACGCCCGGCTAATTTTTTTTATTTTTAGTAGAGACGGGGTTTCACCATGTTAGCCAGGATGGTCTGGATCTCCTGACCTCGTGATCCACCCACCTTGGCCTCCCAAAGTGCTGGGATTACAGGCGTGAGCCACCGCGCCCAGCCAACTGTCACCATTTTTCAAAGGCAGTTTCAAGACACCTGTGAAATGAAAATAAATCTCAGGACACCCAAATCACTAAGCCAAGGGAAGTCAAGCTGGGAACCATGTCAGGAAAACCTGCCTCCCATTCTACTCCTAAATAAAACAGGTACAAAGAAAAGAGCATATATATGTCCCTCACAATTTGCTCACAGGAAAATTCCTTGTGGACAAAGGACAGAAAACTCAGTCATCCCTCTGAGGCTCCCCTGAGACAAATGCACATCTGATTGCTTCCTCTGCCCTATTGTTTATGTAAAAATGCAGATTCGCTGAGCCAGACTCAATTGTGTATTCAGTGGAAGGCTGACCAAGGACTCAAAAGAATGCAACTTTTGTCTCTCTCTCCTTTTTTTTTTTTTTGAGATGGAGTCTCACCCTGTCACCCAGGCTGGAGTGCAGTGGCGCGATCTCCGCTCACCGCAACCTCCACCTCCCGGGTTCAAGCCATTCTCCTGCCTCGGCCTCCCGAGTAGCTGGGACTGCAGGCACCCACCACCACGCCCGGCTAATTTTTTGTTTTTAGTAGAGATGGGGTTTCACCATGTTGGCCAGGCTGGTCTCAAACTCCGGACCTCAGGTGATCG
Source organism: Homo sapiens (assembly GCF_000001405.40). NCBI lineage: Eukaryota > Metazoa > Chordata > Mammalia > Primates > Hominidae > Homo > Homo sapiens. Next base: position 42,927,652 of record NC_000021.9, on the reverse strand, counting down.
GCCCGCCTCGGCCTCCCAAAGTGCTGGGGTTACAGGCGTGAGCCACCACGGCCGGCCTCACACATACTGATTGATGTCTCATGTCTCCCTGAAGTGTATGAAAGCAAGCTGTGCCCGACCACCTTGGGCACACGCCCTCGGGTCCTCCTGAGGCTGTCACAGGCGCGTCTGTAAACTCGGCAAAATAAACTTTCCACATTGGCTGAGAGGTGTCTTGGAAGCTTTGGGCTCACACACTGGCTGCCTGTGTCAGTCCCCCAGCGAGGCACAGCCGTCCCCAGCTTGTCTATAACCCCAGATTTGTCCCGCCCACAGTATTCCCTAGGTGAAAAGATAGCCCAGAGCGTTCTGTGCTCTGCTAGGCTTGCACAGAGAGACCTGAGCTCGGGACTTCACTCGTGCCCTCCACCCATGCCCAGCGCAATTGTTTAGCCATGTAGTCCCTGAATACCTGCTTCACTCATTACAATCACGTTTCTAAATTTGTGGAATTTGTGATACAAAGAACAAGCCAATAAATCGCTTATGTATTTTAATGTAAATTGTTGGCGAGGAATTTAGCAACTGCCTCTTTTTTCCTTTAAAAATCCACTTGTTGGCCGGGCGCGGTGACTCACGCCTGTAATCCCAGCACTTCGGCAGGAGAGGCGGGCGGATCACGAGGTCAGGAAATTGAGACCCTCCTGGCTAACACAGTGAAACCCCGTCTCTACTAAAAATACAAAAAAATTAGCCGGGCGTGGTGGCGGGTGCCTGTAGTCCCAGCTACTCGGGAGGCTGAGGCAGGAGAATGGCGGGAACCCGGGAGGCGGAGCTTGCAGTGAGCCGAGATCGCGCCACTGCACTCCAGCCTGGGCGACAGAGCGAGACTCCGTCTCAAAAAAAAAAAAAAAAAAAAAAACCAAGAAACAAAAAACAAAAAACCCACTTGTGGGCAGGTGCGGATGGCTCATGCCTATAATTTCAGCTCTTTGGGAGGCCAAGGCAGGCCAGATCATTTGAGGTCATTTGAGGTCATTTGAGGTCAGGAGTTTGAGACCAGCCTGGCCAACATGGCTAAACCCCATCTCTACCAAAAAAAAAAAAAAAAAAAAAAAAAAAAAAATTAGCTGGGCGTGATGGCGTGCACATGTAATCCCAGGTACTCAGGAGGCTGAGGCAGGACAATCGCTTGAACCCGGGAGATGGAGGTTGCACTGAGCCAAGATGGCACCACTGCAGTCCAGCCTGGGCAATAGAGTTAGACTCTGTCTCAGAATTAAAAAAAAAAATCCCACTTGAGGCCAGGCACAATGGCTCACGCCTGTAATCCCAGCGCTTTGGGAGGCCGAGGCAGATGGGTTACTTGAGGCCAGGAGTTTGATGCCATTTTGGGTGCGGATGTGGAAAATCTGAGACAGGTTTTTTTTTTTGAGATGGAGGCTCGCTCTGTCGTCCAGGCTGGAGTGCGGTGGCGCGATCTCCGCTCACTGCAAGCTCTGCCTCCCGGGTTCAGGCCATTCTCCTGGCTCAGCCTCCCAAGTAGCTGGGACTACAGGCGCCTGCAACCATGCCCGGCTAATTTTTTGTATTTTTAGTAGAGACGGGGTTTCACCGTGTTAGCCAGGACGGTCTCGATCTCCTGACCTCGTGATCTGCCCGCCTGGGCCTCCCAAAGTGCTGGGATTACAGGTGTGAGCCACCGTGCCCGGCTGAGACAGGTCTCTTGTTAATTTAGAAAGTTTATTTTGCCAAGGTTGGGCAGGGACCTGTGACACCGCCTCAGGAAGTCCTGATTGAAAGATTCTCCCAGGGGCCTGAAAGCTTGAGGGAATGAGTAACTCCTCCTCCTCAGGCCCAGTCCCAACGCTCAAACTTGCACCAGCAGCAAGATAGCAGAGGCAGGAAAAGAGCTGGCTGGAAGACACATACTCTCTGAAGATCAAGGGGGAGGCCGTCCGCGTACTACATAGCAGTCACGTCAGGCTGGGACAATTCCTGTTTACAGAGAACTATAAAAGCCCTGCCCCCTCCTCACTTGGGGCTGATGCCATTCTAGGCCTCAGTCTGTCTGCATCCAGGTGCTTATTAAAACAGTGTGTTGCTCCACACCGCCTCGTGTTGTCTGTTGGCGCGCTCTCCGGGTTCCAACCAATGCAAGAGCCTTGGGGCTGGCCCTGAAACCTGCGAGGGGCTTCCGTCCACGTCCCCAGTGGACCTACCACCCCTCCATCTGGGAAAGCAGGCCACAGCAGCCGGACAAAGGAAGCTCCTCAGCCTCTAGTCGCCTCTCTGTGCATGCACATCGGTCACTGATCTCGCCTACTGGTAAGTTTCCTGGGAGCCCGGTTAACAGGGAAAAATCCGCACGGCCTCTCTTGGTTTCTCCAGCCCCAAAATCCAACATGGGTCCAAGAAGGCTATGGCATGGCCGGGCGTGGTGGTTCACGCCCGTAATCCCAGCACTTTGGGAGGCCAAGGCCGTTGGATTCACGAGATCAGGAGTTCGAGACCAGCCTGGTCAACATGGTGAAACTCCGTCTCTACTAAAAATACAAAAATTAGCTGGGCACAGTGGCAGGCCCCTGTAATCCCAGCTACTCGGGAGGCTGAGGCAGGAGGATCGCTTGAACCCGGGAGGTGGAGGTTGCAGTGAGCAGAGATCGCGCCACTGCACTCTAGCCTGGGTAACAGAGCAAGACTCTGTCTCAAAAAAAAAAAAAAATGCTAAGGTGTGTGCCAGGCACTCGCTGATCATCTGGTCTTAGGGGGACTCTAAGCCAGTTGATCCCATTCTGGGAATGAAAAAGGCAGCGGTGACAAACGCTCCTTTTATCGTCTCCCTCCGGCTGTCCAGGACGGTCTGCTTTTCCCGTTCTCCTGAGCCTACCCTCCATTATGGAAAATTCCCAGTCTTCCATTCCAAAGGACAGCCCTCTAGGCTGCCTCATGAAAAACCTGCAAACCTTAGACCTCAGGCGAGATATCCCTCTAAGCACCTTGTTCTTTTTTTGCAATTCAGTCTGGCCACAGTACAAATTGGACAGTGGGTCCAAATGGGCCACAAATGGAACATACGACTTTACAATTTTAACTGACTTAAGCAATTATTGCTGACGGCTGGAAAAATGGGGAGAAATTCCTTATATCCAGGCCTTGTTCACACTCAGATTACAACCTGGCCTCTGCTCTTGCTCACCTGTTCAAATCCTCCCCCTCCATTCTCGCCGCCCTGATCGCCGTTCTCCTCCCGACCCTAACTCTTTTTCCTTGTTGGATCCAGCCAACTGCTGTCCACCCCTTCCAGCCCCTGCCTCTTCCTCTCAACCGTCTTCTTTAACCCCCTAAGCCTCCTCTTTGTCTTCCCAGCCAGCACTGCCTCCAAGAGTATCCACTTCTTTTCCTACACCATCCTCTCCTCAGGACAATTCTTGCACTGCCTGTACCCATTCTCCTCCCCCACCGCTCTCTCCTGAGGCCTGTAAACCCACCCCGCCACCTTCCGCTCCTATCTATCCTCTGCTGCCTATTAACTCAACCCTCCTTCCCCCTTCAAACCCTCAGCAGGAACCACTTCCGGCTTTTCTTTCTTTCCCGCCTATACTCATTCAGGCATTGCTTTTGGCCCATGCCCCACCCTTACTTCAGCGTCTGTGCTAGAATGCCCCCTTCGGGAAGTAGCAGGAACTGAAGATCTTATTAGAGTTCATGTTCCCTTCTCCCTCACTGATCGCTCTTGAATTCACAAAAGACTCGGTTTATTTCCAGAATACCCTGCCTCTTATATTAGAGAGTTTCAGTACCTCACCCAGTCTTATGAACTAACTTGGCATGACCTCTACGTTATCCTCTCTTCCACGCTCACCCCAGAAGACTGGGACCGTATCTGGACCCTAGCTCAGGCACATGCTGATACAATTCATCACCAAGCTGCCGCCCAGCCTGCTGGCACAGAGGCAGTCCCCAGCCAGGACCCCCACTGGGATTATCAAGATGGGGCCTTTGGATGCTGCCATCGAGACCACATGATTGTGTGTCTCCTTGCAGGACTCAAAAAGTGTGCCCATAAAGCGGTAAACTATGAAAAACTTTTAGAAATCACCCAAGGTCCTGACGAAAACCCAGCCCTTTTTCCTCTCTTGTTTAATGGAAGCCATGAGAAAATATACCAACCTAGACCCAGCCAGCCCAGAAGGAACCACTATCTTAAGCCTTCGGTTCATCTCCCAACCCATCCCTGATATCCAGCTCAAGCTTCAGAAGCTTGACGATGGCCCTCAAACCCCACAACGAGACCTTCTCAATTTAGCCCTCAAAGCCTTTAATAATTGTGATGAAGAAAGTGAAAGGCAAAAACAGGCAGAGTTTCGAATGCTTGCCTCCGCCATCGGGAGGCCCTGCAGGCCCACGGGGCCGCAGCTCCACACGGGAGCCTCCTAGCAAGCCACCTGCACCTGGCGTCTGTTTCAAGTGTGGCAATGAAGGCCACCGGTCCAGGCAATGCCCAAACCCAGGTAAGCCCCCCAGGCCGTGCCCCCTCTGCAGAGGACCCCACTGGAAGTCGGACTGTGAGCGGCCCCTGCAAGGACCGCCTCCATCCCTTCCTGAGCCGGCCAAAACCTACTCGATCTCATCGGCCTTGCCGCTGAAGACTGACAGTGCCCTGGAACGGACACCCCGGCAACTACCATTGCCTCATCTGAGCCAAGGGTAACCCTGATAATGGCAGGTAGGCCAGTATGTTTTTAAAATTAATATCAAGTCAACCTACTCTGCTTTACCTAATTTTTCAGGACTCACCGAGTCCTCCCAGGTCTCTGTTGTGGGAATTGATGGACAACTGATGGTCTCCAAATCCCGAGCCCCCCTCCACCCTTCTGCTCCCTTCATGCCTTTTCCTTCACTCACTTTTTTTTTTTTTTTTTTTTTTTTTTGAGACGGAGTCTGGCTCTGTCTCCCAGGCTGGAGTGCAGTGGCGCAATCTCCGCTCACTGCAAGCTCCGCCTCCCGGGTTCACGCCATTCTCCTGCCTCAGCCTCCCGAGTAGCTGGGACTACAGGCGCCCGCCACTATGCCGAGCTAAATTTTTGTATTTTTAGTAGAGACGGGGTTTCACCGTGTTATCCAGGATGGTCTCGATCTCCTGACCTCATGATCCACCCACCTCGGCCTCCCAAAGTGCTGGGATTACAGGCTTGAGCCACCGCGCCCGGCCTTCCTTCACTCACTCTTAGTCCTGCCCTCATGCCCAACTCCACTCCTAGGCAGAGCCATGCTTTCAAAACTCCACACCACTCTCCACTCCCACGTTCCCCTAGTACCCAACGCATCCACCCAGACCCCTCCAGGGCTTCTAACTTTCTTCTACTCCTGCAACCTCCCACCCTAAAACATGCAACCTTTCCTTATCCCCCATCCATGGTTAACCCCGCTGTTTTGAGATACTTCCACACCCTCAGTTGCAAAACACCACACCCCCTTCTGCATTACCCTTAAAATCCCCACCCAGTTCCTATCACAGAAGCAGTATCCAATCCCCTAAGCAGCTCTTGTAGGCCTATAGCTTATCATTTCTCGCCTCCTCGCCAGTCACCTCCTCCGCCCAACAAACTCCCTTTTAAACACACCAATTCTACCTGTTAAAAAGCCAGATGGAACTTACCACTTAGTCCAGGACTTCAGGCTCATTAACCAAACTGTACTCCCAGTATGTCCAGTAGTCCCTAACCCATACACTTTACTTTCCAAAATTCCCTCCAATACCACCCATTTTTCTGTCCTAGACCTAAAGGATGCTTTTTTCCACAGTTCATTTGCACCCTGATTCTCAAGACCTCTTTGTTGTTATGTGGGAAGACCCCAACACCCACCTTTCACATCAGCTCACTGGTGCCTACTACCTCAAGGTTTTAGAGACAGCACCCGCCTTTCACATCAGCTCACTGGTGCCTACTACCTCAAGGTTTTAGAGACAGCACCCACCTTTTTGGACAGGCCCTTGATCATGACCTCTGTACCTTATCCCTAAAACCGTCCACTCTCCTTGATGATCTGCTCCTGGGTAGCCCCTCTCAAAAAGACTGCAATGCCCATACTATCTCTCTTTTAAACTTCTGGCAGAGTGGGGGTATCAGGTATCCCCTAAAAAAGCGCAAACATGCACCCCCTCAGTCATCTATCTAGGCCTAGCTCTTACCCCATGAACCCAAGGGCTCATAACAGACCACATATCCCTCTTCCAGTCCCTCCCGCCTCCGCAAACTAAGCAAGAAATTCTCTCTTTTCTAGGACTAGCGGGATATTTCAGGCTCTGGGTTCCCTCCTTCGCTCTACTAGCCAAACTGTTATACCAAGCTGCTAAAGGCCCTCTCCATGAGCCTTTAAACCCTGCACAGCCTATTACCCAACCTTTCTGCCTACTCCAGAAGTCTGTCACCCCAGTCCCCATCCTCACCCTCCCAGACCTCACCAAACCTTTCTCCCTCTATCCTGACGAACGGCATGGAGTCGCACTACGTGTTCTAACCCAGTCTAAGGGACCCGCCCTCCAGGTTGTTGCCTACCTCTCTAAACAGCTCGAAACCACAGTTCTCGGATGGGCTGCTTGCTTCCAAGCACTGGTGGCAGCTGCTGTCCTCACCCTTGAAAGCCTAAAACTATCTCTTGATGCCAACCTAACAGTTTAGTCAGCCCATAGCATCAAAGACATGCTAGCTCACCGCAGCGTACTAAGTCTCATCTCTGCCCCACGGCTCCTCCAACTGTATGCTTTATTCATAGAAACCCCCCAAATCACCGTGCTAACCAGCTCCTGTCTAAACCCGGCCACACTCTTACCTGAAGCCACTACCTCCCAAGACCCTGCACACTTCTGTGTGGACACTGTTCAAACTTTTCTTACCTTTTCCACACCTAACAGACCAACCCCTTCCAGATGCCTCCTTTACTTGGTTTGTAGATGGCAGCTCCTTCCTACATCAAGGATGCCAACATGCTGGCTATGCTATAGTGTCACCCACCCACACTATTGAAGCTAATCTGGTCCCCCTAGGAACCACCTCCCAAAAGGCTGAACTCATCGTCCTCACTTGAGCTCTCACTCGAGCAGCTGGACATGTATTCAGATTCTCATTATGTGTTCCACGTAGTGCACTCACACTTGTCCATCTGGAAAGAAGGGGGTTTCCTAACTGCAAACAACACCCCTGTCATGAATGCTCTCATCAGCAAGCTCCTTCAGGTTGCCAGGCTCCCGCAGAAACTTGCCATCATTCACTGCAGGGGCCACCAAACCCCAGACAATCCTATATTGGCCAGAAATGCTTTAGCAGATAGAGTAGCCAAACAAATGGCCCTACAACCCGTGCAAGGCCAGTTTCTTTCCCTGTCCTCGTTCTCTCCTCTTTACTCCCCAGAAGAAAAGGAGGACTGCCAAGCCCAAAACCTTCAAAAACAAGGACCACGGTATGTCAAGGAAGTGCGCTTCGCTGTCCTCACTCTCAAACAATCCCTGTCCTCCAAAGCCTCCACAACTCTTTCCATGTCGGGTACAAACCTGTCCTGCAACGTCTCTGCCCTATCCTCATTTGTCCTCGTCGGGTACAAACCTGTCCTGCAACGTCTCTGCCCTATCCTCATTTGTCCTCATCTTTCCAGCCGTGTTCGAGAGGTCACCCAGTCCTGCTCTATCTGCCACTCAATGTCACCCCAGGGTTCCCTCTGGCCACTGCCTTTTCCTACCCACCAAGCCCAGGGCAAGGTACCCGGGCAGGATTGGTAGGTAGACTTATTCACATGCTGCCCCATAAATGGCTCCACTATCTTCTAGTCTTTGTCTGTACTTTCTCCAGGTGGGTAGAAGCATTCCCAACAACTTCAGAAGGTGCAAATATCATCACACAAACTCTCAACATGCATATAATTCCCTGTTTCAGACTCCCAACATCCATCCGGTCCGATAACGGGCCTGCCTTTATCAGCCAAATCACCCAAGGCGCCTCTACATCCTTGGGAATAAAATGGGTTCTCCACACACCCTACCGGCCTCAATCTTCAGGCTAAGTTGAAAAGGTCAACTCTGTCCTTAAAGCCCAACTCACCAAGCTCACTCTAGAAATCTGCCAGTCGTGTACGAGAAGTCTCCCTTTCGCCCTCATGAGACTCTGGCAACACCAAAGGCAGCCTTTTTTTATAGTCCCTTTGAGATCATGTATGGCCGAACTTTTGTCTTAGAGCCTCCACCCTTAACAGACTCTGAGCCACTCAGGAATTACCTCCCCTCCTTAATCCAGACACGGTCTTTCACTCGTGAAGCAGTGAGTGAGGCCATGCCTCTCCCTGCCGACACCTCCTTATCCTCTCAACATCATAACTGTCTTGCAGGCACAGACGTGTTTATCGGCCAAACTGACCCTCACAAAAAGCTACCACCGAAGTGGACAGGCCCCTACACTGTGATACTCAGCACACCAACTGCAGTGAGAGTCCGAGGACTCCCCAACTGGATCCATCGCACCAGGGTCAAGCTCACCCCCAAGGCAGCTTCTTCCTCCAAAACATTAACAGCTAAGTGTTTGTCTGGGCCAATTTCTCCTACCAAGTTTAAATTAACCAACATTTTTTTCTTAAAACCAAAACACAAGGAAGACTAACCACGTGCTTCCAGGAATGGCCTGTATCTACCCAACCACTTTCTATACCTCTCTTCCAACCAAAAGTCTTAATATGGGAATATCCCTCACCACGATCCTAATACTGTCAGTAGCTGTCCTGCTGTCCACAGCAGCCCCTCCGAGCTGCCGTGAGTGTTATCAGTCTTTGCACTACAGAGGGGAGATGCAACAATACTTTACTTACCATACTCATATAGAAAGATCCTGTTATGGAAACTTAATCGAGGAATGTGTTGAATCAGGAAAGAGTTATTATAAAGTAAAGAATCTAGGAGTATGTGGCAGTCGTAATGGGGCTATTTGCCCCAGAGGGAAGCAGTGGCTTTGCTTCACCAAAATTGGACAATGGGGAGTAAACACTCAGGTGCTTGAGGACATAAAGAGAGAACAGATTATAGCCAAAGCCAAAGCCTCAAAACCAACAACTCCCCCTGAAAATCGCCCGCGGCATTTCCATTCCTTTATACAAAAACTATAAGCAGATGCATCCCTTCCTAAGCCAGGAAAAAATCTGTTTGTAGATCTAGGAGAACCATTGTGCTTACCATGAATGTGTCCAATTGTTGGGTATGCGGGGGAGCTTTATGAGTGAACAGTGGCTGTGGGACGGGATAGACATTCCCCCTTACTTACAGGCATCCCAAAACCCCAGACTCACTTTCACTCCTCAGGAATGCCCGCAGTCCTGGACACTTACCAACCCAGTATGAGGGACGGTGTGCATATCCCGCAAGTGGACTGATAAAACCCATCGCGCCGTAGGTGAAAACCCGTCACCAAACCCTAACAGTCAATGCCTCCATAGCTGAGTGGTGGCCAAGGTTACCCCCTGGAGCCTGGTCTCCTTCTAACTTAAGCTACCTCAATTGTGTCTTGTCAAAAAAGGCCTGGTACTGTACGAACACCACTAACCCTTATGCCGCATACCTCCGCCTAAGTGTACTATGCGACAATCCTAGGAACACCAGCTGACAATGGACTGCCACTGACGGATTCCTGTGGATATGGGGAACCCAGGCTTACTCACAGCTACCTTATCACTGGCAAGGTACTTGCTTCCTAGGCACAATTCAACCTGGATTCTTTTTACTTCCGAAGCAGGCGGGCAACACCCTCAGAGTCCCTGTGTATGATAACCAGAGAAAAATGATCCTTGGAGGTAGGAGGGAGCCAAAGATTGTGAGAGGACGAGTGGCCTCTGCAACGGATCATTGAATACTATGGTCCTGCCACTTGGGCAGAGGATGGTTCATGGGGTTATCGCACTCCCATATATATGCCAAATAGAGCGATTAGACTACAAGCTGTTCTAGAGATAATCACTAACCAAACTGCCTCAGCCCTAGAAATGCTCGCGCAACAACAAAACCAAATGCGCGCGGCAATTTATCAAAACAGGCTGGCCCTAGACTACTTATTAGCAGAAGAGGGTGCGGGCTGTGGTAAGTTTAACATCTCCAATTGCTGTCTTAACATAGGCAATAATGGAGAAGAGGTTCTGGAAATCGCTTCAAACATCAGAAAAGTAGCCCGTGTACCAGTCCAAACCTGGGAGGGATGGGACCCAGCAAACCTTCTAGGAGGGTGGTTCTCTAATTTAGGAGGATTTAAAATGCTGGTGGGGACAGTCATTTTCATCACTGGGGTCCTCCTGTTTCTCCCCTGTGGTATCCCATTAAAACTCTTGTTGAAACTACAGTTAACCTCCTGACAATCCAGATGATGCTCCTGCTACAGCGGCACGATGGATACCAACCCGTCTCTCAAGAATACCCCAAAAATTAAGTTTTTCTTTTTCCAAGGTGCCCACGCCACCCCTATGTCACGCCTGAAGTAGTTATTGAGAAAGTCGTCCCTTTCCCCTTTTCTATAACCAAATAGACAGGAATGGAAGATTCTCCTCGGGGCCTGAAAGCTTGCGGGATGAATAACTCCTCCTCCTCAGGCCCAGTCCCAAGGTACAAACTTGCACCAGCAGCAAGATAGCAGAGGCAGGAAGAGAGCTGGCTGGAAGACACGTACCCCCTGAAGATCAAGAGGGAGGTCGCCCTGGTACTACATAGCAGTCACGTTAGGCTGGGACAATTCCTGTTTACAGAGGACTATAAAACCCCTGCCCCATCCTCACTTGGGGCTGATGCCATTTTAGGCCTCAGCCTGTCTGCATGCAGGCGCTCATTAAAACAGCATGTTGCTCCACACCGCCTCATGTTGTCTGTTGGCGCGCTCTCGGGGTTCCAACCAATGCAAGAGCCTTGCACTGATGACATGTCCCCAGGGTGGTTGGGCCACAGCTTGGTTTTATACATTTTAGGGAGATATGAGACACCAATCAATATATGTAAGAAGCACCTTGGTTCTTCTGGAAAGGTGGGACAACTTGAAGCAAAGGCAGGAACACTCCAAGCGGGGAGGGAGCTTGCTGGGCACAGAAAGGTGAGACACTGGAGGCTGCATTCTTTTGAGTTTCTGATCAGCCTTTCCAAAGGAGGCAATGAGATATGCATCTATCTCAGTGAGCAGAGGAGTGACTTTGAATAGAATGGGAGGCAGGTTTCCCTTAAGCAGTGTCCAGCTTGACTTTTCCTTAGTGATTTTGGGGCCCAAAATATTTTTCTTTCACATGGGCAACATGGGAGGATCACTTAAGCTCAGGAGCCAGAGGCTGCAGTGAGCAGAGGTCACACCACTGAGACGCTGTCTCAAGAAAACAAAACTAGGCTGGGCACGGTGGCTCATGCCTGTAATCCCAGTACTTTGGGAGGCTGAGGCAGATGGATCACAAGGTCAGGAGTTTGAGACCAGCCTGACCAACATAGTGAAACCCTGTCTCTACTAAGAATACAAAACACCCAGGGAGGCGGAGGTTGCAGTGAGCCGAGATCGAGCCACTGCGCTCCAACCTGTGCCACAGAGCGAGACTCTGTCTCAAAAAAAACAAACAAACTAAACCAAACCCACTTTTAGGCCTGGAGTAGTGGATCACGCTTGTAATCCCAGCACTTTGGGAGTCTGAGGCAGGCAGATTGCTTGAGTCCAGGAGTTCGAGAGCAGCCTGGGTAACATGGTGAAACCCCATCTCTACAAAAAATTTTTTAAAAAGCTGGGCATAGTGGTGCACGCCTGAAGTCCTAGCTACTCTGGAGGCTGAGGTGGGAGAATCGCCTGAACCCAGGAGGCGGAGCTTGCAATGAGACGAGATCGAGC